>NW_018654717.1:3653299-3954880 GCF_000001405.40 Homo sapiens | reverse complement strand
TCCTCCTGCCTCAGCCTCCCAAAGTGCTGGGATTACGAGTGTGAGCCACTGCACCTGGCCACTTAATTTTAAATGGGGAAATAGTTGGCTCACATGAATGAATGTCCCAGGGTCGGGCTACAGGCATCACTGGTTTCAGGGGGTCTAATAACAGCCAAGGGCACTCTTCTCATTCCATCTCTCACTCTGTTTGGCTTTATTATCTGAAAGACTTTCTCTTTGTGAGGCAAGATGGCTGGGGCAGCTTCCAGCCTTCTCGACTCTTAAAGCTCCTTTCCCAAGATCTACATTAATGCAGGATTCTGACTGGCCTCAGGTCTGTCCCTAGAGCATGCACAGTTCCAGAGCAATCCTGTCAGTCAGACTGGGTTGTGAACCTGCCCTCATGGCAGAGGAAGTAAGAACTCTTGACTGACAGGACCCACAAATCATATGAAGTGTGGGAGAGTTCCAAAGGAAAAGAGGCAGAGCAGGCAGAAAAAGAGCATGTCTACTGCAGAGGATACATCAGGAAAGAATTCCTCCTGTTCTTCTGCAATCACATGCTGACAATTGTGAACAAAAGTTGTAGCAGACTGCACTGATGCCCCAAACCCCAAAGATGACAACTAAATATATACATATATGTTTGGTTGAACCTTAAATTTGGAGTATCATCTTTTTCAGTATTTTTGTTTTCTGGTTTTGTAAGGTTTTTTGGGGGGGCGTGGCAGGGTGGGGTGCCAAAATCATAAGTTCCCACTGAACTAGTTAAAAATGAGGTCAGGCACAGTGGCTAACATCTGTAATCCCAGCACTTTGGGAGGCCAAGCAGGTGGATCACCCGAGGTCAGCAGTTCAAGACCAGCGTGGCCAACATGGTGAAACCCTGTCTCTACTAAAAACACAAAAGATTACAGGCATCCGTAATCCCAACTACTTGGGAGGTCGAGGCAGGAGAATCACTTGAACCCAAGAGACGGAGGTTGCAGTGAGCCGAGATCACGCCATTGCACTCCAGCCTGAGTAACAGAGTGAGACTCCATCTCAAAAAAAAAAAAAAAAAAAAAAAAGGAAAAGTGTGTGTTTTTTCCCTATCTTTGAGCCACTGTTAACTAATCTGAGCCTGATTTGGTGTGAGTCCATGGACCATGACTTTCCATGAGGAATTTCCTACTGGCCTAGTATCTCTGTCCACCTATCACCATGTTGCAGGGGCCAGATGACTGCCCACCAAAGAGACCTTGGCTCTCTTTCTTCCAGTCCAGACCTCAAACTTCCCTGGCTCCAGAGAGGAGGAAGTCCAAGACTCCCATCCTCTGAAGTACCAAGCTGATTGACAGTGACCTTGCTCCCAAGCCCAAGGAATACAGTAACAATTGTTAACAGTGCTTTTGCCAAAGTCTGGCTCATTTGACTTAACTAAAATCATGTGTATCCTTCAGGGTTCTGAGAGGACACAGAATTCATCACAGGTGAATGAAGACTCTCTTCATTCCTCAAATGGAGAGATTTTATGAAGAACTATTTACAGATGTGTGAGCAGGATTATGGAAACACATCAGAGATTAAAGATATGCAGAGATTAGCAACGTTGGAAGTTATTAGCACCCCAAAATTCGAAAGACAAGGAACAAATAGAGTTACCAGAGCTGGGTGAGAGCTGGAAGGCAAAGGCGAGGCCACCTGGCAGATGCTGAAGTCATGAAAAGAGGTTTCCATTTGTCCTCTCCCTCCAACCTCTGATGCCCTGCCACTGTCTCCTGGGATCAAATCGACCTGGCAGTCAGCCAGCAAGAGGTTGTAGAGATGCAGGCTACAGGGATCAGTGTCCCATGGCATAGAACAGAGTAGAGATGGGCAGAGAATGGATTGGGGAAGGGAGTGGGGCAGAGAGAGAATAACCTGCACATCAGTGGAACCTCTGGCACACCCATGAAATTGCAACATCCGAACTTAGTCTTAGGTACTTCTAGAATCTTTCCTCCATGATCAGCAAAGGGAAGACTAAATCTGCATCTCTCTCCTGGCCCATGTGCACACATGTGTATGAGTACATGTGAGCAGGGCACACTGGTTAAAGATTCTGAAATCAGACTGATCTTGGATCTTAGCCCTGTGACTCACTAGTTCTATGATCTTGGATAAGTTACTTAATTTCACTAAGCTTTATTTTGCTCATCTATAAAATGAGGATAATAATAATACTCAGCTTAAATGGGTTTTATGCCAATTAAATGAAATAGTCCCTGTAAAGTGCTCAACACAGTGCATGACACGGAGTAAAGACACCGAGCAGCCCTCAGTAGAGGCTGATCCTTTCTGAGTCCCTCTTCCACAGAGGATCACCCATCTTCCCAAAGCCAACAATTTTTAGGACCAATCTACTCTAAATTCAAATTAGAGGCAAGACAGACGATCATTTTTCAAGTCTGCAAAGACTCAGTCCTGCTAAGAATGCACTGAACCCATATCTTACATGAAACATCTGCATTGCAGCCAATAGGGTGACATCAGGGCCCCCTCAAACAGGGGGCAGTGATTGCTTCACATCTATCTGACCAAGGGCCCGTTGGTGATTTTCCCCAAATGAAGAAAGTGGTCCATAAATAATAGAAAATTACTAGCAATGTGAAAATCATACTTTTCCATCACCCATGATAAGAGAAATACAAATCAATAGCCCTGGCACGGTGGCTCACGCCTGTAATCCCAGCACTTTGGGAGACCGAAGTGGGCAGATCACCTGAGGTCAGCAGTTTGAGACCAGGCTGGCCAACGTGGTGAAACCCCATCTCTACTAAAAATACAAAAAAAATTAGCCAGGCATAGCTGTGCGCGCCTGTAATCCCAGCTACCTGGGAGGCTGAGGCAGGAGAATCACTTGAACGCAGGAGATGGAGGTTGCAGTGAGCCGAGATCGGGCCGTAGCACTCCAGCCTAGGTGACAGAGCAAGTAGACTCCATCTAAAAAAAAAAAAAAAGAAAAAGAGAAAAATACAAATCAAAACTACAGTAAGATACAACCTACTCCTTACCATTAAGATGATTACTCTTAAAAAACAAACCAAACAAAACAAAAAAAACAGAAAATGAGTGTTGGCAAGGATGTGGAGGAATTGGAACCTTTGTGCACTGTTGGTGGGAATGTAAAATGGTTATAGCCACTGTGGAAAATAGTATGGAGGTTCTTTAAAAAATTAAAAATAGAATCACCATATGATGCAGCAATTCTACTTCGGACTATGCACTCCGAAAGAATTGAAAAGAGGGTCTCAAAGAGATAGTTGTATACGTATGTTTATGGCAGCATTATTTACAATAACTAAGATATGGAAGCAACCCAAGTGTCTATTGACAGAGGAATGAATAAGCAAAATGTGGTCTATACATGCAATGGAATATTATTCAGCCTTAAAAGGGAAAGAAATTCCAACATGTTCTACAACATGGATGAACTATGAGGACATTATGCTAAGTGCAATAAGCCAGACACAAAAGGATAAAATATTGTATGATTCTACCTAAATGAGGTGATTAGAGTAATCAAAATCATACAGACAGGCAGTGTAACGGTTGTTGTCAGAATGAAGGGAGGGGGAATGAGGAGTTACTATTTAATGGGTGTTGAGTTTCTGTTTTACCAGGTAAAGAGTTATGTAGATGAATGGAGGTGATGGTTGAACAACATTATGAGTGTATTTAATACTATTAAACTATATACTTAAAAATGGTTAAGATGAATTAGTTGGGCACGAGGCGGGTGCCTGTAATCCCACCTACTCGAGGGGCTCAGGCAGGGGAATTGCTTGAACCTGGGAGGCAGAGGTTGCAGTGAGCCGAGATCGTGCCACTGCACTCCAGCCTGGCAAAAGAGCAAGCCTCTGTCTCAAATAAAATAAAATAAAAAATAAAAAAATAAAATGGTTAAGATGGCAAATTTTGTTGTGTGTATTTTACCACAAAAAATTTAATAATATTTAAATATGGTCTCACTCTATTGCCTAGGTTGGAGTGCAGTGCTGCAGTCACAACTCACCGCAGCCTTGACCTGCTGGGCTCAACTGATCCTCCCACCTCAGCCGCCTAAGTATTATTGATAGGTTGAATAAAAGATACCAGTTTTACACAGACATACTTGCTATTTTTAACACAGTTGCAGATTTAGGCCCTACAAACAGAGGAATTCTGATCAGTTCTATTTCATGTAATTCCCATGAGGTACCACCACACCTGGTGAATTTTTTCTTTGTAGAGACAGGGTCTTGCTCTGTCACCCATTCTGGTCTGGTCTTGAACTCCTGGGCTCAAGTAATCCTCCCGCCTCAGCCTCCCATAGTGCTGGAACTACAGGTGTGAACCACTATGCCTAGCCCATAATTTTTTTAAAAAAGGTACTTTTCCAACTTCAAAAAACAAAACAGAACAAAATGTCAGTGTGTTCAGGCTGCCGTATCAGGCTAGCTGACTTAAACAACAGAAATTTATTTTCTCACAGTTCTGAGGACTAGAAGTTCCAGATCAAGGTCTGGCTGGGTCACGTTCTGGTGAGGGCTCTCTTCCTGGCTTGCAGAAGGCCACCTTCTTGTTGTGTGCTCACAGGGCTTTGTCCTGGTGTGTGCATGTTGAGAAAGCAAACTCTCTCCTCCTCCTCCTCTTAAAAGGCTACCAATTCTGCCACATTAAGACCCCATCTTTTTTACTTCACTTACCCTTAATTACCTCCTAAAAGGCCTATCTCCAAACAGTCATATTGGGGTTTGAGCTTCAACATATGAATTTGGGGGGACACAATTCAGTCCATAGCACAAAACAAACCTGTAATTTTACAAGTCACTTAATTACCAAAGTTCTTCGGACCTCCTCAAAATACCCCTGTCATCAAAACAGTCTCATGAAAAGCCGTCAAGTCTACTTATGAGGCAACAGCATAACTTTTAAGCACATATCCAACAGAAATGTATCCATGTACTCACCAAAAGACACATGAAAGAAGGTTCGTAGCCCTAAACAGAAAGCACCCCGAAAACCCATTTCAGGCAGAATGGATAAACGAACTCCAAGATACCCACGCAACAGGAGATAGCACAGAGGTGAGAGGAGCAGCAGGATGGATAAACCTTACAAACAAAATAGAAGCAGCGGCACGGTAAAGTACATATTGTATTATTCTATTAGGTCAAGATCACTATTAGGCAAAATTACGGTCTAAGAGTCAGAAAAGTGGTTACCCTTGGGAGAGGGAAGTGATGACTTTCTAGCAAAGTCCTACTGTTCTACTTCTTTTCTTTTTTCTTTTCCTTTTATTTATTTATTTATTTATTTATTTATTTATTTATTTATTGAGACAGCCTCGCTGTTGCCCAGGCTGGAGTGCAGTGGCACGATCCCTGCTCACTGCAACCTCTGACTCCCAGGTTCAAGTGATTCTCCTGCATCAGCCTCCCGAGTAGCTGGGATTACAGGTGCGTGCCACCAAGCCCAGCTAATTTTTTTTTGTATTTTTAGTAGAAATGGGTTTCGCCATGTTGGCCAGGCTGGTCTTGAACACCTGACCTCAGGTGATTTGCCCGCCTCAGCCTCCCTAAGTGTTGGGATTACAGGCGTGAGCCACCAGGTCCAGCCCTAATGTTTCTTTTCTTGGTATGGGCGCTGGTTACACAGGTGAGCTCACGTTGCCAAAATTCATCCAGACTCATGGTTTATGCACTTTTCTCTATGTATATGAGACATCAATAAAACTTGCTTTAACGGAGGCTTGAATCCCTCAAGGTCTGGCATCTGATTCTAGGCATATCCAGCTTTCCTGGTCCTCCACATGTGTCCACTATCGGCTGCCTCTCACGTGCTTTTTGTAGAACTTGGGCAAGAGGTCACGGTGGGAAAAAAAATGCAAGAGAACAGCTGCAAAATCCCACAGGAGAAGGAAAAGCACCGAGCGAGCTGGGAAACAGAATGAAGCCAGAGTGGATGGCTGGGCTGGCGGGAGCACAGCACAAGGGAATTTTGGCAAAATGAGGGCAAAATTAAACAATATAGTGAAAGAATGGGGTTTAGGGGGATTATTTGCAAAACCAGATAAAAAGGACAGAGTGGAAAAGGCAAAACGTTATTTTGGCCCCATCAGTGCAGTATCGTATCTGCACATAACGTAAATTTGAGAGGGAAAAACCAGGTTTCCGGAGAGCGAATGCAAATCAGTGGAGGCTGGCTCGGTGCTCATTTGCATTTGAATGCTTGGAACATTCCCTGCGAGACGAGATGTGCAGAACATTCCGCCGCCGCCTCACCCAGCAGACAATGCTGATGTTTGTGCTGTCACCAGTGGGCTTGTTCGTAATAATATCAACCTCTTTTAAAATTAAGGGAAGGCAAATGAATATTTATTCTCTGTAGTCAGGCTGTGTGGCACTTCGTGGCTGAACCGACAGAATTGTGTTCACCAGACCCCAAAAATTTTTACAGCCCCATCTATAGATATGATCAATACACACAGGGCCAGAGAAGTATGTTATACTCTTCACAAAAAAGAAAAGCAGGCAGGCTAGGCGCGGTGGCTCACGCCTGTAATCCCAGCACTTTGGGAGTTCAAGGTGAGTGGATCACCTGAGGTCAGGAGTTCGAGACCAGCCTGACCAACATGGAGAAACCTCCTCTCTACTAAAAATACAAAAATTAGCTGGGCGTGGTGACAGGCACCTGTAGTCCCAGCTACTCAGGAGGCTGAGGCATGAGAATCGCTTGAACCTGGGAGGCAGAGGTTACAGTGAGCCGAGATCGTGCCACTGCACTAGAGTCTGGGCAACAGACCAAGAAACCATCTCAAAAAACAAGCAAACAAAAAGGCCGGGCGCGGTGGCTCACGCCTGTAATCCCAGCACTTAGGGAGGCCGAGGCGGACGGATCACGAGGTTAGAAGATCGAGACCATCCTGGCTAACACGGTGAAACCCGGTCTCTACTAAAAAATACAAAAAATTAGCCGAGCGTGGTGTCCTGAGCCTCTAGTCCCAGCTACTCGGGAGGCTGAGGCAGGAGAATGGCGTGAACCCGGGATGCGGAGCTTGCAGTGAGCCGAGATCACGCCACTGCACTCCAGCCTGGGCACAGAGCGAGACTCCATGTCAAAAAAAAAAAAAAAAAAAATGCAGAGGTGGACCGTGTTGGGGTCTGAGGTTTTACCTCTGAAAGCTACCTGCAAAAAGGGACTACCTAGAAAAGTATCACCCTGGAATTTTAGCATAACCTTTTCAAAACCAACTACTAACCACCAAGCACTGTTTTATGAAATTTGCAGGCATCATGTGTCATTCTCACAGCTGTTAGGACTTCAATGATGTTATAAGGAAGTTGGGGCTCAGAGAAGCTACAGAACTTACCCAAGGACACACAGCCATCACGTGAGTGACTGAAGTGTTCGGCTCCATTTGACTCCTATGTTATGTTCTTTGCGTTCTGCCCTATGGTCTCCGAGAATGACTGAAATTTTAAAGAGATCGGTAAGATGAGAATGAGTGTAAAGACAGCAGAATCTGGGGGAAAAGATTTTTCTCTTAAGGCAAGAAAGCAGATACAGGAGCAAGGTTTAGAATATTCTACTCCAAGTTCTCTCAGCTCTTGCTGCCTGGTAAGGAGGCTGAGAAGACCTAGAGAGAAATTTGTGTTTTTTCCTGAATACCCTTTCTAGTTACAACTACCAGAGAGGGAGAGGCAGGCTTAAAGGAGCCCTCTAGGAGCCCCACACCAGGCACCCCAACAGCATGTGCTGTAGCAATTCCTTGGGATCAAACGAGAGGGCTTTTGAGCTAGGCTGGTAGGGGAGAAACCCTGGACGAACATGCAGGTGACCAGCAGGCAGAGTCTGTGTCGTGTGTCACCCACCTGAGATATCCACAAATCATGGAAGCAGTGGATTTCAGTGACAAATATCAGCTTCTGGAAAAGGTAAAAAATTTGAGGGACACTTTGGAATGTTCTAGATAATTAGAGAGAATGAGAGGTTTGTAGACAAGAGAAGTAATCCAATAGAAAAGTCAAAAAGAAATGAGCTCAAGCAGGCAGAGATGTAATTTGGTGCTCAAAATTTGACAAGTAGGGTTAGGTGCCTGCAGCAGAAGGAAGACGGGAAACCACTAGACACCATGGAGAAATAGAAATAGAGGCAGAGAGACTGTCAAAGTGAAGTTTGAAAGTCATTCCCAAAGGCCCCTTTCCAGGGCTTATAAAAAAAAGGTGCTAACAATGTATCCAGATGATCATAGGAAGAACAAAATTGGAGGGGGGATGTTTTAATTGGAGGGGAGGTCAATGGCTTTTCATTACAACTTCCCTTCTCTCCTGCTTCCCCATCTAGCAGGTGGCTCTGCAATGGTCGTGGGCTGGATAAGGGGAATTTGAGTTGGGGATACATTTAGTCTGGGTTTAAGGGGATACACACACACACACACACACACACACACACACACACACACACACACACGTAGTTTTTTTGTTTGGTTTTACTTTTTAATTGAGACAGAGTCTCACTCTGTTGCCCAGGCTGGAGTGCAGTGTCTTAATCTCGGCTCACTGAAACCTCTGCCTCCCGGGTTCAAGTGATCCTTTCACCTCAGCCTCCCGTGTAGCTGGTATTACAGGCACCCACCACCACACCAAGCTTATTTTAGTATTTTTAGTAGAGATGGGGGTTTCACCGTGTTGGCCAGGTTGGTCTCGAACTCCTGACCTCAAGTGATCTGCCCACCTTTGCTTCCCAAAGTGCTGGGATTACAGGTGTGAGCCACCACACCCAGCCTGTATATGATTTTAATCACTTCCATGTGTAGTCATTTCAGTGGAGGAATAATTCCAGAAATATACCTAACACTGACTGTGCTGACTTACTTAGCATCATAACTTAAGATACAAGGCCAGAAGTTGCATCAGAATATAAATGAATTCACCACAACTGGCAGGAAAGTATCTGGATAGTGGAGAAGAAATAAGCTTTGAGATGTTTGGAGCCAAGCTAGTCTAGGAAAGTTCTAATCATCACATGAGTAAAATTGAAGTAGAGAATGACTTGGTCCGCATCAATGCCTAGTCAAAATTGAAGCTCTCTCTTGTCAGGGAGATACTCGATAATGCAACATATACAACTATAAACTCACCTTAAATATACATTTTTTTCTTTTTTGATGGAAATTACATGAAATCGAATTGATCAGAATTCCTCTTTTTGTAGGGCCTAAATCTGAAACTGTATTAAAAATAGCAAGTATGGCTGTGTAAAGTTGGTATCTTTTATTCAACCTAGCAATAGTAAGAAACAAATTTTGATGATCTATGGTAAAGATAAAATTATCTTCCTATTCTCTCTATAGAAAATGGTATTACAAAATTGCTGTCATACAAAGACGCGACCAAAGAGTAGGCAGTCAGAAAATTAGGAAAAATGTATTATAAAGGCATGTCAGGAAATTAAAAAATAAAATAGTGTCATTTTATGGCTTCAGTGATGTTTACAGTGTTAGCTTTTTAAAATTCATGACTGTGGTTTATTTTCACATTCTAAGTACATATTCATTTTGCATCTAATTTTAAATTTATATTTTTCTATTCTTCTTTTTTTTTTTTTTTTTTTGAGATGGAGTCTCGCTCTGTCACCCAGGCTGGAGTGCAGTGGCGCAATCTCAGCTCACTGCAAGCTCTGCCTCCTGGGTTCACGCCATTCTCTTACCTCAGCCTCCCGAGTAGCTGGGACCACAGGCGCCCGCCACCACGCCCGGCTAATTTTTTTGTATTTTTAGTAGAGATGGGGTTTCACCATGTTAGCCAGGATGGTCTCGATCTCCCGACCTTGTGATCCGCCTGCCTCAGCCTCCCAAAGTGCTGGGATTACAGGCGTGAGCCACCGCGCCCAGCCCCTCTTTTTCTTAAAGAAGGCCTGAAAAATTGAATAAGCTTCAAGTGTACATCACCCGGCCCCACCTCTGACTAAGGAGGATGAACCAGAGGGGAAGATCCTCCAAGCCAGCTTGCAATGAGGGATCTTCTATCAACCCAGGCTGGTGGCTGACACCCTTGGATGGATGACTGATCAGTGGGTGTGCTCAGGCGTAAGGTGTGGCAACAGACAGTTGAAGCTATGACAACATCTGATAAGGTCTCCTCCGGCTGTAATTTTTGGAAAGTGGGTGAAGTTTTTTTGTTGGGAGCAGCAGGACTGCCCCAGAATCCTTGAAACCAAACCATGCCTGGCTTCCCAATAAAGGAAGTGGCACTTAAGAAAACTCAAGGAAGCAGAAGACGTGTCAGTAAAACCTATCTCCTAAAATTCCGGACAAAGTGTGATTCCAATCCTATGATGTGCTGGGCTCTTCGATGGCCCGAAGGAACTTTTGTTCTCAAAACTTTGAGATTTGTTTCTTCCAAATTTAATCACAGGCAGGCACACAGTGACCTCCATAATAGGGTACTCCAACCCATTACACCTTGGCTTTCCTGAGAGTTAGTGCTTGGAAGCGAATTCAAATTAATTATCTGGCTACATGATGGCAGGATTAACCTTTAAAGTGGTTGCAATGACCATGATTTACATAATCTATTTAACCATTTTTCAATAGAATTAATATTTAGAAGGCAAGTGGGGAGAAATAAATTACATCTTATGGCTTTTTGTGAACACCAGGCTTAGCGCACAGAAGAATAAAATTAACATTACCTAAGGTAAAGAACGTATCAGGTGCACAGAGCAGTAAATTAGATTACAGGGATAACAACCATTCCAGAGGCTTCTCGTAATCTGAATTCATCTGGAAAGTAAATAAACAATGCCACACACAAGGAACAGGTCTCATCCATCACTCTCCTCATGGCATGCAAACAGTGATATCTGGATTGGCTAGGATCACATGCGATTTTGACAGGTGTGGGTAATGCACATTGAGACCATTTGTTTAAGGATCTGCCAGGACTATATGTAGAAGGAACAGGCTGAAAACAAGATTGTTTAGCTTGTTTAAACTTAATTTGAATCTGGGTGCATTTCTTATCTGATCATTTTCTCCATTTAGGTTCTATTATGGGGAGGACATGTGGGTTTTCTTCTGCTTCCTAAAGAGACAAAGCCCTAGCAACTGATCAACTGGAGTGGACAGTTCTCTTGTCCCAGGGGAATCTGGTGCCTGAGAGCTGTCATTTGAGGATTCCAGGAGAGTTCTTGTGGATTTCAAGTGAACTTTCTGAACCTAAAAATTTGGGAAATGTAGACTTCCCCAAGAGAATATGACTTAAGGAGCAGGAATGAAAAAAACAGGAGCTGTGCCATTGTCAAAAGTAATTTACATAAAAATTTAATTTTCAGTTACATGAGAGTATTCACTGTGAATTTTGCAAACATGAGAAGGAAAAGGAGAGCTTCAAAAAGATACAGGAGCCCCACCTCTCATGCTGAGAGGCAGAATGAGGTATACAATGGAAAGATCAGGGACCTTAGAGTCCAGAAAACTGGGTTCCAGCCCTGATGGCCACTAACTAATTGGGTGGCTCTGAGCAAACTCACACACCTCTTTGGGACTCTAAGGATCCTCTTCTGAAACATAAAAACCATATGGTACCTAGCTCATAGCCTAGTGGCTTAGTGTAGGTTTGCATTTCAGCCCTGGTAGCTATATGACTCTGAACAAGCCATTTAGCCATCTTAGCCTTGGTTTCCTCATCTATGAAATGGAAAGTTTGGTAGGACCTACCTCATAGGACTATTAGGATGGTTACTTGAAATGAGTATGGAAAGCATTTAACACAGTGCCTGACACATAGTAAGGGTTTCATAAAAGTTGGCTTTTATGAGATATAATATAGCTATCTATCTAGCTTTATCATTCAATAATTCTAGTTTTATGACATGTAGGAAATCTCACAGCTGAGGAATATTACAAATGATGAATGCGTAAGCTCTGCCAATTTGTGAAAACATATATACACCATAATATTAGGTAGAAGAATGAGGTTGGAAATAGCCGTATGCTGTGTAGACATGCTGAGTAAAAATAAGGAATAAGCAATGGAAGGAAGTCATCATAAAAACCATTGAAACGTTCTATTATCTTTTTTTCTAAAGTTTGGGAGCTCTCTATAGATCTAGTAAGAAACTGAGACTCTGTGAAAAGTGGTTTTGCTTCTCCTCTTTTTCTATGAAATTGTCCCACATAAGTAGAGATTGCCATTTAGGGCTACGGTTAGGGCTGGAGGGTCCTTGCAAAACCATCCTGCCCAAATGATGGATCTTGCTGTTTTGTGGCTCATCTGGAGCTGCTCACAAAAAGCCTTTTAAAAGAGAAAGATGGTCCATCTTCTTCCAGTGAAGCTTGTAGAACACTTTTCCTCAGAAAATGTTCCTATTAGCTTTTCTCCAACTCAGCCCCAAGCATTTTAAGAAAAAAAAAGGTCATAAAGGTAGCCTACTCCATAAATTAAATGGAAACACTCTTTGTCAAACTTTGACTTTTCCCCGTTATTTCTCACGTCTTAGTGGGGAGAGAGAATGTGTGTAACACCACTGCCATTTAAATTGCATTGGGGAATGGGACATCATACGTGAAATCAGTAATAGGCACAGCTACCTTTTGAATGATACTTTAAATGCGGGTTCCCCAGTTTCTGGCTCCTAAGCCAGTGATCTTTCTACCCCACCAGAAGGCCTCTGGGTTACTGTAATAATTATCAGAGTATTATAATAATTATAAGAGCTCAATTATAGAGTGTTTTTCATATGCCTGGCTCTGTGCTATACACGCTATACATGCTTGTATCATCCAATTCTCACAACAGCTCTCCAAGCTAAGCAATAATATTGTTCCTATTTTACAGATGAGGACATGGAGGCTCAGAAAATTTAAGCAAGGTTAATTTAACCTCGTTCAAGGTTACAGTGTTGGTCCTCAGAGATAAAACTAGCATTGCCTTCTGCTTAAGATGGAGTTCTTCTGTCTGTTGATTGAGCTGTAATCCTCAACAGTCTTTCCCAAATCACTATAGTAGTGCCTCTCTTTTAAGAGTAAGGCTTCCTATTGCTTACGGCTTAGGAAAGGAAGAGTTTCCCCAGGCAGGGGCCTCCATTCACTAACAGTATGAGTGCCTGTTTTATGCCCAGCATTGAGCTGAAACAAAAAAAGCCTTTGTATTTCCAGCCTTGCCGTTGTCTAAAAAGAATGCACTTGAGGAAAGTTAATAGACAGGTAAGGCTTTAAAAAAGTGAAAGCCGGCCGGGCACGGTGGCTCACGCCTGTAATCCCAGCATTTTGGGAGGCCAAGGCAGACGGATCACGAGATCAAGACCATCCTGGCCAACATGGTGAAACCCCATCTCTACTAAAAACACAGAAATTAGCTGGGCGTGATGACCTGTGCCTGTAATCCCAGCTACTCGGGAGGTTGAGGCAGGAGAATCACTTGAACCTGGGAGGAAGAGGTTGCAGTGAGCCGAGATCGGGCCACTGCACTCCAGCCTGGTGACAGAGAGAGACTCGGTCTCAAAAAAAAAAATAAATAAATAAGCAAATAAATAAATAAAATAAAAGCCTGGCCCAGTGTGGTGGCTCATGCCTTTAATCTCAGTACTTTGGTAGCCTGAGGCAGAAGGATCACTTGAGCCCAGCAGTTTGAGAACAGCCTGGGCAACATAGCGAAACCCAGTCTCTAAAAAATTTTTAAAAAGTAGCCGGACATGGTGGTGTGCACCTGTAGCCCCACCTACCCAGGAGGCTGAGGTAGAAGGATCTGCTTAAGCCTGAGGAGGTAGAGACTTCAGTGAACCTGTCACTGTACTCCAGCCTGGGCAACAGAGTGAGACCCTGTCTGAAAAAAAAAAAAAATTTAAGCCCATCCTTAGGTAAGAGCCTCCTTAAAAAGTAGGCTAGAGGGCAAAAAATTCTAAACAGAGAGAGAGTGAGAGTGTGTGTCTGTGTGTATGTGTGTGTGTGTATGCGTGTGTGTGGTTCGTGTCTGCATGCGGGAAGTTGAAATGTTGCCCGTTGATTCCACACAATGCCATCAGAAAAGATGAGCAACATCGAAGCAGAAGAGACTATAGCTATTTATTCCCCAAAAAAGAGCACTTGAAGAGATTCATTGGCATGACATTAGCAATCTTCTAAAACATTTATACATGAATTCTTGAAGACAAGAAAAGGACAGATCAATCAGGTACACAGCATTGGAAACCATCACATTATTCATTTCGGGAGTAAGTCATCATCTGTGAATACAGAGCCCCTCACTTCCTCTCCGCTTGGCTTCCTCATCTTCCACCTACAAGTATGAAAATGCCGCTGGGACCCAGCCAAATCAAGCTGCTACGTGTGTGCCCCTTAGAGCCAATGTGCGGAAATGAAACTGACAAAGCCCACCAAAACTCAACATATTCGTTGTTTAAAGAGATAGCTCCATCTCTTCCTGTATACAGATGACACACCCCTCACAGAAGGACCAGGAGTTGGTTTTTTTTTCCTCTTTTCAATGGTTGATTCTCCTGTTGTTGTTCACAGAACAGAACATAATTAACAAATTGGAGGAGACGTCCTTTTGTTCCTCTATGTCAGTAATAGATGTTTCTTTCAGATCAGGGAGCCAGAACGGGGAAATGAATGCTCCAATTAAGCATGAGGGAGGAATAAATTTAGTCTCATGCAACCTTCAAATGAGCTACCCAGCGCCCCAGCTTTGAGTCTTTGCCAGATTCTTCAGGAATATTCCTGACCCTAAGATTAGCTCTGTTGGTGCAAGGAAAGAGTTTCTTGTCTGTATAAAAAATGACTTGTGCACATAAATCTGGGATGCACGGGTTCTCAGGCTAACCATCTTGTACCCCACGGCACAGGAGGAGGCAACAGAGTTTGGCCATATAATCCTGAATTCTGAAGACATGCAGACCTCAATTCAAGACTTCCATTTTTTGTGGACTTCAAGATTTACTGTGATTCAGGGAGAGAGAATAGAAGTATCAAGTTGATAATTACTGACTTATGTGATAAAATATAGATCTTTGGGGACTGTTGTTAAGGTTTGAGGGAAGATTCTCACAACAGTTATTTAAAGGCTTTTTTTTTTTTTTTTTTTTTTTTGAGACGGAGTCTCACTCACTCTTTCACCCAGGCTAGAGTGCAGTGGCACGATCTTGGCTTACTGCAACCTCCACCTCCCAGGTTCAAGTGATTCTCCTGCCTCAGCCTCCCAAGTAGCTGGGATTACAGGCGCCCACCACCATGCCTAATTTTTTTTTCTTTTTAGTAGAGACGGGGTTTCACCATCTTGGCCAGGCTGGTCTCGAACTCCTGACCTCATGATCCACTCGCCTCAGTCTCCCAAAGTGCTGGGATTACAGGTGTGAGCCACCGCGCCCAGCCAAAGGCTTTCTTAATTATTTGAGACGTGACATAGGAAATTCACCAAGTTCGTCTGAAATTTTGTTTCTTCTTTTGTTAAATGGAAATATCTTTTGCTTATTACATAAGAACAATCTACTGGAACAGGAGTTACTTGTATGTAAGCATAGTGTCCCATAAGAGTTTATCACAAACCTTTGAGTAGTGCCTGGCACAGAGAAAATCCTAAAAAATACCATTTTTGAGAGAATAAGTAAATGAGGGTATAATTACTTCAGTGAATTGATAGTCATAAAATATGAAAATTACATGAATTCCTCTTTACTCATTGTAAACACACTCTTTTCCAGATGTAATAAACGATCAGGCATTTCTTTTGGCACTGTTCAAAGTTTATAAAGTATCTCAACCTTTGATTTGGGGCTTTTAAAATTACCTGGTTTTTAAATTCTGTTTTATCTTTGGCAAGCCAATGCTATTACAACCGTGGCTTTTCCTCTGAAGACTGACTCATCAAATAGTCTTCACCTGAGCTCTAATCTAATAGCCTTACTGGTCCCCAGGGAACTGGAGATATTTTCATTTGGCTTTGTGGCAGCTCAGTGGGAGACTTATGAAGTCATTCCCCCTTTGTGGTAACACCTTCAGCCCTGCCCTGAGCTGCACTTCTAGAGATCAATTACCCTCCAAATACTAATGGGAAATGGTGCTTTTAATAGAAAACATTAATGAAATTCGAGTTCCCAGTCTCAGCTGTAATTTTGCCAGACGTTAGGCAAGCAGGGGGTCTTTGGGGCTAGTTGGGTTCCACCAAGCAGACTGAGTCTTCATGTTTGGTGCATGCCAGTCTGACTCACGTTCCTTGTCACAACCCTAGGGGAGCTGTCAGTCACCAACTGATACTGACAATGGCTCTGTGGGTAAAAAAAAATCAAGGCATGTTGTATCCGACATGCTCAGGAGAGACAGATATGAACACATCATAGTCACCAAGTAGTCCAAGGCAGCCCATCATAAGGTGGGGCCACTGGGACAGGTTCAAGTTGCGGGGACTTAGAGAGGGCCAGAGTGTTCAGGGAAGGTTTTATGGAGTAAGTGGGACTTGAATTTGGAGTTGAGGAGAGAGGGTCAGGTGCACTGGCTCACACCTGTAATCCCAGCGCTTTGGGAGACCGAGGCAGGAGGATCAGGATCACTTCAGGCCAGGAGTTTGAGACCAGCCTGGGCAACAGAGCAAGATCCCATCTCCACAAAAAATAAAAAAATAAAAATTAGCTGAGTGTGGTGACATGTGCCTGTAGTCCCAGCTACTTAGGAGACTGAGAAGGGAGGCTCACTTGAGCCCAGGAGTTTGAGGCTGCAGTGTGCCGTGATCATGCCATTGCACTCCAGCCTAGGTGACAGAGTAGGGCCCTGTCTCTAACTAAAAATCAAGGAGTTAAGGAAGGATTCACCCAGCTGTGCATTCTGAGTGGTGACAATGATGCAGAATGAGTGAATGAGGTGTGTACGGAGACCAGCGCTTTGGGGGAGAGCCCCAGACAAGACCTAGAAGAGGTGGCCTCTGGCAGGGCTTCATACTGACCTCAACAAGGTCAACAGGCTGCCATGCCCCGGATTTTTCCTGCTGGACAACTCCTACTCCTTGATACATACAGTCATCAGCAGGATCAAATTAAGAGTGAATGCGAAAGTTATGTGAAAATTCTAATTGTGTTATTATTATTATTTAGGAAAAACATGGCCAGCAAAGCAGGTGAGGCAAAGATCAGGAAGGACATTAAACGCCAAACTAAGGAGCGGAACTGAATGAGCAGTGAAGGGGAACAATGGCTTCAGCAGGTCCACTGGGCTCCTCTTTTCTGTCAGCCTCCCCCTACCCCTCACCTCTGTACTACTCATGTTACTATCTACGTCTCTTCACCAATGTCATTGTGGAAATAAAAGCTTATCTGTAAGAGTACTGATGAAGTATTAACTCACCTCCTTTAAGTTCCACCCTCCATAAAGCTAAAAGTGAGCAAACCAATTTAAGTGATCTATTTTAGAATTTCAGCAAACTTTGAAAATCTGAGGCAGTGCTGCCTAGCAACGAGAGTGAGGATGTAGAGGTGGTCTCAGCTGAGATTCGAGATGTGCTGTGGATTCACTGCTTCCCTTGATTTTCCTGATCTGAGCCTTGGTTTCCTCATCTGGGCAATGGGGCTTCCATATTCTCTAAGGACATCGAATCCCCTATGGGGTGGCTTCTGTATCTGAGGACAGAGGAGAACAGGAGTCCCAGGGAGGGTGCTAAGTGCCCCGGAAGGGCAGATGAAGCCTACGGAGGTCACAGTGACAACCACATATCCTGTCTAGAGCCAAGTGGATACTTGGTCTCTTCATCCAAGAGACACAGGGGATATGTTGATGAACGACGCAGGCTTCTGCCATCATAGATCTCACAATATGGGCAAAGTCAGACACATAAACAGACCATTGCTATGAAGCATGCCAGGTGTTGGGATAGGTCATGCTGGGAATTACAGGAGACAGGCAGGGGACATCTATGCCAGACTGGTGTTTCCCCATATTTTAATCTCATGCTCACTGGAATGCTTTCTTTATTTCCTGAATGTCTTTACCAATCAAGTGGATTGAACACCTTTGATCTTCTGTTTTTAGGAACATTACCTACATGAGTATATTAAATATGCCTAACCCTCCTGGCCTGGAGTCACACTCAAGCGGGATCTGCTCCACCCTCTCTGGTGAATTCTAGATCACCTAAGGCTCTTTCCCTGTGCTGTCACCCATGACTCTCTGTCATGGTCTGTGCTCGCTGTTTCTGTGTGGGTGTTTATTGAGCTCACTTCCAGAACACCTTCTTTTTCTCGCTCTGTACACCTGCTCACTTGTCTGTGTTCCACCTTTCACCAGGTGTCCAAATGTCGTTGGGCAAATCACCTATATTCTAGGGCACATACCAACATTAAGATCCAGCCATGACAGAAAAACAAATTATCAACTACCTGCTTGAATCTAGTTAGGAGAGTTCATGCCCAAAGCCAGTGAGAATCTCTTGAGTAGTGAATTAGTGGTGTTTAGAGCATCCATTGACCAGTCAGTCAATCAATGATTATTTACGGAATTCCCAAAATGCATCAGTCACCATGTTGTATGCTGTTGAACACATAAAGACCCAAAGGCTTGGACCCTGTCCTCAATGAGTGAACAGTCTGAAAGGAGAGAGACTAGTCATTGTAGACTTGTGCAGTCATAAGATATGAGAGTTGAAAGTCTCTTTAAAGGTCATCTATCCTAATTTCTATCCCAATC
The DNA here is from genome assembly GCF_000001405.40 of Homo sapiens. Lineage (NCBI taxonomy): Eukaryota > Metazoa > Chordata > Mammalia > Primates > Hominidae > Homo > Homo sapiens. The sequence continues at coordinate 3,936,222 of NW_018654717.1, read as the reverse complement.
AAGTTTCTCAAATGTGTTATTTTTTGAGAAACAGCAGTAAATCCTGATAACAATTTCATAACAGCTAATAGCTACATTATAAGTCACTCACAGTAGGCCGGGCGCAGTGGCTCACGCCTGTAATCCCAGCACTGTGGCGGGCCGAGGCGGGCGGATCACGAGGTCAGGAGACCGAGACCATCCTGGCTAACACGGTGAAGCACCATCTCTACTAAAAATACAAAAAATTAGCCAGGCGTGGTGTCAGGCGCCTGTAGTCCCAGCTACTCAGGAGGCTGAGGCAGGAGAATGGCGCGAACCCGGGAGGCGGAGCTTGCAGTGAGCCGAGATCGCGCCACTGCACTCCAGCCTGGGCAACAAAGCTAGACTCCGTCTCAAAAAAAGAAAGAAAGAAAGAAAGAAAGTCACTCACAGTAAATATAAGAAAGTTCAGAGAGGAAGTTAGTAAGGATTAAACGTCAGAGAAACAGTTATGAAGAGACCCGGGCTGCATCTTGGGGATTGACGGGGTAGAAAGTGTCTAGGAAGGAAAGGACAGTATGAGAAATTAATGAGGCAAGAATGAATGAGTCACGTGCAAGGACGCTGACTGAAGCAGAAGATGTTTGCTGGGAACAAAAGAAAATAACTATTGTCACCTACCTCACAAGGACTTCTGCCTTCTGTTATGTTGTCAGAATTCTGATTTCTGTTCTTCTGTTCACTGGTCCCCTTGTCGAGTCATATATATTTCAGTTGGTCTAAAAATAACAGTTATCCCACCTTTCTTACCAGTGATTGGTTTAGCATGGCCATGTGACCGAATCCTGACCAATGAGATGTGAGGAAAAATCTGCTAGGGACTTTGAGAAATATTTCTTCATTATTTAAGGGAAACGCACAAGAAAGGAGCCATGTTTGTTTTCTCTGAAACTAGGATTTAAGGATGTGATGTCCAGAGCTGCTGCAGCCATCTTGTGAGCCTGAGGGGAGCTAGCCAACAAGCAAAGGATGGTAGAAGAGAAAGATAGAAAGAGCCTTGTCATTGATGCTGAGTCATTAGCTAGAAAAACATTGGATTTTCTTTACCTCTAAGCTTCTTGTTATGTGAAGGAAAAAAATCTCATCATCTTTATTTAAATTATTTTAGTTTGTTTTCTATGGACTTTACTGAAAGCACCCTAAATGACACTTAGGAGCTTCACAACCAGTCACAGAAGTTTGATGACATAGAAAAGGGTAGGGATGATTGGAGAGAATGGGAATGAATAGAAAAGGAAAACAAGTGGAGGAGAGAGGTCAGAGTTGCTGGGAGTCAGCATAGAGCTAAAGTATAGAGTTAAAGCTTGGGCTCAGGAGTTGGACTGACCGGAGCTCCAATCCTAGCTGTTCATTAATCTTTCTCAATTTGACTTTCTCCTCTGTGAGATGGAATTAAAAATAGTTGCTGCCTTATTGAGCTATGAGAATTAAATGTGCTATGTGATGTAAGGTAAGCACTTAGCAGAGTTCCCAGCCTACAGTAGGTGTCATGAAGAGTTAACTCTTAGGAGGGTTAAGCCTTGCCCTGTCCCAGGTACTGAGGATGCTCTTGTTTATGTCTTGGGATTGTCTGAGGTATAGCTGTTTCAGGAAAAGGTTTGATAAAACTGATATCTGAGGGAGAGTGGTCTGTCAACACCTTGCAGGATTGCGTGGGGAAAAAAAAGAAATAGCAATAGGATAGAGTTGGCTGCCCTTGGGTTAGGTGCCCCCGCCTAGTCCAGTTGGTCGTGGGGCCCGGGAAGGGCAAACTGAAGCCAAGCTAGTTAGGCAGGAGAAGCCTAGAAAGGACCATCCCCTTAGCAAGGGATGTGAATAGATGAAACCAGCCTTGTGCACTGTAGAGAGATTTGTCTACACCCTTCCTGCCTGTATTAATATTTTCAACATTTATCATTTCTAATCATGTTGATTGAGTTTGTCTAAAACTTTCCCAAGTTTACTGTTCACCATAAAAATCCACGCTTTATTTATTTATTTTTCTAAAATGACCTTTCTAAACCTTCAAGGGTTTGATATCCAGGAATCTCGTGACCAAGCCCATGCACTCCACCCTTTCCCTTCCTTTGTTTCAGAGATCTGTCCTCTCCATCCTCATCCTCTGCCACTCTGGACTGAAGATCCTAATGCTTCCCATCTTCCCCGATCTCCACGCCCTTGACTGTTGCATTGGCCCTTCCCTAGGCCTTCTGCAGCTCAGTTTGTCCTTTTTGATGTGCAGGGAGAAGTACGCACAGCATTTTTCAAGTGAAAGCAAGTTTCTGTTTACAAAGCTCTTCCTGGAGACCCCAGCCTCCTGCTGGCCCTTCAGCCACATCACCCCATGTCACCTGTCAAGCCAAATGATTACCTCTTGGCTTCCTTCACCTTCTGCATTCCCTCAGGGACAGACAGCCTCTCCAAGACTCTCTGAAAATAACTCTTAGCCAGACAATAGCAATTTCTCCTTGCTGTGCTGCCATTCTCTGCCAAAGGTAAGAAATCAGTAAGAAGCAAAACGATTTTGCAGCCAGGAGAATTCTAATCCCAGGCTAAGCATCTGCACATCCCAAATGCCGCATTCAGGGCACGAGTCTGACAAACAGACGACACTGCCACAGTTGTGAGAACAGAGCTGTTCACAATCTGCCGGCTTCCTCCCAGAGCGGTGGGGAGAAGCTTTCCATCAGTGCCAGCCCCTCCGATCACACCCCTAAAGCATAGCTGCAGTGAGCAATTTCCTTCCAAACAGCGTGAGCTTAGATCTACATGAAACGAACTGGACTGTGTTCATCAAAACAGCTTCAGCAACTGTGTGAGCTGTTCCATTTCCTATGTTCCAATACAAGCCTTTCCAAGGTTTTGACTATAAATTCTAACCTTGGACTTACCTTTCTTTTTCCCGGAGACATGCTCATGTGTGTGCACGCTCATGTGTGTACATCTAACTATTCATGTATGTCTCTCCTTCTCGGTGTCTGTCCACATCTTTCTGTTTGCTTCTCTGTTTATGTTATCATGCTTTCTCTGTCTCTGTCTCTCTTTTCCCTCCTCCTCCTCTGTTTCCCCCCTTTCTTTTCCTCACTCCTTTCCCCCTCTGTCTCTCGGTCTTCCTTCCTTCTCTTTGTCTTCTCTTGCTCTGTCTCTGTTTGCCTCTCTCCTCAAATCTCTGCTCATTCCCCTGATGCCTAAAGCTGCACAAACAAGCCAGCTCAGCCCACCTCTCAGAAATGATAAAATACTGGCTTTGAAACAGTAGTCATCTGCTCATGCCCTCTCCGTCTGTCCCAATATCCCACCCTAAAGATTTCCACTAATTCACACTTGATAAGCCCCAACATAAGAAATACAGTAGAAAAAAAATCCTAAAAAACAAACTACACCCAACTTAACTCTTCCGTGTTCATGGAAACTTGTCGATACCACAGATTAGATTAAGCTGACCTTTCCCAGCTGCAGTGATCTTTATTGTGACACTGCAGTGCTTTCTAAAACATGGCAGATAAAACCATCAGAGTTTTGGTGGGGGTTGGGGTATTTTATTACTCTTTGATTTTTAGAAAATTGGTCATTTGTGTATGGTACGATTTGTGAGTGCAATGGTGCGATCTCGGCTCACTGCAACCTCCTATTCCTGAGTTCAAGCAATTCTCCTGCCTTAGCCTCCGGAGTAGCTGGGATTACAGGCATGCGCCACCACGCCCAGCTAATTGTTTGTATTTTTAATAGAGATGGGGCTTCTCCATGTTGGTCAGGCTGGTCTCGAACTCCTGACTTCAGGTGATCCACCCGCCTAGGCCTCCCAAAGTGCTGGGATTACAGGTGTGAGCCACCGCACCCAGTCGTTTATGGTATAATTTATATACTAATTTATAATTAACTAGAACATTAGATTACCCTAAATACCCTTTTCCCTAATTGTGCCACATGGCAGAGGCACCAAGGAGATGGCTGTACAGATTGTTTGTGTCACGTATGGGAGATAATACAGAAATGTGTGTAAATGTCTAAGAGTATCACACTGAATATGACCCAGAAGCATGTGTAAAAGTCAGTAGACCTCAAATAACACCTTGGGGGTTCTGATGGCAATAGCAGCTGCCTCTGATCAACACTGATTGCGAATCTGCCCCTCCTGACCCATGCTTTCTGGGGCCTCTGCCCTAGAAGGGTCACTTCCTCCTATTAGCTTGATCTGCCTGGCCCCTAAGCCTCACGTGCCATCGGGTCTCAGCCTCTGAGGTGTGGATGCTGCCCATCTCAGCCCTCCTGAGTGTAGATGACGCCTCAACAGCTCTGTCTTGCTTGCATTTAGAATGAGACTCTGTCCTGCATGGACTTGTCCCAGTTGTCATAAATTACACAATCATCAGTCTGAAAGGGACCTCAGAGTTCTCTACTTCAATCTCGCATTTGACTAATGAGTACGGTGACTGGTGTGTCCACACGGCCTCAATGTATGCATCTTGTCCTGACACGATTATTAATAGCTCCCTCTTTTCCTTTCAAATATGTCCTAATGTGGATGATGTATTATATGGTCTCCTGACTAATGAGAGAAAACAACTTAGCCAGGCCCCGGGCCTACACCTAATCATCCAGAGTTTTTATTTTTTAATAATCATTATACTGTGTTGCCTCTTTCACATTAGGTATTTCTTTAGAACAGTGCTTCTTAACCAAAATCACCGAGAGCTGTTTTCATTTTTCTTTTCTTTTCTTTCCTTTTCTTTTCTTTTCTTTTCTTTTCTTTTCTTTTCTTTTGAGGCAGAGTCTCATTCTGTTGCCTAGGCTGGAGTGCAGTGGTGCGATCTTGGCTCACTGCAAGCTCTGCCTCCAGGGTTCATGCCATTCTCCTGCCTCAGCCTCCCAAGTAGCTGGGACTACAGGCGCCCGCCACCACGCCCGGCTAATTTTTTTTTTTTGTATTTTTAGTAGAGACGGGGTTTCAACGTGTTAGCTAGGATGGTCTCGATCTCCTGACCTCATGATCCGCCCACTTCGGCCTCCCAAAGTGCTGGGATTATAGGCATGAACCACCGTGCCTGGCCAAGAGCTGTTTTCAAAACACAAATGCCTTGCCTTGAATAACCTCCCGGGGTAGAGTCTGGACATATGTCTTATGTCAAAGTTTCCAGGGCGATCCTTATGTACAACACATTTCTGTTTCAGAACCCCTGCTTAGAGAAAACAGGTGATTAGGAGAGCCTGCTAAATCCCCAAAATCATGTGGCAAGATGGATCACTTCCATGCTAACAAATGTGGCCAGCCATATGCCAGACTCCAATGCTTCATTATTCATAACCCCATTTTGGTTTGGGATGTGCCCTGTAACTTAAAATCAGGCTGAACAGGGAGCTAAACCCCAGAGGTGATTTCTGTCATGGGTCCAGCTCCAGAAGACAGACAGAAAGATTTATTTGACCTATGGAGGTTTCCTTTCATTTGACTTTCTGCTTCCTGTTTGCTCCATCATGCAATCGGAGGTCAAGGAAACAGACGAGGGCGGATTTGTTTTATTCCGTCACAGATGAAAGTTATTGCCACATAGTAGCTTTGAGATAAGCCAAAAAGCAATGCTGATCACCAGCAATGTGGAGCTGGTGACTGGAAGAGACTTAGTAAAAGACAGGACTGCTCCTGACATTTTGCTGGGAAGCAAAGAAACCAGAAGACATGCCTCCGTGCCAGGAAGGAGAAAGTAAACCACAGCTGGAAACCTAAGCGGAGGAAGAATGGTAATTAATCAGTGCCTGCAAGCCATCTGCTTTCTTTGGTTGGGAGGTCTGTATCGGCAGCGCTAGCTACAGATGCTTGAGAGCAGGCTGGGTGCTGGAAAAGGGATGGAACTTTCCTGTTCAGGGAAGGTATAAAAATCCATCTTGCAGAATACAGGGGCTGTAAGAGCCAGCCTCACTTGGGCAACATTAGTAGGTTTTTGCTCCCTATCTGGAGTGGTTATAGGTCGACTTTCTTTGGTTTGAGTTTTTGTGTTACGTTGTTGTTTCACAAATTGAAAACCATTACCTGTACTTACAGTGATGCATAAAGAAATGATCACACATGTTTTTTTTCTTTTCTTTTGTTCCAAAATGCCAATTTAAAACACAGCAGCCAGGCGCAGTGGCTCATGTCTGTAATCCTAGCACTTTGGGAAACTGAGGCAGGAGGATCACTTCAGCCCAGGGGTTTGAGACCAGGCTTGGCTGTACTGCAAGACCCTGTTTTGACAAAATTTCTTTTTTAAAACATCAGCTAGGCATAGTTGCACACGCCTGTAATCCCAGCTACTCAGGAGGCTGAGGTGGGAGGATCGCCTAAGCCCCAAAGGTCAAGGCTGCAGTGAGTTGTGATCATACCATTGCACTCCAGCCTGGGTGACAGAAGGAGATCCTATTTCAAAATAAATAAACAGTAAATCAATTTTTTGAAAGGTATTTACCCACGGTCAAAGAGAATGACCCTGGAAAAGTGAAAAAAACAGAAGCTAAGATATTTATATAAAGGGGTGGGATGAGGATACAGAAAGCAGGTGGGGGATTGATTTAGCTCTGACTGGAAAGGTAGATTGTAAAGGAGTTCAGATGGAGGTGGGTGATGATAAACAGGTGAGGCCTTTGGAAGGCTCCATGCTGAGCTGCTGAACCAGCAGGATCCAGCCCACTCTGAAGAGTCAGGTAACCACCCCTCAGCTCACTCTCCCATAAGCAATGGGAAATATTTGTTTTGTTTTCTGGAGAAATTGAACTGAAGATTAGGGGAGCAGCTGAAGACACAGGAGGCCTCATGCCGCAGTTCAGGGTGTTAAAAGGCCTGCCTGCTGCTGAACTGTGAGGCCCCCAGCCCTCCACCTCGGCCCTGCTCCTGGAAGGCAGCAGTCACGGGCACATCCCTCCCACCCCAGGGAAGAGAATGAAAGATTCTTCTTTGGAGAAACTAATCGGCTCCAGAGGAATGATCTCTGCACAATGAAAATTGAGAGTTTACCAATGGAAAAACAAAAATAAAACCCATATGCTCCTTGATACCTTACAGAGGAGACTACAGTTTGACAAACTGCACCCGTTACGAGTGCGAAGACAGCCAAGGAACAAGTGAGGGTGGAATAAGACATTTCAAACACAGAACTCACAAACTTCTTCTCCCACATACTGTTCTTCAAACTCCGGGTAGCCTGTGCTTTGGCAAAAATAAACAAGAAAACCAACAAAGAGGAAAATGTGGGATCCAGTAAACAAGAGTTGTAATACAGAATTGCAGTGAAGGGAAGTCCTGGGATCGCAACTGTGCATCAAGCTTAGGAAGGAATGAGCCTGGACGGAGCAGAAAGATGGAGAAATACGGCTGGGCATGGTAGCTCATGCCTGTAATCCCAGCACTTTGGGAGGCCGAGGCCGGGGGACCGCTTGAGGTCAAGAGTTCCAGACCAGCCTGGCCACCATGGTGAAACTCCATCTCTGTTAAAAATACAAAAGTTAGCCAAGGCATGGTGGCGGGTGCCTGTAGTCCCAGCTACTCAGGAGGCTGCAGTGGGAGAATCACTTGAACCCAGGAGGTGGAGGCTGCAGTGGGTCAGGATGGCACCACTGCACTCCAGCCTGGGCAGCGGAGTGAGACTCCATCCCCCACCGTCCACCAAAAAAAAAAAAAAAAAAAAAAAGATGGAGGACATGAAGGATAATGTTCATAAGAAAACAATGGAAGCAGAAATAATCTAATACATTTCAAGCTGTGCAAAAATAATTCCCAGGTATTTGAAAGATGATGAAGCCTTAGAGAAAAAATAAAGATTAAGACATGTAAAGCTAATCAGATAAACAAATCAGGTAATTATTAATTATAGGAAAAAATAATGAGAAAAGATACTAACAGCCAGCTTCTGAGATAGTCCCTGATGATCCTGCATCCTGGTTTTCATATCCTTGTATAATCTCCTCCCATATTCAGTAGGGCTGACCATGTAACAACTAGGATTTTGCAGAAATGGTGGCATGTGAGTTTTAAAGCTAGGTTATAAAGAGAAATTGGGGCTTTCAGCTTGCTCTCTTAAATCAATTGCCCTGGAAGAAGCCAGCTCTCATGATACAATTAACAATAACACTCAAGCATCCTTAGGGCCAGGACCCAGCCAACACCAGCATACCTTGCCAACCATTGGACTGAGCCACCTTGGAAGATACTCTACACAGTCAAGCCTTCAAGTGACTTCAGTCCCCAGTCAACATCTTGACAGTAAGTTCATGAGAGACCCCCAAACCAGAACCACCAGCTTACATCACTCCTGAATTCCTGACACACAGAAACTATGTACAATGTGTAATATTGTTTTAAGGTGCTAAGTTTTGGAGTTCATTTTGAGTATGAAGGCTTCGGTACCTGGAAGTTGAGCAAGTCATGACAAAAAACTAAAAATGTGGGTGTAAATCTAGACTGAGTATTGGTTAAGAGCTGGAAGGACTTTGAGGGTAGTGTTAATGAAAGCCTAAAGAATATTACAGATATTGTTAGTAGAAGCCTGATGGCCTTTGAGAACAAAAAAAAAAAGTAGGGGAAATGTTATTTTAAAATGGAGAAACGAGAATCCTTGTTATAAAACAGCAGAAAGTTTAGCAATACTTTTGCCTGTCCTAACATGGAAAAATTAAAAACTACCTAATGAAGTAGGTAATCTAGCTGAGGAGGTTTCCTGGCAGAATGTGGATGGTACCACATGGTTTCCTTTTTCTGATAAAAATAAAATGTGAGCATAGAGAGGCCACAGAAAGACTCTTAAGCAAAACAAAGATGGAACTTGATAGTTTGAAAATTCCCAGCATCTCTAGGTGGCAAATGATCCTAAAATTAAGAAATGGCATCTATACAAAGATAAAATCCACTGAAGTGTCAGGAAAACATGATATAAAGATGAAGCTGAGGGTCTGGTTGTAACAAAAACAACTGTTAGAACTTCAAATATATCTAAAGCAATGTCTCAGGCCACTGTTTTTATTTTTATTGTTGTTGTTTTTTGAAACACAGTCTCACTCTGTCGCCTAGGCTGGAGTGTAGTGGCACGATCTCGGCTCACTGCAACCTCTGTCTCCTGGGCTCAAGCAATTCTCCTGCCTCAGCCTCCCAAGTAACTGAGATTACAGGCGTGTGCCACCACACCCAGCTAATTTTTTATTTTTAGTAGAGACGAGGTTTCACCATGTTGGCCAGGCTGGTCTCGAACTCCTGACCTCAGGTAATCTGCCTGCCTCAGCCTCCCAAGGTGCTGGGATTACAGATGTGAGCCACCGTGCCCAGCCCTCAAGCCACTGTTAGTCAGACAAGGCTTCTAAGAAGGCTAAGGGCATTGTCCTTTCCTCATCTCAGCAAAAGCCCAAAGTAGAGAAGGTTTATATCAAAGAAATTCCTGGATATGGCTTTTGTCTAATGGCATAAACCCCAACAAGATTCATGGGAGATATATAACGATTTTATAAGAATTGTGTTGGCTAAAATACCTCCAGCTTGAACTAAAAGGAATAGAAAGAGAACAAATTATAAAGAGGACTTAGGGTCCCCAAACTTCTACAGGCAGAAAGCAGGCTGAGAAAACATCTCAGCTGTATACATGGGCTACCTTTGATGGAAATGAAAGAATGATTCTGAAAGTGGAAACAAATGTTCAGTGGGCATAGCCAAGAGCCATTAAAAGTCCTGCCCAGGTCTTGAGTCTTAACTAAGAAACTGTCAACTGCATCGTGCTTGATTTAAGAATTGCTATGGCCCACTGTCTCCTGTATGTTTTCTCATTTCTTCCTTTTTACTGGGAGGGTTCTAGCAGTTTTCATATTCCTGTTTCACCAATGTGTGTTGGGTGTGTGGCTGCAGACAAATTCTCTCTTTAATTCACAGGTCTTCCAATTAAGAGGAACTGTGTTTGAAGAGGTATTATTAAAGAACCACCCCTGAGAAGCTTTATTTTCCCCTGGACCCAATTTAGAGAATGACATACTGGACTTCTGGCTGATGCTGTAATGGGGTAAGACTTTGGGGGACCTTAGGAGGCAGGTGAGTGAACTTTGCATGTGTGAGAGATATAAATTATTGGGATTGATATTTTTTCTTTTTAAAATAGTTCATTTTTAATTGCTGTAGATGCACAAGTTATACATATTTATAGGGTACTTGTGACATTGATACAAGCCTACGACATGTAATGATCAAACTGGGGTGATTAGGGTATCCATCACCTCAAGCACTTATCATTTCTTTGTGCTAGGAACATCCCAATCTCACTCTTTTAATTAATTTGAAATACAAAATAAATCTTTCTTAACTATAGTTGCCCTATTGTGCTACTGAAAACTAGATCTTATTCTTTCTGTCTGATTGTATTTTTTGTACCCATCAATCATCCCCTGTTTAGCCCTCCTCTCCACTACCCTTCCCAGCCTCTGGTAACCAACCCTTCCCAGCCTCTGGTAACCATCATTCTATTCTCTGTTTCCATTAGTTCAATTTTTTTTTTATAGCTTCCACATATTAGTGAGAACACATGATATTTGTCTTTCTGTGCCTGGCTCATTTCACTTGACATAATGTCCTCCAATTCCATCTATGTTGTTGCAAATTACCAGATTATTTTTTATGGCTAATATGTCATTGTGTATATATGCCACATCTTCTTTAGCCATTCATCTGCTGATAGACACTTAGGTTGATTCCACCTCTTGGTGTGGGATTGACATCTTGACTGAAATCTCCTGAGAGACTCCCAAACCAGAACTACACAACTAAGCTATTCTCAAATTCAAGACCCACAGACTGTGTGAGATAATAAAGGTTAATTATTGTTTTAAGTTGCTAAGTTTTGATGTAATTAGTTTTGCAGCAATAAATAACTAATACAAAAATGAATCACAATATTTGGATCAGCAATAAATTTTATATAATGTAAAAACATCAATAATTTAAATTAATTAAAATAAATTAATATTTAAAAGTTGGATGGCCAGGCACAGTGGCTCACGCCTGTAATCCCAGCACTTTGGGAGGCCACATCATGAGGTTGGTAGATCATGAGGTTAGGAGATCGAGACCTCACTGGCTAACACGGTGAAACCCTGTCTCTATTAAAAATACAGAAAATTAGCTGGGCCTGGTGGTGAGGACCTGCAGTTCCAGCTACTCAGGAGGCTGAGACAAGAGAATAGCATGAACCCGGGAGGCAGAGCTTGCAGGAAGCCGAGATCGCCCAGGAAGCCGAGATAGCGCAACTGTACTCCAGCCTGGGTGACAGAACGAGACTCCATCTCAAAAAAAAAAAAAAAAATTGGGGTATAGCCATATTGGAGCAAAGGAAAGGCAAACAGGTAGAGATACAAGAGCTAAAAACCTACATCCCTTAACAGAGTCAGTGAACACCATCTAAAACTGATGCATAAATAGCAGAACATGCATATTATGTAGAAAATACGGAGACAAATATTAGAAGAATTACCTAAAATTGTTGAAAGGCCTTGTTTCTTTTTTTTTTTTTATTATTGTACTTTAAGTTCTAGGGTACATGTGCACAATGTGCAGGTTTGTTACATATGTATACATGTCCCATGTTGGTGTGCTGCACCCATTAACTCGTCATTTACATTAGGTATATCTCCTAATGCTATCCCTCCCCCCTCCCCCCACCCCACAACATTCCCCGATGTGTGATGTTCCCCTTCCTGTGTTCATGTGTTCTCATTGTTCAATTCCCACCTATGAGTGAAAACGTGGTGTTTGGTTTTCTGTCCTTGCAATAGTTTGCTGAGAATGATGGCTTCCAGCTTCATCCATGTCCCTACAAAGGACATGAACTCATCCTTTTTTATGGCTGCATAGTATTCCATGGTGTATATGTGTCACATTTTCTTAATCCAGTCTATCATTGATGGACATTTGGGTTGGTTCCAAATCTTTGCTATTGTGAATAGTGCCACAATAAACATATGTGTGCATGTGTCTTTATAGCAGCATGATTTATAATCCTTTGGGTATATATCCAGTAATGGGATTGTTGGGTCAAATGGTATTTCTAGTTCCAGATCCATGAGGAAGCACCGCACTGTCTTCCATAATGGTTGAACTAGTTTACAGTCCCACCAACAGTGTAAAAGTGTTCCTATTTCTCCACATCCTCTCCAGCACCTGTTGTTTCCTGACTTTTTAATGATCGCCATTCTAACTGGTGTGAGATGGTATCTCATTGTGGTTTTGATTTGCCTTTCTCTGATGACCAGTGATGATGAGCATTTTTTTGTGTGTCTTTTGGCTGCATAAATGTCTGCTTTTGAGAAGTGTCTGTTCATATCCTTCACTCACTTTTTGATAAGGTTGTTTGTTTTTTTCTTGTAAATTTGTTTGAGTTCTTTGTAGATTCTGGATATTAGCCCTTTGTCAGATGAGTAGATTGCAAAAATTTTCTCCCATTCTGTAGTTTGCCTGTTCATTCTGATGGTAGTTTCTTTTACTGTGCAGGTCTTTAGTTTAATTAGATCCCATTTGTCAATTTTGGCTTTTGTTGCCATTGCTTTTGGTGTTTTAGACATGAAGTCCTTGCCCATGCCTATGCCCTGAATGGTATTGCCTAGGTTTTCTTCTAGGGTTTTTATGGTTTTAGGTCTAATATTTAAGTCTTTAATCCATCTTGAATTAATTTTTGTCTAAGGTATAAGGAAGGGATCCAGTTTCAGCTTTCTCCATATGGCTAGCCAGTTTTCCCAGCACCATTTATTAAATAGGAAATCCTTTCCCCATTTCTTGTTTTTGTCAGGTTTGTCAAAGTTCAGATGGTTGTAGATGCGTGGTATTATTTCTGAGGGCTCTGTTCTGTTCCATTGGTCTATATCTCTGTTTTGGTACGAGTACCATGCTGTTTTGGTTACTATAGCCTTGTATATAGTTTGAAGTCAGGTAGTGTGATGCTTCCAGCTTTGTTCTTTAGGCTTAGGATTGTCTTGGCAATGTGGGCCCTTTTTTGGTTCCATATGAACTTTAAAGTAGTTTTTTTCCAATTCTGTGAAGAAAGCCATTGGTAGCTTGATGGGGATGGCATTGAATCTATAAATTACCTTGGGCAGTATGGCCATTTTCATGATATTGATTCTTCCTATGCATGAGCATGGAATGTTCTTCCATTTGTCTGTGTCTTCTTTTATTTTGTTGAGCAGTGGTTTGTAGTTCTCCTTGAAGAGGTCCTTCACATCTGAAAGGGCTTGTTTCTAGGAAAGAAAACTGGAGGTGAAAAGGGGTGGGAAAAGAAACTGATGCCAACCCCTAAGATGAACGTTTTAGTTGTGTATGATTTCTTTAAAACCAGTGAGCTCAACTGCATGAGGTGGCTCACGCCTGTAATCCCAGCACTTTGGGAGGCTGAGGTGGGTGGATCACGAGGTCAAGAGATCAATACCACCCTGGCCAACATGGTGAAACCCTGTCTCCACTAAAAAATACAAAAATTTGCTGGGCATGGTGGTGCACAGCTGTAGTCCCAGCTACTAGGGAGGCTGAGGCAGGAGAATCACTTGAACCTGGGAGGCAGAGGTTGCAGTGAGCCAAGATCGCACCACTGCACTCCAGCCTGGGGACAGAGCGAGAATCTGTCAAAAAAAAAAAAAAAAAGAGCTCTAAAATGGAATGAAATAATGTCTTTTGCAGCAACTTGGATGGGGCTGGAGACCATTTTTCTAAGTGAAGTAATTCAGAAATGGAAAACCAAATACCGTTATGTTCTCACTTATAAGTGGGAGCTAAGCTATGATGATGTAAAGGCATAAGAATGATACAATGGACTTTGGTGACTCAGAGGGGAAGGGTGGGGTGGGATGGTGAGGGATAGAAAACTACTCATTGAGTAGAGTGTACACTGCTCGGAGACAGGTTCACTAAAATCTCAGAATCATCACTGAAGAATTTATCCATGTAACCAAAAAGCACCTGTATCCCAAAAACTCTTGAAATAAAAATAAAAATTTAAAAAGCCAATGAGCTCATAATAATTTAATGAAAGTAAAATGTTATGTCAAGAAATAAAGACCTACCCTGTATCTGAGAGACTTGGAGTGATATTAGTGAAGGTGGGCACTGTAGTAATGCTATAGGCAAGATAAAAAGAGAAGAGTATTTGCTTGGAAGCTGAGGTATAACCAGTTTCCAAAACCAGACAGCAGGCCTGGGAACCTTCTGGGTGAAGGGGGTGGCTCTTGGGAAGCTATGGAGTGCACGCACAGAACAGGAGACATCTTTTGACCACAATCTCTGGCCTGTCCATTGTCCTAACCGCCAACATGTCACCCTAAAAAGAAGCAAAGGAAACCTGGTGAGTAGACACTGCTTTTAGAGAACATGCTTACTAGAATTGCTGAGTGGGGACACCTGGATTCAAGCCACCTCTGCCTCTGCCACTTATGAGCCCTGAGGCCCCAGCAGAGTCATCCAGCCGTCTGCTCTTCTGTGTCTTCATCCATAAAAAAAGGATACTTCCCATAGTGAGTCTCTCACATGGTTATGAAGAGAGCAAAATCAGAAAGTGGGGAAGCACTTTGTTTTTTGTTTTTTTTTTTGAGACAGAGTCTCACTCTGTCACCCAAGCTGGAGTGCAGTAGTGCAATCTCAGCTCACTGCAAACTCTGCCTCCCAGGTTCAAGCAATTCTTCTGCCTCAGCCTCCTGAGTAGACAGAATTACAGGGGTGTGCCATCACACCCGGCTAGTTTTTGTATTTTTAGTAGAGACAGGGTTTTGCCATGTTGACCAGGCTGGTCTCAAACTCCTGGCCTCGAGTGATCCATCCACCTTGGCCTCCCAAAGTGTTAGGATTATGAGCGTGAGCCACCGCGCCTGGCTGGGAAGCACTTTTAAACCATTAAGTTCTGTGCAGGTGTGGCTTCCTCTTCCCCAGCTTGGGCAATGGCACTTCTGCCTCCTCTTGGGATGTGGACAAGAGAAAGAAGGTGCAGCCTTCTGGACTATGAAGAAAAATGGACCGTTATCACCATGACCTAGAAAATCTTCTTAAGAGTCAGAATTACCTAGAAAAGTTGTAGAAAACAGAGACCCCAACCCTCCTATGTTGCGGGAAGTCAGGGACCCCAAACGGAGGGACCAGCTGAAGCCATGGCAGAAGAATGTGGATTGTGAAGATTTTATGGACATTTATTAGTTCCCCAAAGTAATACTTTTGTAATTTCTTATGCCTGGCTTTACTGCAATCTCTAAACATAAATTGTAAAAATTTCATGGACACTTATCACTTCCGCAATCAATACTCTTGTGATTTCCTATGCCTGTCTTTAATTTAATCTCTTAATCCTGTCAGTTGAGAAGGATGTATATCGTCTCAGGACCCTGTAATAATTGCGTTAACTACACAAATTGTACAACATGTGTGTTTGAGCAATATGAAATGTGGGCACCCTGAAAAAAGAACAGTATAACAGCAATTGTTCAGGGAACAAGAGAGATAACCTTAAACTCTGATTGCCGGTGAGCCGGGCAGAACAGAGCCATATTTCTCTTCTTTCAAAAGCGAATGGGAGAAATATTGCTGAATTCTTTTTCTCAGCATGATATATCCCTGAGAAAGAGAATGCGCACCTAGGGGTAGGTCGCTGAACTGGCCCCCCTGGGCGTACCTGTCTCTTATGGTTGAGACTGCAGGGGTGAAATAAACTCCAGTCTCCCATAGCGCTCCCAGGCTTATTAGGAAGAGGAGATTCCCGCCTAATAAATTTTGGTCAGACCGGTTGATCTCAAAGCCCTGTCTCCTGATAAGATGTTATCAATGACAGTGGTGCCCAAAACTTCATTAGCAATTTTAATTTTGCCTCGGTCCTGTGGCCCTGTGATCTCGCCCTGTCTCCACTTGCCTTGTGATATTCTATTACCCTGTTAAGTACTTGATGTCTGTCACCCACACCTATTCATATACTCCCTCCCCTTTTGAAACTCCCTAATAAAAACTTGCTGGTTTTTATGGCTTGTGAGGCATCACAGATCCTACCAACATGTGATGTCTCCTCCAGATGCCCAGCTTTAAAACTTCTGTCTTTTGTACTCTGTCCCTTTATTTCTCAAGCCAGCCGACGCTTAGGAAAATAGAAAAGAACCTACGTGATTTTCGGGGCAAGTCCCCCGAAACTCCTACAGCCAAATGAGGCGAACATAATGAGGGCTGCAAGAATTGACAAATGAACGCATTACAGCCCAGGCTGTCTTACTGTGACCATGTGAGTGCCTCACCTCACCTTTTTTCACCTTCGTCACTTTCCCAAATAGCACTGGGTGACGCAGGTTCTTAGGTTTGTCTGCCCTGTGCTCTTCCTGCTATACTCTTCCTGCTATACTTTCAGAATGGGAGGGGTGGTTATCCTCCATTTATTTACTTGCTTGCTTATGGTGCAACATAAAACAGGCACTAAGAGCAGACGCTGAGCTTCCTTGTCTTTGGAAGCTCTTCATGTTAGACGGAAACGGCCTGTGATGACATTGACTTGTGCATGTGTGAGCAGCCTGCAGGCACAGATTTCTTTTGTAGGCAGGTAGGGTGGGAAGATAGTGTCTCTGAAAAGTCTCTCCCCAACAAACTTGAGTTTGTTCGAAGTATTGAGAGGCTTTCTTCATTCCTACTGCTAATGTTGGCATTGCTAGCTCACAGCAGATGTCTAATGCTGCCTGCAAAAATACTTTTCTTTCAGACAAAACCTGGCAGGAATCATTAAAGGTACCTTAACCACCTCATTCCCAAAACAAGAAGAAGCTCATCCAAAGAAAGCCCACATATTAGCTCGATTACAGATGAGCACAAGGTGCTGGCCTTTTAATATTTCCCAAATTTGTTCTTGAAATCTCCCTAAAGAGCAAGGAAGCACATTTATAAGCATGAAAGAGCTGCAATATGGTCCTTAGAGCTGGAATTCCATTGGCAATTCTGCACCTGCTATCGTACATGACCTGCATTTTTACAAAATGGAAGCTTTGTGATTTGTAGGGGGAAAAAAATCTGTTTCTTTATGTCCCAGAACACAAAGAGCCACGTGTGGGGGACTGTCAGTGGCTTTCAGAAAAGGTGGAATTCGATGTAGTCCCACTCCATCTGTGCATTGGTCCTGATTGCTTCAGAGGTTCTCTGGAAGGCTAATGTAAGATCAGAGTACTGAACATTACACTCAGCTATACTAATCAATGAGACGAGGAAGCAAATCAGCTAACACAGGTACAATTTCTCAGTGATTAAAAAATAAGTAACTACAGACTTGAGCAGGTCATCAAATTACATCAGGTAAGTTTTTTTTTGTTGGTTTTTTTCTGCAGCTTCTCCATGCTGTTTCACAAAAGTATGGCTTAAAGAAACCATTTATATCGCAGAAAGTGGTCTCAGGTCCACAAAAGGAAAGAATGATGGTGTTTGAGGTCAAAATATATGTTTTAGTTAATGACTCATTCATTTACTTAACAAGTATTTTTAAAAGCCCCCTAGGGGCCGGGTGTGGTGGCTCACGCCTGTACTCCCAGCACTCTGGGAGGCCAAGGTGGGAGGATCACTTGAGGTCAGGAGTTTGAGACCAGCCTGGTAAACATGGTGAAACTCTGCCTCTACTAAAAATACAAAAATTAGCCAGGCATGGTGGTGCACACATGTAATCCCACCTACTCAGGAGGCTGAGGCAGGGGAATCACTTGAATCCTGGAGGCGGAGGTTACAGTGAACTGACATCACGCCACTGCACTCCAGCCTGGGCCACAGAGCAAGACTCTGTCTCAAAAAAATAAAATAAAGCTGCCTAAGTTCTGGGAATTTAAAGATAGTTAAGGTATGCAAAATGGTATAGTCTCTGCCTCTGTCTTACAAGGGAGAAAGATGAAGCAGGAGATGGAAAGGGAAATAGGGATGGAGAGACAGAAAATCAGAGACCAAGGAGACAGAGTGTGTTTTTGGCATCAAGCATAGTCCTGAGAGAGAAGCGACCTGGTATAAGCCACTGGCTGCTATACACATCTGGTCAATTCCTTCAATCCTTTTAGGCTTCTGTGTTTCTCATCTGTTAAAAGCTGTGCTTCTTAATGGAGCAGAAGACTAATATAGTTATATGGATTTGCTCAAGTTCCATACACATCAACGTTTGATATACCCAAGTCCTATTAGGAGAGTTTGTTCATTTAACAAATGTGCTTGTGCTTGGTTGGGCATGGTTGCTCTTGCTTATAATCCCAACAGGATTACAGAGGCACAGGTGGGAGGATCACTTGGGGCCAGGAGTTCGAGACCAGCCCGGGGAAATAGAGGGACCCCATCTCTACAAAAAATGTAAGAATTATCCAGATATGGCGGTGCATGCCCATAGTCCTAGCTATTGGGAGGCTGAGGCAGGAGGATTGTTTGAGCCTGGGAGGTCAAGGCTGCAGTGAGCTATGATACATCACTGCACTCCAACCTGGATAACAGAGTGAGACCCAGTCTCAAAAAAACCCCCAAAACAACAAACATAAAAAATACAAGCAGCCACAAGTAATGAACAGCTAGCAAGGCTATGTGCAATATCTTGAAGATAGTTATCAGGAAAAAAATCACACCATCTCTGATCTTATAGAGTCACTAATGTCATGAAAGCATTCAAACATGGCCTAGATTGACTGGTGGGATTTTTGCAGGAGCAATTTAAATGGGAAGTAGCATACAGTAATGTCGTGTTCACATGCAAGAAGAACTCCAGGGTCCAACCTAGGTCCTAATTCCAGCTCTCCTGAGAGGGAGGGAAGGAAGAAACCAGTCAGGCAGGCAGTTAGGATGGGTCCTTGGTAAAACTCCTTCAAGCAGAGAATAGCCTGGAAATTAAACTGCAGGCCTTAGATAAGAAAGAGCCCGCATCCTTGGATGAAAACACCAACTCTGTGATACCAGATGACCAAATTCCACTCCTTTTTGGCTCTTACTTTTCACCTATTTTACATATGCCTATCTTTCTGTGATTGGCCATGGGCTGAGTCTCCATTTACATAGGGTGAATCATCACTTCAGCCCCTAATTGGTCTGGGTCCAAAGTCTCCAGCCGAGCTTTCACTTCAGCCCCTGGTTGGTTCTGGGCCAAAGTCCCAGGCCAAGCCTTCACCTCTGTCTTCAGTTGGTTCTTTACACTGTCATACCTCTTTCTGAGTGGTGCTTTCTCCAAGACGGCCTGCAAACCAATCAGCACACTCCTCCCCTTTCCAGTCCATAAAGACCCTAGATTCAGCCTGATAGCTGGCAACCCTCCTTCGGGTTCCCTCTCTCTGCTTAGAGCTTTTCTGTCCCTTAATAAATCCAACTCTGCCTTACTCATCCTCCGGTGTCTGTGTGCCTTTTTGATGGACATGGACAAGAACCCAGAACTTGCGGGCAGTGGGAGTAAAAGACTGGTATCACTCCCTCCCACTGGCCAAACAGGCGTAAGAAAACTGAATGCTACCACAGTTGTAAGACTTTAGAGCATTTACTTCTCTTTTTTTTTTTTTTTTTTGAGACAGAGTCTTGCTCTGTCACCCTGGCTGGAGTGCAGTGGTGCAATCTTGGCTCACTACCAGCTCCACCTCCCAGGTTCATGCCATTCTCCTGTCTCAGCCTCCCGAGTAGCTGGGACTACAGGCGCCCGCCACCACGCCAGGCTAATGTTTTGTATTTTTAGTACAGACGGGGTTTCACTGTGTTAGCCAGGACGGTCTCTATCTCCTGACCTCATGATCTGCCCACCTCGGCCTCCCAAAGTGCTGGGATTACAGGTGTGAGCCACCGCGCCTGGCCTGTTCATTCTTTTCATACCCTATGCAGGAAGTTTGAAATAGATCAATATGTAAAATTCACATCTCCAGATGTGGTGATTTATTTTCTTCTTAGTTGATTAGAGCAAGGGTCTCAATCAAGTAATAAGATTTATATGTGATAATTGCTTTTGTTCTATACCTACCTAAGCAACTGTATATTTAGATCTCATCATTTCCTAGTCTATGACTGACAACCCAACATTTAATTGGCTCATCTTCCAAAAAGAACAGGTGTTTTTCCTAAAAAAAAAAAAAAAATATTTTGCTTGAAAAATATTTTTGATTGATTTATTACAGCTAACATATTTTAGCTGAAATAAGGACTTTCACAAATAACCTAGAAAACACATAGGCAAGATATATCAATGAAAAACATTTTTGGCAGGATTTTACCTAAAACAATAAATCCTAAACCACTATTACAAGTGTATATTATTTTCCTTTAAATTATGTAATAAAATTTATTTTTCCATGGATTTAGCCAGAATGATTTTCTTAATCATAATCTGCTCATACTGAAGGGAATTTTTTAAGATTAACTTTTAAGGTGCTCTTGAGATTTGCATAAATCTTTGTTAATGACAAATTCCTGCTCACTTATTCTGCTTTCCTCTATAATATTTGGAGCCATTCCCCTCATCTCTATCGTATTTTGTCTTTTCAGTCATCTAAAGAAAGTCAGGTAATGAAATCACAGAGAACTTATTCCCCTGAAATTTTCCTGAAACATTTGCCATTCTCAGAACAGATTGTTTTACAAGCATATTTTACTTAGTTGCAAAAAAGCAGCAAGACAAATTTTCCTTCAAAAGAAAATAGGTTGCATGCATCTTTAACTTTTGCTTTTCAGTTAGAATAAGCAATAGCATTCTTCCAAAACACTAGACAAATAGCCCAGTGTTCTGCTTATTACATTTTGATTATTTTCTGGTGACTTCCATACGGACTCATATTTGTGTGTACAGGAATTCAACATGTATTGACACTTACCTTGTGCCAAGTCCTGTGCTAGTGTTAAAGTGCCCAGACCAGGTTAGGAAGCCACTGTCTTGGCCCTAGAGGGCTCACAGCTGGTCAGGGAGACAGAAGAAACTTCAAAAGGATGCCACTCGGGCTGACCCTTGAAGGAAGAGTAGAAGTCTGTCAGGTGGAAGAGAGAAGAAATGGATTTCCAAGCAGTGAAACAGCCTCTTCAAAGGCTCAAAGGTGCAAAATTGCATAATCGGTTCAGGAAATGAAGTCAGTACATGTAATAAGAAGGCAGTTATCATTCCTTGAACAAAGGTGTGACTTTGCTTGCAAACTGGTAAAAGCATAGATTGTTTATGTGCCTTCTGGCTCATGTCCTAATTCTTGATCACAGGACACTTGAGCCCAGGTTTCTTGGCCCTTCAGCACCAAGCAGCTGGCTCCGATCACCATCCACTTCAGTCTCAGGGTCACCTTCTTGCAAAAATGTCCCATGCTCATAAAGATAGAAGTAATCCATCCACTTTTAGGCAGTGGGAGCAGAATATAAAGAAAGATGAGGCCGGGAATGGTGGCTCATGCCTGTAATCCTAGCACTTTGGGAGGTCAAGGTGGGTAGATTACTTGAGCCCAGGAGTTGGAGACCAGCCTGGCCAACATGGTGAAATCCCATCTCTACTAAAATACAAAAAGTAGCTGGGCATGGTGGTGTGCACCTGTGGTCCCAGCTACTAGGGAGGCTGAGGCAGGAGGATCGACTGAACCTGGGAGGTGGAGGCTGCAGTGAGCCGGGATCACCACCATTACATTCCAGCCTGGGTGACAGAGGGAGACCCTGTCTTGAAAAAAAAAAAAAACAAATTAAAACAGAAAAAGAATACAAAGGAGGGTGAGGTAAAGTTCCCAACTACAGAGGAATAAGGATGGGGGCTTTTCAGGAAATTCCTATGAAAAAACACTGAGAGAGGAAGGTAGCGTGGCAGAAACAAGACTCGGTGAAGAGCACACACTCTGAAGTCCCTTCTCCCACTTCTGTGTGACTTCCAACAATTAACTTAGCCTTTTATTGCCTCAGTTTCCTCACCTGTAAGATGAAGATTAAAAGGTTACCAGGTACAAACTCCATAAGGTTGCTGCAAGGATTAAATGTGATGAAGTATGAGGTTCTCCCCATTCCACCACACATTTCCACTGTTATCTTTATTTTTCTGGCATCTGCTAAAAGCAGATATTGCCCCTGTGTTTCATCTAATTATGAAACATACAGAAAACTCCAGTAGTAACATGTCCTGAGTTGCTCTTCTTTGACCTCTGCCCATAGGTTCTCTCAAATTCCCTTAGACTTGCAGCTTCCCTAGCAGGTAAACATTTCTCAGTGCCTAGGGCCACACCATGTCTCCCTCTTACAAGCTGGCTCCTCCTAAAAGGGCACATTCATCCCACCCCCATACTAAAATCCTGAGTTCCGGCTGGGTGCAGTGGCTCATGCCTGTAATCCCAGCACTTTGGGAGGCCGAGGCAGGTGGATCACCTGAGGTCAGGAGTTCAAGACCAGCCTGGGCAACATGGTGAAATGCCGTCTCTTCTAAAAAATACAAAAATGAGCTGGATGCGGTGGCACATGCCTGTAATCCCAGCTACTTGGGAGGCTGAGGCAAGAGAAACGCTTGAGCCCGGGAGGCAGAGGTTGCAGTGAGCCAAGATTGCGCCATTGTACTCCAGCGTGGGGGACAGAGCAAGACTCTGTCTCAAAAAACAAAATAAAATAAAATAAAATCCCGATTTCCATCTTATAGGTTGAGGCAATCACTTCCTGAGACTATATTTTAATGTTATAACCACTTAACCTCAAGGCTCTATATGTCGGCATTTACACGGCAAAGCTTCAAGTCTTGTTTGTGCCTTGCCACCTTCCTCCTTCAATGTTTTCCCATGCGAATTTTCTGAAAAGCCCCCATCCTGATTCTTCTGTAGTTGGGAACTTGATCTCACCCTCCTTTATATTTAGTTTTAAGACCTCTGAAACTCACTAGGTATTCTCCAGGCAAATAAGCTCTTCCTTTTCTTCATGAGATGCAAGCCAGGCCCACCCAATGGATCATTCACATATCTTAAACTGTGCTTCATAAATCAACATTTAAATATTCCCTTTGGCAAAGCCAGTTTTCCTCTCACCTCTAAAGTCCCAGTAGAAAAATACTACCTATATTTCTAAGTCCTTTGCTGCTGTATTATTGTAGCAATAATCATGGTAAGAGGTAGCATTTTTTGGCCCCTATTGTATGTTCACAACTGAAATAAACACTCCACAAATATAAATTCATGTAATATTGAAGTGGCATCGTTGTCTGGGATAAATACCTGGAGTTCATCATCTCACACCAAGGGAATCAAGGATGCAGACACAAGAAGTAGGTTTAGGAGCAGAGGTTTAATAGGCATAAGATAGAGAAAGGAGAAGAGCTCTCTCTTCTGTGAGAGAGACAGGGGTGCCTGAGTGGGACCTCTGGCCTGTGGCTCAGTGCACTGGATTTTATAGACAGGCTTGAGGAGGTGGTATCTGATTTACATAGGGCTCACAGATTGGTTGGAAGAAGTGTGAGGTTGACATAGCACAAGAGGAAGCTGGCCACCCCATCCTAATCTTATTGTGCAAATGGAGTCTTTGCCTGGCTGAGGCCATGTTGTCTGCTCCCTACTGTACACGTGGTACACGTGGCTGTAAAGGAGAAGGGAAGGTGGAGCCGCCATTTTGAACATCCGTAGTCCCAGGCAGCCTTTTCCTCGTGGCACAGCTGTCAGCTTTCACCCATGCAAGCTTCCAGCTTGCTTGTCTATGTCTGCAGCTTGATTTTACAGGCTGCTCTTTGTTAGAAAAGAAAATGATGTGGGGGCTGCTTTTCATTAAAAGGAAAACCTTACTGAGGACTTCCTTACCCTCACTATCTGCCTAAATAATTCCTTTTTAACTCCTCTATCAATATTAATAAGAGCCCTGTAAGATAGGTATTATTTTTATTTTACAAATAAGCTGATGCTCGAAGGTTAAATAATCTGCCTGAGATGATGCAGCTGGGAAGTGTTAGAACAAGGATTCAAGCTCAACTCTCTCTTAATATCAGACCCAGGTAACTGGCCATTAGATTCTACTGTCCAGCCTAAAGATGCCTCAGAACACCAATCTGAATCTTTTGTATGGTGGATCAAAGTACTATCCCCAGTTTTGCACCCCTCTCTATATCCATGTGCCTCATAATAGTTCAGCATGTTCTTTCTTTCTTATTATTATTTTTTATTTTTTAAAAAATATTTTCTTCAGTATGTTCTTTCTGTGCCTTGATTTGGGGCTTAGCCATGTGTCTTGCTTGGCCAATGAAATGTGGGTAGAAGTGATGGCTTAGATCCTGTGTTAGTTTCCCGGGACTGCCATCACAAATCACTACACATTTAGTGGCTTAAAACAACATAAATGGGCCGGCGCAGTGGCTCATGCCTGTAGTCCCAGCAATTCTGGAGGCTGACGTGAGTGGATCATCTGAGGTCAGGAGTTCGAGACCAGCCTGGCCAACGCAGTGAAGCCCCGCCTCTACTAAAAATACAAAAAAAAAAAAAAAAAAAAATTAGCCCAGTTGGTGGTGGGCACCTGTAATCCCAGCTGCTCAGGAGGGCTGAGGCAGGAGAATCGCTTGATCCGGCGAGGTGGAGGTTGCAGTGAGCTAAGATTGTGCCATTGCACTCCAGCCTGGGCAAAAGGAGGGAAACTCCATCTCAAAAATAAAACACAGAAACAAAAAAACCAGAAACATATTCTCTCATGGTGGTTTTGGAGGCCAGAAATCCAAAATAAAGCCTTTGCTAGGGTTGGTTTCTTCTTGCAGGCTCAGAGAGAGACTGTTCCACATTTGCCTCCTGGCTTCTGGTGGCTGCAGGCAATGGTGCTCCTTGGTTGTCAGTGTATCTGTAACATCTGCTTTCACTGTCCCATGACATTCTCCCTGCGTGTCTGTGCCCACATTTCCCTCGTTTTATAAGGACACCAGTCACTGGATTTGGATCCACCCCTAGTATGACTTCACCCTAACTTAATTACATCTGCAAAGACCCTATTCCAAATTAGGTGACAGTCACAGGTAGGAGGTGGGCAGAGATTAGGACTTCAACCTATCTTTTTGGGGCACACAGTTCAACCCACAACAGGCTCTAAAAGGCATTTGATTTTTCTGCTTGGCCTCTTGTACTTGTGCCATTACCAGGAAAAGAGCTCCTCTGGGGGAACTGTTGATCTTCAGCCCAGGCCCAAGGACGAAGACCCACGGAGCAGGAACTTCCTCAGCCAGATGGGCCTGCAGCTTAAAGCAGGCCTCCATGTGACCCACAGGCCATGAGAATACAAGATTGTTGTTATAATCCACTACGCTTTGGGGTGGTTTGTTGTGAGGCATTTTTGCAGCAATACCTAAACAATGCAGTAAGTATTCCTACAAGAGGCTGGGCGCGGTGTTTCACACTTGTAATACCAGCACTTTGGGAGGCCAAGGTGGATGGATTGCTTGAGCTCAGAAGTTCAAGACCAGCCTGGGCAACATGGCAAACCCTGTCTCTACTAAAAATACAAAAACTAGCTGGGCATGGCGTCACACACCTTTAGTCCCAGCTACTTGAGAGCCGGAAGTGGGAGGATCACCTGAGCCCAGGAGGCTGAGGCTGGAGTGAGCAGTGATCATGCCACTGCAATGTAGCCTGGGGGATAGAACAAGACCCTGTCTCAAAAATAATAAATAAATAAAAAAATAAATAAATAAATAAATAAATAATAAGCATTCCTATAAGAAATAACTAATTAGCAGATACAATGTGAAGGGAAAAACTAACCCACAATAGCAACAAAAGCCATAAAATACCTAGTTTTATTACCCTTCAGCAGCTCTTGAACATGTGAACTGAAATGTTATTTGTGGAGGACATATTATTACATTATTTTCTTTCTTCTTCTTTTTTTTCTGTGAGATGGGATTTCACTCTTTCACCCAAGCTGGAGTGCAGTAATGCAATCATGGCTCACTGCAGCCTCAACCTCCCAGGCTCAAGTGATCTCCTCCCATCTCAGCCTCTTGAGTAGCTGGGATTATAGGTGAGGGCCACCCTGCCCATTAATTTTCTATTTTGTAGAGACGGGGTCTCCCTATGTTGCCCAGCCTGGTCTCGAACTCCTGGGCTCAAGCAGTCGTCCTGCCTCAGCCTCTCAAAGTACTGGGATTGTATGCATGGGCCACTGCACCTGACTGACACCTTATTTTTATTTTTATTTTATTATACTTTAAGTTTTAGGGTACATGTGCACAACGTGCAGGTTTGTTACATATGTATATATGTGCCATGTTGGTTGGTGTGCTGCACCCATTAACTCGTCATTTACATTAGGTATATCTTCTAATGCTTTCCCTCCCCGCTTCTCCCACCCCACAACAGGCCCCAGTGTGTGATGTTCCCCTTCCTGTGTCCAAGTGTTCTCATTGTTAAATTCCCACCTAGGAGTGAGAACATATGGTGTTTGGTTTTTTGTTCTTGCAATAGTTTGCTGAGAATGATGGTTTCCAGCTTCATCCATGTCCCTACAAAGGACATGATCTCATCCTTCTTTATGGCTGTATAGTATTCCATCGTGTATATGTGCCAGATTTTCTTAATCCAGTCTATCGTTGATGGACATTTGGGTTGGTTCCAAGTCTTTGCTATAGTGAATAGTGCCGCAATAAACATACGTGTGCATGTGCCTTTATAGCAGCATGGTTTATAATCCTTTGGGTATATATTCAGTAATGAGATGGCTGGGTCAAATGACATTTCTAGTTCTAGATCCTTGAGGAAGCGCCACACTGTCTTCCATAATGGTTGAACTAGTTTACAGTCCCACCAACAGTGTAAAAGTGTTCCTATTTCTCCACATCCTCTCCAACACCTGTTGTTTCCTGACTTTTTAATGATCGCCATTCTAACTGGTGTGAGATGGTATCTCATTGTGGTTTTGATTTGCCTTTCTCTGATGGCCAGTGATGATGAGCATTTTTTCATGTGTCTGTTGGCTGCATAAATGTCTGCTTTTGAGAAGTGTCTGTTCATATCCTTTGCCCACTTTTTGATGAGGTTGTTTGTTTTTTTCTTGTAAATTTGTTTGAGTTCTTTGTAGATTCTTGATATTAGCCCTTTCTCAGATGAGTAGATTGCAAAAATTTTCTCCCATTCTGTATGTTGCCTGTTCATTCTGATGGTAATTTCTTTTGCTGTGCAGAAGCTCTTTAGTTTAATTAGATCCCATTTGTCAATTTTGGCTTTTGTTGCCGTTGCTTTTGGTGTTTTAGACATGAAGTCCTTGCCCATGCCTATGTCCTGAATGGTATTGCCTAGGTTTTCTTCTAGGGTTTTTATGGTTTTAGGTCTAATATGTAAGTCTTTAATCCATCTTGAATTAATTTTTGTCTAAGGTATAAGGAAGGGATCCAGTTTCAGCTTTCTACATATGGCTAGCCAGTTTTCCCAGCACCATTTATTAAATAGGGAATCATTTCCCCATTTCTTCTTTTTCTCAGGTTTGTCAAAGATCAGATGGTTGTAGATACGTGGTATTATTTCTGAGGGCTCTGTTCTGTTCCATTGGTCTATATCTCTGTTTTGGTACCAGTACCATGCTGTTTTGCTTACTATAGCCTTGTATATAGTTTGAAGTCAGGTAGCGTGATGCCTCCAGCTTTGTTCTTTTGGCTTAGGATTCTCTTGGAAATGTGGGCTCTCTTTTGGTTCCATATGAACTTTAAAGTAGTTGTTTCCAATTCTGTGAAGAAAGTCATTGGTAGCTTGATGGGGATGGCATTGAATCTATAAATTACCTTGTGCAGTATGGCCATTTTCATGGTATTGATTCTTCCTACGCATGAGCATGGAATGTTCTTCCATTTGTTTGCATCCTCTTTTATTCGGTTGAGCAGTGGTTTGTAGTTCTCCTTGAAGAGGTCCTTCACATTCCTTGTAAGTTGGATTCCTAGGTATTTTATTCTCTTTGAAACAATTGTGAATGGGAGTTCACTCATGATTTGGCTCTCTATTTGTCTGTTATTGGTGTATAAGAATGCTTGTGATTTTTGCACATTGATTTTGTATCCTGAGACTGCTGAAGTTGCTTATCAGCTTAAGGAGATTTTGGGCTGAGACGATGGGGTTATCTAAATATACAGTCATGTCATCTGCAAACAGGGACAATTTGACTTCCTCTTTTCCTAATTGAATGCCTTTATTTCTTTCTCCTGCCTGATTGCCCTGGCCAGAACTTCCAACACTATGTTGAATAGGAGTGGTGAGAGAGGGCATCAATGTCTTCTGCCAGTTTTCAAAGAGAATGTTTCCAGTTTTTGCCCATTCAGTATGATATTGGCTGTGGGTTTGTCATAAATAGCTCCTATTATTTTGAGATACGTCCCATCAATACTGAATTTATTGAGAGTTTGTAGCATGAAGGTTGTTGAATTTTGTCAAAGGCCTTTTCTGTATCTATTGAGATAATCATGTGGTTTTTGTCTTTGGTTCTGTTTATATGCTGGATTATGTTTATTGATTTGCATATGTTGAAGCAGGCTTGCATCCCAGGCATGAAGCCCACTTTATCATGGTGGATAAGCTTTTTGATGTGCTGCTGGATTTGGTTTGCCAGTATTTTATTGAGGATTTTTGCATCGATGTTCATCAGGGATATTGGTCTAAAATTCTCTTTTTTTGTTGTGTCTCTGCCAGGCTTTGGTATCAGGATGAGGCTGGCCTCATAAAATGAGTTAGGGAGGATTCCCTCTTTTTCTATTGATTGGAATAGTTTCAGAAGGAATGGTACCAGCTCCTCCTTGTACCTCTGGTAGAATTCAGCTGTGAATCCATCTGGTCCTGGACTTGTTTTGGTTGGTAAGCTATTAATTATTGCCTCAATTTCAGAGCCTGTTATTGGTCTATTCAGGGATTCAAGTTCTTCCTGGTTTAGTCTTGGGAGGGTGTATGTATCCAGGAAATTATCCATTTCTTCTAGATTTTCTAGTTTATTTGCATAGAGGTGTTTATAGTATTCTCTGATAGTAGTTTGTATTTCCGTGGGATCCGTGGTGGTATGCCCTTTATCATTTTTTATTGCATCTATTTGATTCTTCTCTCTTTTCTTCTTTATTAGTCTTGCTAGCAATCTATCAATTTTGTTGATCTTTCCAAAAAACCAGCTCCTGGATTCATTGATTTTTTCGAAGGGTTTTTTGTGTCTCTATCTCCTTCAGTTCTGCTCTGATCTTAGTTATTTCTTACCTTCTGCTAGCTTTTGAATGTGTTTGCTCTTGCTTCTCTAGTTCTTTTAATTGTGATGTTAGGGTGTCAATTTTAGATCTTTCCTGCTTTCTCTTGTGGGCATTTAGTGCTATAAATTTCCCTCTACACACTGGTTTAAATGTGTCCCGGAGATTCTGGTATGTTGTGTCTTTGTTCTCATTGGTTTCAAAGAACATCTTTATTTCTGCCTTCATTTCATTATGTACCTAGTAGTCATTCAGGAGTAGGTTGTTCAGTTTCCATGTAGTTGAGTAGTTTTGAGTGAGTTTCTTAATCCTGTGT
The DNA here is from genome assembly GCF_000001405.40 of Homo sapiens. Classification (NCBI taxonomy): domain Eukaryota; kingdom Metazoa; phylum Chordata; class Mammalia; order Primates; family Hominidae; genus Homo; species Homo sapiens. Next base: position 3,906,816 of record NW_018654717.1, on the reverse strand, counting down.
TCTAGTTTGATTGCACTGTGGTCTGAGAGACAGTTTGTTATAATTTCTGTTCTTTTACATTTGCTGAGGAGTGCTTTACTTCCAACTATGTGGTCATTTTTGGAATAAGTGCGATGTGGTGCTGAGAAGAATGTATACTCTGTTAATATGGGGTGGAGAGTTCTGTAGATGTCTGTTAGGTCCACTTGGTGCAGAGCTGAGTTCAATTCCTGGGTATCTGTGTTAACTTTCTGTCTTGTTGATCTGTCTAATGTTGACAGTGGGGTGTTAAAGTCCCCCATTATTATTGTGTGGGAGTCTAAGTCTCTTTGTAGGTCTCTAAGGACTTGCTTTATGAATCTGGGTGCTCCTGTATTAGGTGCATATATATTTAAGATAGTTAGCTCTTCTTGTTGAATTGATCCCTTTACCATTATGTAATGGCCTTGTCTCTTTTGATCTTGGTTGGTTTAAAGTCTGTTTTATCCAAGACTAGGATTGCAACCCCTGCCTTTTTTTATTTTCCATTTGCTTGGTAGATCTTCCTCCATCCCTTTATTTTGAGCCTATGTGTGTCTCTGCATGTGAGATGGGTCTCCTGAATACAGCACACTGATGGGTCTTGACTCTTTATCCAATTTGCCAGTCTGTGTCTTTTAATTGGAGCATTTAGCCCATTTACATTTAAGGTTAATATTGTTATGTGTGAATTTGATCCTGTCATTATGATGTTAGCTGGTTATTTTGCTCATTAGTTGATGCAGTTTCTTCCTAGCCTTGATGGTCTTTACAATTTGGCATGTTTTTGCAGTGGCTGGTACCGGTTGTTCCTTTCCATGTTTAGTGCTTCCTTCAGGAGCTCTTGTAGGGTAGGCCTGGTGGTGACAAAATCTCTCAGCATTTGCTTGTCTGTAAAGGATTTTATTTCTCCTTGACTTATGAAGCTTAGTCTGGCTGGTTATGAAATTCTGGGTAGAAAATTCTTTTATTTAAGAATGTTGAATATTGGCCCCCACTGTCTTCTGGCTTATAGAGTTTCTGCCAAGAGATCAGCTGTTAGTCTGATGGGTTTCCCTTTGTGGGTAACCTGACCTTTGTCTCTGGCTGCCCTTAACATTTTTTCCCTCATTTCAACTTTGGTGATTTTGACAATTATGTGTCTTGGAGTTGCTCTTCTCGAGGAGTATCTTTGTGGTGTTCTCTGTATTTCCTGAATTTGAATATTAGCCTGTCTTGCTAGGTGGGGGAAGTTCTCCTGGATACTATCCTGCAGAGTGTTTTCCAACTTGGTTCCATTCTCCCCGTCACTTTCAGGTACACCAATCAGACGTAGATTTGGTCTTTACACATAGTCTCATATTTTTTGGAGGTTTGTTCATTTCTTTTTACTCTTTTTTCTCTAAACTTCTCTTCTCCCTTCATTTCATTCATTTGATCTTCAGTCACTGATACCCTTTCTTCCAGTTGATCAAATCGGTTACCGAAGCTTATGTATTCATCAGTTAGTTCTCGTGCCATGTTTTTCAGCTCAGTCAGGTCATTTAAGGACTTCTCTACACTGGTTATTCTAGTTAGCCATTCGTCTAATCTTTTTTCAAGGTTTTTAACTTCTTTGCGTTGGGTTCGAACTTCCTCCTTTAGCTTGGAGAAGTTTGATCGTCTGAAGCCTTCTTCTCTCAACTCGTCAAAGTCATTCTCCATGAAGCTTTGTTCCGTTGCTGTCAAGGAGCTGCGTTCCTTTGGAGGGGGAGAAGTGCTCTGATTTTTAGAATTTTCAGCTTTTCTGTTCTGTTTTTTCCCTATCATTGTGGTTTTATCTGCCTTTGGTCTTTGATGATGGTGACATACAGATGGGGTTTTGGTGTGGATGTCCTTTCTGTTTGTTGGTTTTCCTTCTAACAGTCAGGATCCTCAGCTGCAGGTCTGATGGAGTTTGCTGGAGGTCCACTCCAGACCCTGTTTTCCTGGGTATCAGCAGCAGAGGCTGCAGAAAAATGAATATTGCTGAATAGCAAATGTTTCTGCCTGATGGTTCCTCTGGAAGCTTTGTCTCAGTGGGGTACCTGGCCACGTGAGGTGTCAGTCTGCCCCTACTGGGGAGTGCCTCCCAGTTGGGCTACTCGGAGGTCAGGGACCCACTTGAGAAAGCAGTCTGTGCGTTCTCAGATCTCAAACTCCATGCTGGGAGAACCACTACTCTCTTCAAAGCTGTCAGACAGGGACATTTAAGTCTGCAGAGGTTTCTGCTGCCTTTTGTTTGGCTATGCCCTGCCCCCAGAGGTGGAGTCTACAGAGGCAGGCAGGCCTCCTTGAGCTGCGGTGGGCTCCACCCAGTTCGGGCTTCCTGGAGGCTTTGTTTACCTATTCAAGCCTCAGCAATGGCGGGTGCTCCTCCCCCAGCCTTGCTGCCACCTGGCATTTCTATCTCAGACTGCTGTGCTAGCAATGAGGGAGGTTCCATGGGCGTGGGACCCTCCGAGCCAGGTGCGGGATATAATCTCCTGGTGTACTGTTTGTGAAGACCATTGGAAAAGCGTAGTATTAGGGTGGGAGTGACCCAATTTTCCAGGTACCGTCTGTCACCCCTTCCCTTGGCTAGGAAAGGGAATTCCCTGACCCCTTGAGCTTCCCACGTGAGGCGATGCCTCGCCCTGCTTTGGCTTACGCTCAGTGGGCTGCACCTACTGTCCTGCCCCCACTGTCCAATGAGCCCCAGTGAGATGAACTTGGTACCTCAGTTGGAAATGCAGAAATCACCCATCTTCTGCGTTGCTCACGCTGGGAGCTGTAGACTGGAGCTGTTCCTATTCGGCCATCTTGGAACCTCCCCAGATGATCTCCCCACACCTAATTTTCTAATTAAAAAATTATTTAGAACTCGGCTGAAGATTCCTTCAAGAAGCAACATGAACCTGATCGTGGAGAGTAAGAAGGAATTCAGAGAAAAAAGGAGCTAGAGATGTCAAACAAAATGTCCCTGCCCTCAAGTGGCTCACAATCTATTAGCTGAGCATAGGAACTTCTGTGAGTGAACGGGATAAAGAATATCCCATTAAAACTATGTCTAGATATTTATTTCTTGCCCCTCAAAGGCATTTTTGAAAAAGCACAGCAGTTGGCCGGGCACAGTGGCTCACGCCTGTAATCCCAACACTTTGGGAGGCCAAGGCAGGCGGTCACGAGGTCAGGAGATCGAGACCATCCTGGCTAACACAGTGAAACCTCGTCTCTACTAAAAATACAAAAAATTAGCCGGGGGTGGTGGCGGGCGCCTGTAATCCCAGCTACTCGGGAGGCTGAGTCAGGAGAATGGCGTGAACCTGGGAGTCACAGCTTGCAGTGAGCCGAGATTGCGTCACTGCACTCCAGCCTGGGTGACACAGCCAGACTCCATCTCAAAAAAAAAAAAAAAAAAAAAAAAGAAGAGAAAAGAAAGAAGGAGAGAAAGCACAGCAGTTGCAGAGGAGTCCAGCCATTTCACAAGGAAGAAGAGGAAGCACACAGATAACTAATAGCCAAACATAAATGTCTACGCTTTTCGTTTGGATGGGCCATGGGCCACGTTCCAGCTAACATGATTCTTTCATCTCTCATCTCTTTCCGCCCTTTCCTTTCCTCCTGTGTTCTGATCCTGACTACCACCAGGCATCCTCAGAAAGGATTTTTCATGCTGATAATTAGACTTGATGTATTTATGGAGCTCTGTTTTCCCAGAGGATCATCCCATCTGAGGCTGACATCCCTTTGAAAGTTTGGAGAATGTGAAGCTTGGAAGAGCTAAACAGTTCCCAGAGACCAGAACCGCAGGGAATTAAACTTCAGGATGATCTTAAGATATTTAGTGCTCTTATCCTCCATGTGCAGAGTATCTCTTTGGAAAAATTTTGGTGGCAAAAGTCATTAATGAATCTATATAACACCCTGTTTAACCAAAGTATGGATCCAATTTTTAACTTGCTGTTTTGATCTCTATTAGATTTGTGGTTTGCAGAAGTTTGGACTACTTTACCCCATAACAAAAAAGGAGTCACATACACACACTGTAAGATGTTGAAGTCTGAGTCACTTGAGCTATCTTTTTATTGCACAAAGCTCCTGGGCGATCTTGCATGAATCATTGTTCAACACTGAGAAGTTCTAATTCAGTAAACAAAATGCTATCACAAGTTCATCTTTAGCTGCCAATTATGCAATTTGAAAATGACACGTACTCACAGCATTCAGTCCCTTCATAGCTCCACAAAAACCACCTTAGGACAATTTGTTCTGTTAAATGAGTAGCTAGAAAAGTTACACATTATGCCAGGCATAATCTTCTTGTTTCTCTGGCAGACAGCTGCCTAGGAAATAAAATCTGTACTGTTGTTTATTGCTTGAGAATTTGTTTCTGTAGGAGGACAGGTGCATTTACCATGCCAGTGAGGGATGGATAAAAGGAAATAAAGGAGAGCTTAAAAGGAACTCTATGATTTTAGGTCACTTATTAAACCCCCTAATCATTAGTTTGTTCATCTGTACAGTGAAGATAATAATGTTCCATGCCCATCTTACAGGATGATAGTGAGAATCAGTTCAAGTTAGTTAGTAAGCAAATGAGAAGTACCTACTATGCACAGCACTATACCAGATATCTCTGGAAATAGATAAGTAAATAAAAATTACTTTTTAGCTCAGTGGCCATTTAATGATAAAATAAAATGTAGGTATGTACATTATTATGTACATTGTTAAACTCCATTTTTATGCACAATGTTAAACTCCATGCAAATACAAAGTAGTAGTAGTGGGGCAATGGTGACCACAGTAGTAAACTCAGAAAGTCAAAACTAGAAGGGGGCTTAGACATTCTGTAGTCTACTCCCCTGAGTTTAAACAAACTGACTTCCAGGGAGATTAATGCTTTATCCAAGAATGGACAAACAGCAGAAGCAAATATATGTTGTTAATATGCCCTGATTTTCTTTCTTTCTTTCTTTCTTTTTTTTTTTTTTTTTTGAGATGGAGTCTCTCTCTGTTGCCCAGGCTGGAGCAGAGTGGCGCCATCTTGGCTCACTGCAAGCTCCGCCTTCCATGTTCACGCCATTCTCCTGCCTCAGCCTCCCAAGTAGCTGGGACTACAGGCACCCGCCACCACAGCCAGCTATTTTTTTTTGTATTTTCAGTAGAGATGGGGTTTCACCATGTTAGCCAGGATGGTCTTGATCTCCTGACCTCGTGATCCACCCGCCTTGGCCTCCCAAAGTGCTGGGATTACAGGCATGAACCACCACGCCTGGCCAATATACCCGAGTTTTCAAGCAGATTCCTGGAAACCCAGATGGCAACTTTAGCATCATCAGCTAAAATTTAATACGGGGAGAATTGAATACATGTACAGAAATCTTTCAGCTCTGCTTACCACTGTGGATAGGAAGGTGGGCTGACGGTGTTAGATTCTGGCCCTGCTACTCATTAATTAGTGACCTTGGGCAAGTTACTTAATTTCCATGTCTCCTCTCCTCATCTGTAATATGAAGGAAATCATAGTGCCAAACATCAAAGGATTATTATGAAAGTTCAAGGAATTAATATGTAAAGTGCTGCAAAGAGAGTCTAGCACATGACAAGCTCTCTGCATTGCTGTCTATTCATATAATTTAAGCCCAGTGGAGGCTGACACGGCCATCCTGTTGGTGAGGGAGGTGTCTAAGGAAGTGCTGAGCTGGGGAAGTCAGAACACATTAGAACAAACGGGCAGCACTGAAAGCTATGAAGGCAGGGAAGATTTCTTTCCCCACAAACCAAACCAAAGAGGTTACCTTTAGGATACTTTTTTCCTTTTCACAAAGATGTCAGCTAACATCCTGAGCATTTCAGGTATCATGTCTGAGTGCCAATGCAGGGAATGAGCCTGTAATTCTAGGACTTGAGCAGTGCTCTCATCAATTCAGCTCCCAACCACAGCTTACTCTGGGTTGAATTAAGGTAGCAAATGGTTTACAGAGAAGAGGCAGCCCCTGTTCTGAGATAAAGGTATTGAACACCCATCATTATCAATTCATCAGCCTCTGCACCACTCAACCTGCCTGGAAGATTGGCAGGCGAAGCCCGGGTTGGGGGTGGGGAGGTTGTTAGGTTTACACACAGATCACACGTGATCACATGACATTTCCTAACTTCAGCAGAACATGATAGCCACTGAGGACCCTGAAGCTCAGTTAGGGTCGCTCTGGGACAGTTGTCTATTTCCTGGCTTCACTTGGTAGGCAGGGTGGAGGCAAGGTCAAAGAAGATCAAGAACTGGGCTGTAACATAATCCATGGAATTGACACTGCAGAACAAAGAACATGTCTAGTACAAGAGGTGTGCCCAGCACAGGACAAAACCGTGTCCAGGAGGAAGAGGGAGTCATGTACGTCCAGGTCTGTGTGGGAGTGGGTGACCTGTCTGGAGATTCCTATCCCTTTGGTGGAGAGTGAAGCATCGGCTTCAGTTAACTTTCCAATCAGGCAGCCGGCGCCCTCTTCTCACTCTGATTCTAGCCTCTCCAGGCTGTCTTCTGATGATCACTTGACTTCCCACCTAGATTGCACCACAGGGAGAGAACGTGCTTGAAACAGGATGTGTGTCGGATCTCTTGGCTGATTTTACTTGTCATCGTAAATTAATAAAATGGCATTTTGATTTACACACCCGTCTCTTGTGAACTTGGTGAGTGTGACTGAGAGCCCGATAAACCGATCTTACCTCCGTGTGCTGACAAAACCAATTTTCTCAGTTTCTGAACCTGAAAAACTAAGGGCCAGCCCTTAGACTGCGGTGAAATCACCAAGGTAAATTCCCTTTTGAAGTCTCTGGCAGACAGACAGCCGCCCTTTCCTCCACCTCCTGTCAAACACATTTCTCTTGTGGACTTTCATCTTTCAAGGTGAACACTCCATGTTCAATGCCCACTCAAATGATTGATTCCATGGTGGTAAGCTCAGGAAATGGGAAACTTTCTCCTCCCCTGAGCCACCTAATCAATGTTTTAACATGTCTATAAAGGCACTTAATCAAAACATAATTCTAATAAGCATGTGGTTTTTAGCATCTTATGTAGATCCCCTATTCAAAATGATGAAACTGTTATTCAGTTGTAACCCAAGCTTTCGTAGGCCACACCAGACAGTACAAATTAGGTTATGTTCCCTTTAAATCCAGTGGTGCTGGTGGGGTGACCCCACCTGCAGAAGGCTGGTCATTAACCTCTGTCCCCAAGTCTTCCCATCTGTCTTGGGAGTTTTCTGAGGGGCCCTGTGTGCTCACGGTCCTCTCCTCTGGTCTCTTTTTAAGTTAAAAACAATTTTTTTGTTGTTGTTGGTTTTCTTGTTTTTGTTTTTGTTTGTTTGTTTTTTGAGATGGAGTCTTGCTCTGTCTTCCAGGCTGGAGTGCAGTGGTACCATCTCGGCTCACTGCAGCCTCCCTCTCCTGTATTCCAGCGATTCTCCTGCCTCAGCCTCCTGAGTAGCTGGGATTATAGGTGCCCGCCACCATGCCCAGCTAATTTTTGTATTTTTAGTAGAGTCAGGGTTTCACCGTGTTGGCCAGGCTGGTCTTGAACTCCTGACCTCAGGTGATCCACCTGCCTCAGCCTCCCACAGTGCTAGGATCACAGGTGTTAGCCACTGCGCCTGGCCTATTTTATTTTATTTTATTTTTTTAGAGGCAAGGTCTTGCTTTGTCACTGAGGCTAGAGTGCAATGGCAAGATCATAGCTCAGTACAGCCTCAACCTCCTGGCTGGCCTTGTTTTAAATGTTGGCTGCCTGCAGATCACTTCCAAGAGAGCCCGGCCTTTGTCACTGCCATTATTTTTGGTGTTGCAGCAATCCATGAGATTTCTTCTTCTGAGAGCACTGTCTCTGCAAGTTTGCAAAGCTGTATTTTGGTACCTCAAGGTAACAAATTGTCATGAAGTTCTTTCAATGCATCTTTGCACCCCCAGAACCAGACAGTTATGGTGGAGAAATGGAAGGCACCCTTCTCCCCAGGCCTGTACTGCACAGTGCTTTCTGGGTTCCAGGGTAGCACTGACAGTGTCCAGAGTCCTACAAAATCTTCAAGGAAACAGCTCTTTCATTATTGGCCAAAGCCCCTCTCCTTAAAAGGGATCAAGCCTAGGTCTTACAGAACAGACGTCTTACTGTCTTCCCAATCTTCCATGCCTGACTTTGGTCTCGTCTTTTTCCTTAAAGCTTATCATGCACTCATGCAAATAGATACCTGGAGACAGTCACAGGGTAAAAAAATCACAGTTCATGCTCAGGGTGAAAAAGCCCCATGCTGCACAGGCATGTGCTCACTCAGCACACATCTGTGAGCAGATGCTAAGTACACCAGATTCTGAACGAGGTTATGATGACAGAGAGAATAAGACATGGTCCCTAGAAGTTCTGAATCTGGGCTGTGGAATAATCAACTGTGATATAATATTATATGTACCACAGAAATGATATGTACAAAATATGCTAAAACACAGAGGAAAAAAAAGGCTTCCAAAAGCAGAGGTTCTATAGCAGTAGAGAAGAGCTGAGTACGGCTGGGTGCAGTGGCTCATGCCTGTAATTCCAGCACTTTGGGAGGCTGAGTCAGGCGAATCACCTGAGGTCAGAAGTTTGAGACCAGCCAGGCCAATACAGTGAAACTCTGTCTCTACTAAAAGTAGAAACATTAGCCAGGCATGTGGCAGGCACTTGTAATCCCAGCTACTTGGGAGGCTGAGGCAGGAGAATGGTTTGAACCCAGGAGGCGGAGGTTGTAGTGAGCCAGTGAGCTGAGATGGCGCCACTGTACTCCAGCCTAGGTGACAGAGTGAAAAAAAAAAAAAAAAAAAAGAGCTGAGTAGAGGAAAGGGAGTTTCTTTAAAGGGCTTGCTGGGAGAAGATAGTTAAATGGTCCTTGAAGCACAAGTTTATCAGGCAGATGTCAATAGGCATTCCAGGCAGGGGAAAAAGGTGAATGAAGTGTTAAAAGAAGTAATTTCATTCTATAAATTTGATAATTCTATAAATGAGATTTTGTAGAGCAAAATTCTAAGAGGCTTCAACATATGAACAGCAGCTTTTCAGTGAAACCCTTTGAAAAACAAAACTGATGTTGCAAAAGGATTTTATTCATCTTTCTTTTGGTTGCTGAGGGTGAACAATACATAAAATAATAAGAAGAGGAGGAAGAAGGTGATACCAAGCATTTCAACACTGTCTGCTGAGAACGATTTAGGTGAAGAGATTGTGATGAAGATGAATAACATGAGTAGTCCTTTGACAAGTGGCACACCAAGCACTGATTACACTAGACATGGGATGATAAGGTTAACCAGTAAGAAAAGTCCAACATTGGCCGGGCGTGGTGGCTCATGCCTGTAATCCCAGCACTTTGGGAGGCCGAGGAGGACAGATCACAAGGTCAGGAGAGCAAGACCATCCTGGCTAACATGATGAAACCCTGTTTCTACTAAAAATACAAAAAAATTAGCCAGGCGTGGTGGTGGGCGCCTGTAGTCCCAGCTAGCTGGGAGGCTGAGGCAGGAGAATGGCTTGAATCTGGGAGGCAGAGCTTGCAGTGAGCCGAGATCGCACCACTGTACTCCAGCCTGGACAACAGAGTGAGACTGTCTCAAAAAAAAAAAGAAAAAAGAAAAGTCCAACGTTGGTGAAGGCATATGGAAGATCTAGACTATGTCCTAATTATTCTAGACCAGTGAGACTTACTAAATCTAAAAGTTATACAAAAAGTGAAGATAGGCCAAGGAAGAGCCTCTGATCTTCTCCAGCCTTGTCATCTACTTGCCCATTTAGGCAAGACTCTCAATGTACATGAATCACTCACTGCCTTCATTTAATTTAGATACCCTACTAGTACATAACCTAGATGTTGCAAGGAATATTCCATTCACTGATGGAAATAGAGCAGCAAAGAAAGCAAGCAAACGGTGCTCAAGATCCACCATATATACCTCATTGTCTAAGTGGGAGCCCAGGGTTCTGACTCTACCTGTTAAACAGATGAAGATATCTGTCATGAGTTGGAAGGAGCTGCATCCTCCCACTTTGGGGAATAAAGAATTTGATCTCAGCTCAACAAGCCTGGAAAGTTCTGCCTTACCTTAGAAGGATCCTTGTCAAAGTTTGCCTTACCTGAGAAATGAGAAGTAGCATCTTCCCGCAACATGAATAAATACAAATAACTTCTAGAATTCTGCAATGGAGGTTCTCATCTCAAGTCGCTCACTCTTGGTATCAAAAGTGTAATTGTCTAGCAAAGACATAGAATCAACCTAGGTGCCCATTGATGGTGGCTTGGACAAAGGAAATGTAGTACACATACTCCATGAAATGCTATGCAGCCCTGGCTGGGCGCGGTGGCTCACGCCTGTAATCCCAGCCCTTTGGGAGGCCGAGGTGAGCAGATCACAAGGTCAGGAGATCAAGACCATCCTGGCTAACACGGTGAAACCCCGTCTCTACTACAAATACAAAAAATTAGCCAGGCATGGTGGCATGTGCCTGTAGTCCCAGCTACTCAGGAGGCTGAGGTAGGAGGATGGCGTGAACCCGGGAGGTGGAGCTTGCAGTGAGCCGAGATCGCACCAATGCACTCCAGCCTGGGCAACAGCAAGACTCTGTCTCAAACAAAAAAAAAAAGAAAGAAAGAAATGCCACACAGCCCTAAAAAATAATGAAATCATGCCCTTTGCAGCTACGCAGATGTAGCTGGAGGCTATTTTCCTAAGCAAATTAATGCAGGGACAGAAAAACAAATACTACATGTTCTCACTTATAAGTGGAAGTGAAGCTCTGGGCACACATGGACATAAAGATGGGAACAACTGATATTGGGGACTACTGGGGAGAGGGAGGAGGGGGACATGGGCTGAAAAACTACTGGGTAATATGCTCACTGCCTGGGTAATGGGATCATTGATACCCTAAACCTCAGCATCATGCAATATACCCGTGTAATAAACCTGAGGTCAGGAGTTCGAGACCAGCCTGACCAACACGGTGAAACCTCGTCTCTATTAAAAATACAAAAATTAGCTGGGCGCTAAGGTGGTGGACCCCTGTAATCCCAGGTACTCAGGAGGCTGAGGCAGGAGAATCACTTGAACCCTAGAGGCGGAGGTTGCAGTGAGCTGAGATCATGCCATTGCACTACAGTCTGGGCAACAGAGTGAGACTCTGTCTCAAATAAATAAATAAATAAATAGTTGAAAAGAATGTTAACATGTGATTGTCTCATCCATGATGAGGAAGTCATGACGGGCTGGACAGCAGGCAATTCATATCTCAGTGCTCCATGTTTTGTGGCAATCTGTTCTTACCTTTTCTAAATTTTGAAATAAGAAATTTTAAATGACCTGAAACACAATTTTTGAAGTCAAGCCAGTCTACAGAAAATACATATTTTGCATCCTCTTTTCAAGTCAGACAAGGCAATCTTGCATCTCAGCATCAGCCTCTTGCCTTCATACATCTTACCTCAGTTCAAGGGGATATTTATCTAAAAATAACAAATCTAAACCACAGGAAAATTCATGTGCCCAAAGTATGCAAATCCCTGCTGACTAATAAATCAACAACTTATGTCACAAAGTCCAATAGTTACAATGACCAGAAGTGTTATACTTATGGCATCTTGGATAAGGGAGGCACTGGAGGACAGAAGGTCATTCCTGCAGACAGAGAGCCAGCTACTTTACAAGGAGCTTCAGATTCTTTAAGATCAGAATGACACTGTCCAAATCCAGATTCAATCACTGTTTCATATATTAGTCTTAGTGTAGAAGGGACTTGAAAGCTTCTTGGAAAATGAAGATGATCATGCAATAACAATAACAGACTTTGTGGATTATCATCCAATTGCCTTTTGGAAGCTGGTGTGGTGCTTTAGACATTTTAACTTGTGCAGTCGCTTAGCAGGATTGATTTTTTTTTTTCTGAGCATTGTACCAGGTATTCAAAGATTCTCCATCATTATATGTCTGAAGGTGATAAATACATTTTAGTATGCATGTTTTAGGGAATATAAAACTACATCTGGATCTGGGACACCCTTGAACATCCTCTGGAATGTCCACACACAAAATGACCCAATGGTCTCTTTATTGCAAAAAAGTGATAATTTACTTAACCAGGAACTACTGAAAAGTTTGTTTGGGCCGGGCACAGTAGTTCACGCCTGTAATCCCAACACTTTGGGAGGCCGAGGAGGGCAAATCACGAGGTCAGGAGATCGAGACCATCCTGGCTAACACAGTGAAACCCCATCTCTACTAAAAATTCAAAAAAATTTAGCTGAGCGTGGTGATGGGCGCCTGTAGTCCCAGCTACTCAGGAGGCTGAGGCAGGTTAATAGCGTGAACTCAGGAGGCGGAGCTTGCAGTGAGCCAAGATCGTGCCACTGCATTCCAGCTTGGGTGACAGAGCGAGACTCTGTCTCAAAAAAAAAAAAAAAAAGAGTATGTTTAAATCATTAAAAATTAATCTGTGGACCAATGAGGCATTTAGAGACATTGAATAAGTATCTGCATTTTAAGACATAGCAGAGGTAGTGTAGAGAAATATGAATCCTTTCACTTTTGGATCTGGGAAGAGAAAATATCGACATAAGATGCTTTTGATATAGATTATAAGATGGCTTAGGATCACCGTACCATGATCATATCACAGTTAAGCAAGAATCTATGCAACTGTGATGGATCGCCCAGGAACTACAGGGGTGGTAGAGTGCTGAAAAACCTTTGGAAGTGTATGTGAATGCATGTGTACTTTCAATATGAGTTGTATAATCAGCATGTAAAGCAGTACTTCTATAAACATGCAAGAAAAAAATGGAAGTCGTAACAATGGCAAACTGCCACATCTCAACGACAGCAGCAACAAAAGATCTAGAGCTAAAACCATTAGAATGAAAAAGATACTGCAGAAATACAGTTTTCATGAGCCATTTCAGTCTCTGACAGATCAAACAGATGCCCCTCAAGCTTGATAATATATTTGAGCAATATAATTTTAAAAAGTAATCTGTATTTATATGTATCTATTATAACCTTGCCAAGGCTAGGATCTTGGATGTGGTCCTTTAATAGCTGGTCACTGGATCTTTGGGGAAAAAAGCCATCTAGCATAAAGGGTAAAGCACTGGAATCACACAAACAGGTTCACTTCTTGACTCTTCTGTTCACTTAATAAAAGGAAATATTTTGTTTCTCTGAACCTCACTTTCCTCATGAGTAAAATGGGGTAATGGAACAGCTGTCTGTGATAATGCATAGAAAGCCCTGTAACAGTGTCTGCTCCAGTGTGGATGCCCAATGTACATCAGCTCTGATTGCAGCAGCAGCAGACTCCCGTCATCTGCCCTTGCCTTCCTCTGCCAAGGGCCATTACTCAGGCCTCTCCACTGACAGCAGAGAGGACTTGCCTGGCATACAATTCATGCCAGTGTTCTCCTATAACGTCACTGATTTCTGTAACTACCGTATCCACCTGTTGTATTAGGGGGCCACCCCTGAGCTTCTCTTCCTGGTGGGGAGAGACGAGGAAAGAAAGCAGCAGCATCTCCTAGGCAATGGGGACAATTTTATCACTTCTGCTACCTAGATCCCGGAGCTAAGGAGGAAGCTCCCAGGGCACATCAGCCTTGCTCTAAAGACCAGTTCCCCAGCCAATTTATTGCTTAACTGTCTAATTCCACCCAGGAATCCGAATGGACTCCCCAGCATCCTAGTTCACTAACTGTGCCTGTATCTGCTTCAATCGCAGTTTGGACAGATTTTGAGTTGTTGCCCACATGGTTTCTTTTTTTTTTTTTTCTTTTTTTTTTTTTTTTTTTATGAGACAGAGTTTCGCTCTTGTTGCCCAGGCTGGAGTGCAGTGGCGTGATCTCGGTCTCGGCTTACTGCAACCTCTGCCTCCCAGGTTCAAGTGATTCTTCTGTCTCAGCCTCCCAAGTAGCTGGGATTACAGGTGCCCACCACCATGCCCGACTAATTTTTGTATTTTTAGTACAGATGGGGTTTCATCATACTGGTCAGGCTGGTCTCGAACTCCTGACCTCAGGTGATCTGCCCGCCTTGGCCTCCCAAAGTGCTGGGATTACAGGTGTGAGGCACAGCGCCCAGCCGCTTACATGGCTTCTTGCCACATCTGGCCTATGGCTGGTTTCCCAGGAGGTTGTCCAACTCGCACTCCGGCATCATTGAACCTGAATATCGATCTAGCTGAGGCCCCTGATACTACTATATTCTACAGAAAATAAATCTTCTTGGCCGGACATGGTGGCTCATGCCTGTAATCCCAGCGCTTTGGGAGGCCAAGGTGGGCGGATCATGAGGTCAGGAGATCAAGACCATCCTGGCTAACATGGTGAAACCCCATCTCTACTAAAAATACAAAAAATTAGCTGGGCATGGTGGCGGGCGCCTGTAGTCCCAGCCACTCGGGAGGCTGAGGCAAGAGAATAGCATGAACCCAGGGGGCAGAGTTTGCAGTGAGCCGAGATCGTGCCACTACACTCCAGCCTGGGCGACAGAGCGAGACTCTGTCTCAAAAAAAAAAAAAAAAGGAAATCTTCTCTTTCTGAGAGCTCCATAGAACATTTACCAACTATGAATCATGTAGTCAGAAATAAAGAAAATCTTAATAAATTCACAAAAACAGAAATTGGGTAGGCCACATTCCCTAATCACAATGCAATAAAACTAAAAGTAGTTTATTTAAATTATAACCCAAATTACCCCTAAATATTTGGAATTTTTTTAGAAGTATTCTAGGCCAGGCATAGTGGCTCAAGCCTGTAATCCCAGCACTTTGGGAGGCCGAGTCGGGTGGATCACCTGAGGTCAGGAGTTCGAGACAAGCCTGGCCCACATGGTGCAACCCCGTCTCTACTAAAAATACAAAAATTAGTTGAGCCTGGGGGCACGCAACTGTAATCCCAGCTACTCGGGAGGCTGAGGCAGGAGAATTGCTTGAACCTGGGAGGCAGAGTTTGCAGTGAGCCAAGATTGCGCCATTGCACTCCAGCCTAGTTGACAAGAATGAGACTTCATCTAAAAAAATAAAGAAGTATTCTAATAACTAGACAAAGGAGGAGATCAATAATAGAGAACAGTCAGCCCTCGCTATCCATGGGTTCCACATCTGCAGATTCGACCAACTGTAAATCAAAAATATTCAGAAAAAATTCCAGGAAAGTTTATGTTGTTGCTGATTTATACTATGTAGTTAGGCCTATAACTAACATGTATAGACTTTTTTTCTTATCATTATTCCCTAAACAATATAATAACCATTTACATTGTGCTGGGTATTATAAGTAATCTAGAAACGATTTGAAGTATATGGGGCCAGGCGCGGTAGCTCATGCCTGTAATCCTAGCATTTTGGGAGGCCAAGGCGGGCAGATCACCTGAGGTCAGGAGTTCGAGCCCAGCCTGGCCAACATGGTGAAACTCTTTCTGTATTAAAAATACAAAAAAACCTAGCAGAGCATGATGGCACGCACCTGGAATCCCAGCTACTCAGGAGGCTGAGGCAGGAGAATTGCTTGAACCTGGGAGGAGAAGGTTGCAGTGAACTGAGATCGTGCCACTGTATTGCAGCCTGGTTGACAGAGTGAGACACTGTCTCAAAAAAAAAAAAAAAAAAAAGCATATGGGAGAATATATGTAGGTAGTATATAATACTATACCATTTTATATCAGGGACTTGAGCATCCACAAATTTTGGCATCTGCAGTGGGCTCCTGGAACCAATATCATTCAGATACTGAGAAATGGCTGTAATACGTCATTTAGAAAATAATGAGTACTTATCAAAGCATGAAATGAGGCTAAGCAGGATTGAGAAACAAATTCATAAACTTTAATTGTTTAATTAAAAAAAGAAAAAGCATGCTAAGCTATAAGGATAAAATTACAGGGGAGAAAAGAGTCCCAAGGAAGGAAATAATTAAAAGAAGAAATAATAATAACTTTCTTATAATGAGTGCCTAATATGTTTATAGTCCTCTTATATGCATTCTCTAATCCCTACAAGATTTCAAATATGGTATTACTACTATTCCATTTTGCAGATGAGAATACTAGTCTCAGCAAGGTTGGGGAGCTTGTCTGAGGCCTCATAGCTCGTAAGTTGTGAAAGAAATTTGAGCTCAAGTCAGTATGACTTCATACATTCCTCTAATTCCACTATCCACTTCAGTCTGCTCTTTGTACTATATTGCATTCATTCAAACACACATTAGAAAATAAACCACATGCAGCCGGGCGCGGTAGGTCACACCTGTAATCCCAGTGCTTTGGGAGGCAAAGGAGGGGTGGATCACGAGGTCAGGAGATCGAGACCATCCTGGCTACATGGTGAACCCCGTCTCTACTAAAAATACAAAAAAAAATTTAGCTGGGCATGGTGTCGGGCGCCTGTAGTCCCAGCTACTCGGGAGGCTGAGGCAGGATAATGGCGTGAACCCCGGAGGTGGAGCTTGCAGTGAGCCAAGATCGCACCACTGCACTCCAGAGGAAGACTCCATCTCAGAAAAAAAAAAAAAAAAAAGAAAAAAGAATAAACCACATGCTGGGTCATTGAAAATAATTGTATAATTAATAAACGTCAGACAAAATGTAATGAACAAAAAAGATAATTAATATAGTACTATATCAGATGCCAAGATTTTAAAATATAAGCTGGTAATTTAAAAGTACATAATAATACTTGACAAAATCTCACTAGAATAATTTTCTAAACATATAAAATGATTAAAACTGGCACAATAAATTCTCTATCCATTAGGATTCATTTTGGCTTCAAATGACAGAAAATCCAAAATAACAGTGAAGTTTAGTCCAGCTACTGTGGGACTCCTAAACTCTGTTATTTTGTTGCTCTGCCATCCTCAGCAAGAGGTTCCCACCTCATGACACAAAATGGCTGGGGAGTCTTCAGCCATCACCTTTTTATTTTAGCAAGTAAGAAAAAAGGCACAAATTCTTCTTCTAAAGATGATATCCAGAAGTTACGAATATCACTTTTGCATCCACCCTGTGGTAGACAGACTCAAAGATGGTTCTCAAATATCCCAAATACCTTTCTGTAATCCTGTCCCCTGTAGTGTGGGCAGGACCTGTGATTGGTTTCTAACAAAGGATCTGCTAAAGGTGATGAGATGTGACAATTCTCTCCCTTGCTGGCTTAGATGACCTTAGCTGACATATATGAAGAAGCCCAGGTAACAAGGAACCAAGCATAGCTTCTAGTCAGCATCTAGCAAAGGTCAGAGACCCTCAATCTGACAGTTCACAAGGAACTGAATCCTGCCAACAACCATCTGAGCTTGAAAGTGGATTCTTCCCCAGTCCAACCTCAGATGAGACCCCAGACCTAACTGCCACCTTGATTGCAGCTTTAAGACAGAGGCTGAAGCAGAGAATAGTTATGTAAGTCCAGAATCTTGACCCACAGAAGTGGAGATAATGAATAGGTTTTGTTTAAGCTGCTATTGTGATAATATTATTACTAGATACGAATACACTCTTCATTCACCAATACTGATTCACATCGCTACACATAGCTGCAAAGGAAGCTGGAAAGTGTAGTCTTAATTCATTGGCTATATGTAAGCTAAACATCCAAAATTCTACTGCCAAGGAGAAGAGAAGAATGGATACTGGGCCCCAGCCAGGGATCTGTGCTCCAGCAGACTAAGCAAATAACCAGGAGAAAAATAAGAAATGTTATCAGAGGGCTAAGCGCAATAGAATATTTCAAGCCACAATGCCTTCAGTATTAAATTATTGCAAACATTTAAGAAACAAAAAAATCCTTTCATCATTAAAAAAAACTATTCCAAATTAACTTTTGCTGCTGACATGGCAAACTGAAATAATACTTTTAGTAAAATGATTTATAATATGTGTTAAGAGCCATGAAAAGTGTCTATCCTTGACTCAATAATTTCAATTCTATAAGTATATCCCAGAGAAAAATACAATTATAGAGGAATAAATCTATGTAATATACTTATCATTGCACAGAAATATTACTAACAGAAAAAAATTAAAATCACCAAAATATTCATTAGTATATCAGCCAACAAGTAAATTAGTGTCCACCTTCTTAATAAAATTATCATGTAGTCATTAAAAATAATTACAAAGACTGTTTTGTAGCATAAAATGTAGAATGTAGGCTGGGTGTGGTGGCTCACACCTGTAATCCCAGCACTTTGGGAGCCTGAGGTGGGAGGATTGCTTGAGCCCAGGAGTTTGAGACTATCCTGGGCAACATAGTGAGACTCTGTCTGTACAAAAAAGAAAAAGGAAAAATTAGCCAGGCGTGGTAGTGCACACCTGTAGTCCCAGCTACTTGGAAGCCTGAGGCAAAAGGATCACTTGGGCCCAGGAGGTCAGAGGTTACAGTGAGCTGTGGTCACGCCATCACACTCCAGCCTGAATGACAGAGGAAGACCCTGTCTCAATTTTTTTTAAAGGACAATGTAAAGATGCCAAGTGATGAAAACAGAATTCAAAAAACATTGTTTTAAAAAGAATGAATAGCAATACAATAATGACAGAAGTGATTGTTTTGGTGAATAGGATTATTGTTTATTGTTTTCCTCAAATTTTCTAAATTTTCTCTAATTATTTGTGTAACTGAAAAATTTTTAAATAACAAACAAAAGATTAAATAACAATAACAGCTGTATCTATTGGACTTCACTGCCAACATAGCAAACACTTTGGACTACTCTTTGTATATGTTATCTAATTTAATCTGCACATTAACTCCATAAGTCACTACCAATATAGTCCCAATTTTGCAATAGAGGAACCGAAGCCACAAGAAATGTTAAGTTCTTCACCCAGGGACACAGCCAGGACCATGGCAGAGAGCGTTTCAATCCATATATGTCTGACTATAGAATCCAACATTTCAAACACTGGGCTAAAGAGCAAAGAGTAAGTGAAAGAAATACAAATAGCAAGTAACATTTCATGAGAGAAATGAGTGGGTAAGGCAATTGCCCAGGAAATCACATTGAGGGGAGAAATGAATACAGCTCATAAATTCAAAACCAAAAGTCCACAGCCTTCTGGATGTCACAGGGCTTTTGGTATCGTATTTTAATGTTTAGACATTCAACATTTTAAGAGCTCACTCCTTTGTGGTCAAGCCCTTTGAAACAATGAGCTTTATGCATGGCTTGTTTTTGTGCCTAATGATCCGTGGTAGAAGAACTTACTGTCTCGGTGACCTCTGTCTCCTGGCGACAGTGAGGCCCACCTGGTCTTCCCAGCATCCCTGTGGTTATGTGGCAGTTTATCAAATGGCCACAAGCACAATAGTGAATCAGTATTGAATGACAATAATTTCAAAGGTAAGTTCAAAAATAAGCTCTTTCTAAAATTCTTTTCATGAGTCATACCACAAGAGTAAAAAACAGATTTTGTGAGCAAGGAGGTACTTCTCTCACACAAATGACAAGTTTTTATATATAATAATAACTTAGAGTTGCTAACCTCCATATGCAGGAATGAAACTATTCTGCATTAGGTCATCAGCAATTCAGCTCTGATCTTTCTATCTGTTTTGAAGAACCTTTCCTTCATCTGAGGTCAATGTTTGTAGGATCAGAATAACATCCTGCATTTTTAATGAGCTTTTCAAATCACATATTTTGCAAAAGGTCATGCCTCCTGTGTTATTTTTATTTCATTTTGGAAGGAAAGTTAAATGTTTATAGCTCAATGGGCAATTTTAAGTTCTTCTACAAGATCCTGTTCAAAGGAAATACATTAGAGTTTGTGTGTATTCTGTAAACTTGCATTTGGGAGAGAATATGATGTGCATATGTGTCCACATGGTGATCATAATTCCTCTAATATGATACCCTTGGGTTTAATCATACCATGTTAATTCAACTGGACTTAGAGTTCTAATTAATTTAAAATTCTAATACAAATTTTAATGAATTCCTAAGCAAAAGACCTTCCTTGTTCTTGAATAGGACATTTCAACATCATAATGATGTGAGTTCTCCCTGAGTTTAGTTATAAATATAATGCAATCATAGTTTTTAAAATAAGCTTTTATTTTTCTGGAGGTAGGCAAGTGGTAACAACATTCTTATAGAAAAATAAATAAGCAAGAATAGCTAAGGAAGCTCTGAAAAGGAGGAACTGTGAAAGTGATTAGCCTTCTTAGGTTGTAAAACATACTACAAAACCTCTGTAATTAAAGTAGTGTGGTATTGGCATATAAATAGATAAACAGACCAATGGGAGTGGAATAAAAGTCTAGATCTTAACTGCATATGGAAACTTAGAGTGTGATAAACGGAACATTTCAAATTACTAGAGCAAAGGTGGATTTTTCAAATACATGGTATTGAGACAACTGGTAGCCATTTGGAGAAAGATGAAATTAGATCCATTCCTTACACCAAACACACACACATTCACACACACATCCACACACACACACAGAGGCACACACACGTACACATGAAGATCAGAGCTCTAAATATAAGAAACAAAACCATGAAAGTACTAGAAGAAAGCAGGGGCCGGGCATGGTCGCTCACGCCTGTAATCCCAACATTTTGGGAGGCTGAGGCGGCCAGATCATGGGGTCAGGAGTTTGAGACTAGCCTGGCCAACATGGTGAAACCCCGTCTCTAACAAAGATACAAAAATTAGCCAGGTATGGTGGCGGGCACCTGTAATCCCAGCTACTCTGGAGCCTGAGGCAGGAGAATTGCTTGAACCCAGGAGGCGGAGGTTGCAGTGAGCCAAGATTGTGCCACTGCGCTCCAGCCTGGGTGACAGAGCAAGACTCCGTCACGAAAAAAAAAAAAAAGGAAGAAGAAAGCAGGAGTTACTTCCTCTATCATATGGATGTAGGAGAAGGCAAACTAGGACTCCAAATCCAAATGCAATGACATCAAAGACTGATAAAGTTGACTACATTAAAAATGTTTTGAATGACAAAAATACATCATAAATGAAGTCAAAAGACAAATGACAAATATGTTGTAAATATTTGCAATATGTAGGTAATATCTCTAAGAAACTGTTGAAAATTGAGAGGGGAAAATGAAGACCAAAACTCTACAGAAAAATAGGAGAAGACATAAACAATTAAAACACAACAAAACATACAAAAATGTCCTTTAAACCTATGAAAATATATTCAACTTTGTTCATAATAATATACACAAAATAAAATCTCACTGATATACAATTTTTCACCTATCAGGCAGAAATTCAAAGTTTAATGATATCTTTCGGACAAAACTGTGGGGGAAATAGACTCTCCCTCAGTCATACAGCACGGGGAGACATATGAAATGGTAAACCAAGTTGAGTGGAATTTAGCAATATGTAACAAAACTACACACGCATTTACCCTTCAGCGAATTCAGCAATCTCTCTTCTATAGACCTACCCTGAACATACATCTACAACAATATAAAAATACAAAAGCATAGGTTATTCATTATTTGTCATTGCAAATTATTGTCAATTACCTACATGCCCAATATTGGAAACTGGTTCGATATTGATACATACACCCAATGGAGTACTATGCAGTGGGGAAAAAAAGAACAGGAAAGATCTTTATAAACATATGTGGAGTTATTTTCAAGATAGTTCGTTAAGTTAGAAAAATCAAAGTGCAAAAGAGTTTATGTAATACATTGTGTTTTGTGTAAGAAATATGGGGCAATAGGAAAACATATATGTATCTGCTTACTTTTGCAAAACACACGTATGTACAATGAATTAAGCATAGAACAATGAAATTTTTTACCTATGAGGGATGAAGGAAATAGGATAGGAAAACTAAAGAAAAGAATGAGATGTTTATAAGTAAATCTTCATATACAGGTATGACTTTTGAAAGCAGGTCAACAAATTAATATGTTAAATCAACAAGAATGAGGGGAAAAAACCTAAAAAATAATGTATTTGGAAATAAATGATATAAAGAGTATTACAAACAAAAAACATACCACATTGAGGGAGGAAAGTATGTACTAATACACTGATTTGGTTTGACCCTGTGTCCCCACCCAAATCTCATGTTGAACTGTGATCCCGAGTGTTGGAGGTGTGGCCTGATGGGAGGTGATTGAATCATGGTGGTGGTTTCTAATGGTTTATCCCCCCCACCGCCAGTTCTGTCTTGTAATCGAGTTATCATGAGATCGGGTTGTTTAAAAGTGTGTAGCATGTCCCCTTCACTCTCTCTCTTGCTGGCCACGTGAAGATAGGCCTGGTTCCCCTCCACCATCCTGAGGCCTCTCCAGAAGTAGAAGCCTGTAGAGCCCACAGAACCATAGCCAATTAAACCTCTTTTCTTTATAAATTACCCAGTCTCAGGTAGTTCTTTAGAGCATGGGGCAACACAGAGAGAACAGACTTACACATGGGGAGAACGAACTAATACAGAAAATTGGTACCAGACAAGTGAGGCATTGCTATAAAGATACCTGAAAATGTGAAAGCAGCTTTGGAACTGGTTATTGGGCAGAGGTTGAAACCATTTGGAGGGCTCAGAAGTGGACAGGAAGATGAAGGAAGCTTTGGAGCTTCCTAGAGACTTGTTGAATGGTTGAGACCAAAATGCTGATAGTGATAGGGACAGTGAAGTCCAAGCTAAGGAGGTTTCAGATGGAGAGAAACTTATTGGGAACTGGAGTAAAGGTCACTCCTGCTATGCTTTAGCAAAGAGGCTGGCGGCATTATGCCCCTGCTCTAGGGATCTGTTGATTGTTGAACTTGAGAGAGATGGTTTAGGGTAGCTGATGAAAGAAATTCGTAAGCAGCAAAGTGTTCAATATGTGACTTGCCTGCTTCTAACAGCATGCACTAATATGTGTGCACAAAGTGATTATCTGAAATTGGAACTTATATTTAAAAGGAAAGCAGAGCACATAAGTTTAGAAAATTTGCAGCCTGACCATGTGGTAGAAAAGAAAAAAACATTTTCTGGGGAGGAACTCAAGCCTACTGTAGAAATTTGCATAAGAGGAGCAAAATGTTAATAGCCAGCCAGTCACAGTGGCTCATGCCTGTAATCCTAGCACTCTGGGAGGCTGAGGTGGGAGGATCATGAGGTCAGGAGATCAAGACCATCCTAACCAACATGGTGAAACCCCATCTATACTAAAAATGCAAAAATTAGCTGGGCGTGCTGGCATGTGCCTGTAGTGCCAGGTACTCAGGAGGCTGAGGCAGGAGAATCATTTGAACCCAGGAGGCGGAGGCTGTGGTGAGCTGAGATCGTACCACTGCACTCCAGCCTTGGCTTCAGAGCAAGACTCTGTCTCAAAAAAAAAAAAAAAAAAAAAAAAGTTAATAGCCAAGACAATAGGGAAAATGCCACCGAGACGTTTCAGGGACCTTTGTGGTGGCCCCTCCCATCACAGACCTGGAAGTGTAGGAGGGAAAAAATGATTTCATGGGTCAGGTCCAGGGATCTGCTGCTCTGTGCATCCTCAGGACATAATGCTCTGCATCATGGATACCTCAGCTCCAGCCATGGCTAAAAGGGGCCAAGGTATAGTTCTGGCCATTGCTTCACAGGGTGCAAGGCCCAAGCCTTGGTAGCTTCTACACAGTGTTAAGCCTGCCGGTGCCCAGAGAGCAAGAATGAGGCTTGGGAGCCTCCACCTAGATTTCTTTTCTTGTTTGTTCTTAAAGTGAAAGCAAGTTTATTAAGAAAGTAAAGGAATAAAAGAATGGCTACTCCATAGGCAAAGCAGCCCTCCACCTAGATTCCAGAGGATACATGGAAACACCTGGATGTCCAGGCAGAAGTCTGCTGCAGTGATCACAGACTAAGTGATCACAATTAACACCAGTAATGAGGGACAGATGGGCATCGTGTACCAGCAGATACAATGCTCAAGGAGAACGTCTACTAGGGCAGTGCAGAGGGGAACTGTGTGGTTGGAGCCCCCACATCGAGTCCCCACTGGGGTACTGCCTAGTGGATCTTTGAAAAGAGGGCCACCATGATCTAGACCCCGGAATAGTAGATCCATTGACAACTTGCATTGTGTGCCTGGAAAAGCCACAGGCACTAAACACCAGCCCATAAAAGCAGGTATGGAGGCTGTACCCTGCAGAGTCACAGGGGTAGAGCTGCCCAAGGCCTTGGGAGCCCATCCCTTGCATCAGTGTGGCCTGGATGTGAGACATGGAGTCAAAGGAGATTATTTTGGAGCTTTAAGATTTAATGACTGCCCTGCTGGGTTTCAGACTTGCATGGGGCCTATAGCCCCTTTGTTTTGGCCAATTTCTCTCTTTTGGAAAGGAAGTATTTACCCGCTGCCTGTACCCCCATTTTATCTTGGAGGTAAATAACTTCTTTTTTTATTTTATAGGTTCATAGGCTGAAGGGACTTGCTTTGTCTCTGATGAGATTTTGGACTTAGACTTTTGAGTTGATGCTGGAATGAATTAAGACTTTGGGGAACTGTTGAGAAGGGACGATTGTATTTTGCAATGTGAGAAGGACATGAGATTTGGGAGGGGCCAGGGGCAAAATGATATGGTTTGGGTCTGTGTCCCCACCCAAAACTCACGTTGAATTGTTATCTTGAGTGTCGGAGGTGGGGCCTGGTGGCAGGTGATTGGATCATGGGAGTGGTTTCTAATGGTTTAACACCATTCCCCTAGTGCTGTCACATAATAAAGTTATCATGAGAACTGGTTGTTTTAAAGTGTGTAGCACTTCCCCCCTTAACTCAATCTCAATGTCTCTCCTCTCTCCTCCTTCTTCCTCTCCTTCTCTCTCTCCTCCTGGCCATGTGAAAAGGTGCCTGCTTTTCCTTCACCTTCAGCCAGGATTGTGTTTCCTGAGGCCTCCCCAGAAACAGAAGCCTGTAGAGCCTGCAGAACCATAAGCCAATTAAAACTCTTTTCTTTATAAATTACCCTGTCTCAGGGGGTAATTTATAGCAATAGAACAGACTAATACATACAGGGAACATTTGAACACAGTCCTTTAGTTATATACCCTCAGTCTAGGGGAAAACTGCAAACAAATCTTGAGCTTCTTAGAGGGTTTTATGGTTTTTTGTTTTCTTTTTTGTTTTTCATAGTGGTTTTA
The DNA here is from genome assembly GCF_000001405.40 of Homo sapiens. NCBI lineage: Eukaryota > Metazoa > Chordata > Mammalia > Primates > Hominidae > Homo > Homo sapiens. Next base: position 3,881,693 of record NW_018654717.1, on the reverse strand, counting down.
GAATAGAAATTCTGAAGTCATTTTATATGTATTGTGGAATCGAGCAAAAAAGCATATATGATGATATTATTGGGAGCCAGGATACTCGCTGTGGAAGAAGGAAGATATAAAAATGTAGAGTTGAGAAAGGCAAGAAAGAACACTATGGAGGGATTGGGTTGAAATTGGAAGTATCTGTATAGACTCATATTTCAAGTATATTAAAATTATGGATATTTTCTAGTACTATCTGCTAAAAGGACCTAAAAGCAATTAACACATCTAGTAGCCAGATATTCATTTGTAAATACCATGGCTACATTGAAGGAGTTCTCACTGGCTAAACTTAAAAAAATTGGGGCATCAGAATGTTTATTTATGAATGGACATGTAAATAAATGACTCATGAACTATGAGTCCTTACTGATAATAAAGAACTAGATAGCCCAGGCATGGTGGTTCATGCCTATAATCCCAACACTTTGCAGGGCCAAGGTAGGAGGATTGCTTGCACCCTAGGAGTTGCAGATCAGCCTCGGCAACACAGCAAGACTCCCATCTCTACAAAAAATTTTTAAAAATTTGGGTGCAGAGGCACATGCCTGTACTCCCAGTTACTTGGGAAGCTGAGGTAGGAGAATCGTTTGAGCCTAGGAAATCAAGGCTGTAGTGAGCTGTGATCACACCATTGCACTCCAGCCTGGGTAACAGAGCAAGACCTTGTCTCAAAAAAAAGTAACTAAATAATAATAATAAAGAGACAGATGGTAGATTGAAAGGTAGGTAGGTAGATAGACAGATTAGATAGATGATAGATAGATAGATAGATAGATAGATAGATAGATAGATAGATAAGAGTTCATTCATCTAGGAGAATTTGAGCATGAAAGTAAACAAGAACTGTATTGGATGATGATCCTTTACCAGAACAGGAGCCCTGAGTCTATACTGATGATAGACAACCAGGCAGAGAGAGAGACAGAAGAGAAAGAGAGGAGAGTGAGGAGGAAGAGTTCATTCATAAAGCTCATTCATTAAAAATAAAACTCGTGATTTTTAACTGTATCACTCCCTGCCAACTGATAAATGTGCAGGAAGTAATGGAGTTAAAAACCATTATTTTGCAATGATCACAGTGAAGATTGTTTTGGGTAAGAATCAACAATAGATGCTAAATCTGAGGTAGAAAGGGAGTTTGATGAGGAGCAGTTTATTTATCTGGTCTTACTGTGCCTCCCCACAGAATATTTCGTGGTTGTAAGGGCAAATAGTGATAATGCAGTGGAGAAACTGGACAGCATCTAAACTAAGTGATCACAATTAACACCGGTAATGAGAGGCAGATGGGCGTTGTGTGCCTGCAGATACAATGCTCCAAGAGGATACAATATCAGGGTTTTTTTGTTTGTTTGTTTTCTGGCCATCAATGCAAAACTTGAATCTAATCATGAAGAAACATCAAACAAATCCAAACTGAAAAACATTATGTAAAATAACTGGCCTGTTGCCTTCAAAAGTACCAACGTTTTGAAAGATAAAGAAAGACAGGACAATTACAGATTAAAGGAAAATAAAGAGATGTGACAATTTAACATCATACCTGACCCTGGACTGTATCCTGAAGTGAAGGGGAAAAAAAAAACCATGGTATAAAGCTCTCATCAGAACCACTGACAAAATTGGAATATGTCTTTGATAAAGCATTTATTATGTCTATGTTGAACTTCCAAATTTTGTAACTACTGTGATTACATGTTCTAAACACAGTGATAGTCAACATACTCTATATAATAATGTGTGTTTTGTGTGTATGTGCATGTGTGGAGAGAGAGACAGAACAAATGAGGTAACATTGAAACTGACCCAATAGTCCCATAGACCATTATTTTGGATAGACATAGAAATTGACCCTTCTGGTCTTAAAGCTTAAAACTTAAATTTGTTTTATCTGAGTTCCTTCTTCAGGCCTCTCAAAAAGTACCAAAGAATTGAAACTCACCAGATCGCCATATCCAGACAATGAGATGCCAGACCCCTCATCCTTCATAATTGCTTCCTTACCTCTCTCTAATTCCTGTTTTTCTTTTTCTTTTTCTTTTTTCTTTTTTTTTGAGATGGAGTCTTGCTGTTGCCCATGCTGGAGTGCAGTGGTGCAATCTTGGCTCACTGCAAGCTCTGCCTCCCGGGTTCACACCATTCTCCTGCCTCAGCCTCCCGAGTAGCTGGGACTACAGGCGCCTGCCACCACGCCCGGATAATTTTTTGTATTTTTAGTAGACACAGGCTTTCACCGTGTTAGCCAGGATGGTCTCGATCTCCTGACCTTGTGATCCGCCTGCCTCGGCCTCCCAAAGTGTTGCGATTACAGGCGTGAGCCACCGTGCACGGCCCTAGTTCTTGTTTTTCTAAGCAACCACCTGCTTCCTGTTGACCAACTCCTTTTCCTTACCCCTTCCCTAGTTCCTGTTTTCCCACACATTGTTACATTTCTTCCCTGCTATATAAATCCCTAGTTTTACTCAGTCACAGAGATGAACTTGAGATTGATCTCCCATCTCCTCCACTGGAGCACCTGATTAAAACCTTCCTTGGCAATACCCATTGTCTCAGTGATTGACTTTCTGTGCACCAAGTAGCAGGACTTAGAGCGAACCCCTGGTGTTTTGGTAACAACATGTTAAAAACAATTGGTGAATTTGAATAAAGAGTATATGGAAATTCTTTGAATACACTGATACGTATATAAATTTCTGAACAGGTCGAGGACTTCCTTTTTTCTCATTCTCACTCAGCTTGGACAATTCCCTTAAATGAAAGACAATGTTTTATGTTCCTGTCTCATCTTCATGTTTGACTAGAAGAACCTTTTCCTGGCTGGGTGCAGTGGCTCACACTTGTAATCCAAGCATTTTCGGAGGCCGAGGCAGATGGATTACCTGAGGTCAGGAGTTCGAGACCAGCCTGGCCAACATGGCGAAACGCTGTCTCTACTAAAAGTACAAAAATTAGCCAGGCGTGGTGACAGGCCCTGTAATCCCAGCTACTTGGGAGGCTGAGGCATAGAATTGCTTGAACCCAGGAGGCGGAGGTTGCAATGAGCCAAGACTGTGCCACTGCACTCCAGCCTGGGCAACAGAGCAAGACTTCATATCAAACAAAACAAAACAAAACAAAACAAACAAACAAAAACAAAAAACTTCCTTTACCGATACCTTTATATGTTGTTTCATCTTACAATTTTATTTTGAGGTTGGTAAGAGAAGATTTTTCTCTTCCCGGTTGACAAATGAAAAACAAAAACAAAAGACTACAGTCTGAAAAGAGAATGTTCTTGCCAGAAATTAGTCAAGGAGAAGGGGAGGCCCGATGTGGATTTTGCACTAGGACTCTGGCCTCTCGGAGACAGCAGAGACATAGTGATGGTTTGGAGCAGGGTATGACCCAAGGAAAGCGGAGGTTCAGGGATTTTTCTGAGCAGCCCTGCTGCGATGATGAGCTTACTACTTCCTGGGCACTTCCCAGGAGAACCAGATTCCATCAAAGAGGCAGAACCTGAGCTCAAGGTAGGTTGGGCTATTATTCTGACCTGGAGACCATCCTCCCTCTCTTCCCTAACAAGGCCACACAATGATAATTATAATGACTTTTTTCTATTCTTCCTAGACTCATTTCTATTTAGTTAAAAATGCGCTTCCCTAATGATTCATTTATCAGCCTGTTCCTGTATTTAATCATGCTTTACCAACACCCCCCAAAAACTGTTTGAAATTAATTGTTATCCACCAAGGCCCAAGCCTCTCATATTCTCACCTTATTGCGCAGTACAGCATTGCCTTAAGTTATAGCAGTAATTAAACTGTGCTTTAATTAAGTAAGCCCTACCCTGCTCTTGTAACAGTCCCATTCAGGCAATTTCCTTCAAGTAATTTCCTTCATTTCAGTATTATTACTCACACCTACTGGGGCTAGAGGACTATATATGCAAGCACAGGGTGAGATTTTGTTTTGTCTTTGGGTGTTGATTAACCACCTTGGCAATATTGGTAATTTCTACAGCTCTATAAAATCTAGATCCTTGTTTTCTCCCTCCCAAATCTCTTCTGAAAAATTAAGAAAGCAAGCCTTTCTGCCATTCTTCAACTCAACTGTAATCAGTCTATAAATCTCTAGACCCAGGGAAGAATTGATATTTATAGCTCTTGCTGTTATTCACATTAGAAAACTTGGCAGACTGGAGGATACAAACTTTGAGTGTCTACCGTGAAGCACCACAGTGTGGGAGTCCTTGGATCTCTACTGAGTTACAGAAAACATGAAGAGTTTGGTACAACTGTGCTCTGTCAGCTTTGCAAATCGAGTGCTATTATGTTTTCCAGGCCTGGGTGGCCTAAACCAACACAGTCAAGGTCTCTCTTGCTCTGAGATGCATGCCTCTGTAGGTTTTGTTTTGTTTTTTTGTTTTTTCGTTTTTTTGTTTTTTTGTTTTTTTGAGACAGAGTCTCGCTCTGTCGCCCAGGCTGGAGTGCAGTAGCGCGATCTCGGCTCACTGCAAACTCTGCCTCCCGGGTTCACGCCATTCTCCTGCCTCAGCCTCCCGAGTAGCTGGGACTACAGGCGCCTGTCACCACGCCCGGCTAATTTTTTTTGTATTTTTAGTAGAGACGGGGTTTCACCGAGTTAGCCAGGATGGTCTCGATCTCCTGATCTCGTGATCTGCCCGCCTCTGCCTCCGAAAGTGCTGAGATTACAGGCATGAGCCACCGTGCCCAGCCCGTGCCTCTGTAGGTTTTTTATGGCTAAGGCCAGGCCCCAGGTCAGTCACTGCCTTGTGACTGGGAGTCAGATTAGGCATTTCTGCTTGGTCTACCGGTGACCCAACCCAGTAACTACAGGGGACAGGGTGACCAACCAACCTGGTTTACCTGGGATTGAGAGATTTCCAGGGACTTGAGACTTTCAGTGCTAGAATCAAGACAGTCCTGGGAAAAATGAGACAGGTGGTCACTCTGAGGTTGGATCCCTAAGGGGAGGAGTCTGTCTTTTTTTGAGACAGAGTCTTACTCTGTCACCCAGGCTGGAGTGCAGCAGGATGATCTCTGCTCACTCCAACCTCTGCCTCCTGGGTTCAAGTGATTCTTCTGCCTCAGCCTCCCGAGTAGCTGTGATTACAGGTGGGCACTGCCAAGACCAGCTAGTTTCTGTATTTTTAGCAGAGACATGGTTTCTCCATGTTCCTCAGACTGGTCTCGAGCTCCTGATCTCAAGTGATCCTCCTGCCTTGGCCTCCCAAAGTGCTGGGATTACAGGTATGAGCCACTGTGCCCAGCCAGAAGGGGTCCTTTCCTAATGTACTGTGCCCAAAGAAGCATAGCAGCTTGGGCTAGGATGGAACAATCTCTGATGACAAATTATATGGAATGATCAGGGACTTCCTATGGTTGGGGCCAAAATACAGAAAATGTATTTTTCCCCATTTGGGGAGCAGATACTCCTCAAGCCGACAGCAGCATTCCTGTTCTCAGTGACCAGTCCATTCTGACTAAAGGGCAGGCAGGAACTGGGTAAGACACCCATTCCCAGCATGCACAGAGAAGGGTAGGAAAGATTTACTAGAGAGTCAAGTGGGTCTAAGTTTGAGAGACACAGGTTGAGAGGACAACACAGAGCTCCAAACCCAGGAGGACTCAGGAGGGCTAAGCAAAAAGCAGATTTGTTTTGTTTTGTTGGTGTTGTTGTTGTTGTTTTTGAGACAGGGTCTTGCTCTGTCACCCAGGCTGAAGTACAGTGGCGCAATTGTAGCTCACTGCAATCTTGAATTCCTGGCTTCAAGCAGTCCATTCACCTCAGCTTCCCAAAGTGCTGAGATTCCAGGCATGAGCCACTGTGTCCAGCCAAAAAGTAGATTTATAATCCAAGATAAACACACTGGACCTGTGGATCTCAAACTTGATTCTAAGAATTCTCTGAGGTGCTTATTACATTATGAGGAATAACTGGCATTTATCAAGCCTTACTATGGGCCTGGCACCATTCTAGGCACTTTCAACTGGTTTACTCATTTAATCCTTTCTGTGGGGATGGTATTAAGGTGATTATCACCATCCAACCAATGAGCCAGAGGAAAGTTAAGTAATTTTCCCCAAGATTACACCAAGATTAAGGGAAAGAGCAGAGAATCTCTCCAGAGCTTGTGTTCTTAGTCACTGCATTATATTCCTTCTTATAGGCTATTGGTCTTCCTCGGTTAAAATACAGATGTCCAGGCCCACCCATATTTAAAAGTTTGGGGTGAGATTCAGGGATCTGCATTTTTAACAATAGCTAAAGTGATTATGCAGGGGTAAGCAATATCTTGGGGGTCAGGGGAGGTCTTTGACCCAACGGGCATGCGTAGGAAATCCAGGATAGTAAGTGAGTTTACAGCAAGTTCTAATTCTGGATCTCTCAGTCTGGTCTGCCCACTCTGGCAGTGGATTTTTCTACCTCCATCAGGATTGATTTGTAAGTGGGGCAGGACTGAGAGCGAATGATTCTTAACTGGGACTAGCAGAGGCAGGGACTAGCAACACCTCCTCCCTTCGGCCTGTCGGTGAATTTACTTGGAGAGAAGACGTTGCAAGAACTGAGCGCTAAAGGTGCGTGGCCAAACACGAACTAGTAAACGTCCTGAAGCACCCTTGGGACTGTGACTTTTAACTCTTGGAGATGAGGTAGTTCTCTGAGCTGAAAAGTGGTAGTAGCCCACGGGAACTGTTTGAAACATAATAAAGAAATGTTGGTGACCGAGCACAGTGGCTCACGCCTGTAATCCCAGCACTTTGGGAGGCCTTGGTGAGTGGATCACGAGGTCAGGAGTTTGAGGCCAGAGTGACCAACATGGTGAAACCCTGTCTCTACTAAAAATACAAAAATTAGCTAGGCGTGGTGGCGGGCACCTGTAATCCCAGCTACTTGGGAGGCTGAAGCAGGAGAATCACTTGAACCTGGGAGGTGGAGGTTGCAGTGAATGGAGATAGCACCACTGCACTCTAGCCTGGGTGACAGAGCAAGACTCTGTCTCAAAGAAAAAGAGACGTTGGCCTGCCTGGCATGATTTTCAGTCAAACACAGAATCAGTGTAAAAGCCTTCTGGTTAGATATGTGGTCTGAGCAGAGAAACATGGACGATTCTTTCTGTCTTCCTAATCTGAGGTTCAGAAAAACAGCCTCTCTGCCTTTTTCTTTAAACAGGGAATTCTTATTCCCTGACTCTTCTCAAACATCAGTATTTGCATTTCCTGAGTGGCAGATCAGGATCACTGTGCTTTGAACAATTGATCGTGGTCCTCTGGGTGTTTGCAGTGCTGAGTGCATTGGGGTTTGTGTGTGTGTGTGTGTGTGTGTGTGTGTGTGAGAGAGAGAGAGAGACAGAGAGAGGGAGAGAGGAGCACAGTAGCTTGTGCAAAGACCTCCTTTGCTATAGAAGCCTGATTCCAAACCTGTCTTCTTTCCCAGAAGTAATTACAATACACATTGCTGCTTCTCTTCAATGTGCCTGTGTTCTGGAAGCTGTGTGTCTCCAGCTAAGGAGAGCAGAGCCTGTTATCTTTCCTCAGTCCACCAGCAAGCTATATATGGCCTTGGAGAATTGATGGAAATCACATAGGTTACCGCTTCTTTCTCCTACCCTGTTCGTGGAGATTTTTAGATAATTCCACCACAGCAGACAGACTGCTGCTCCTGATCAAAACTCCACAGATTCTCTCGGCAGAGTGTTCACCTGCCCGCTGGCCTTTTGTAGAGGGTAAGATAATAAAGAAAAATTAGCATTCTACCGAGGTCTTTCTTCTCATAACAGGCTCAGCAGCTGGCTCTTCCTGCTGGGCTTTTCCCCAACTTTATCTTTGTGATTTGTGAAAGAAAAAAAGAAAGGAAGAACAATTAGAAGCATCATTTTAAGGTGTGTGCGCCTGGTGGAACCCTTTTAAGTGACATTCAGAAGACTTGGTTACCCACAATCCCTTGTGCCCCGGGCTGGTCTGGCCCAGATTTCTTGTTTCAATGACACTCATTCTTCAGCTTGGCCATTGTGCTTTGGTCTCTTCTCTAATGACAATACCCAGGGAATAAAACAGCTTGCTTCTTTTTTCTGTCTTTATTTTAAGGGCAATTCCCCTAGTCCTTTTATTCAATCACAGAAAAAAAAATGTTTGTTCTCATCAATGGTTCTGCTTGACTAAGACTAACCACAGGCAGATATACAGACAGATCTTAAAGCTGGTGGCCGGGAAACATTTTACCCTCTGTAGGTGAGCCGCTGTCTAAAAAATGCTCAATCTGCAGAAATCTGAACTTTCAAACATACTGACAGCAATTAAAGGTAGTCCTTCCAAAAAGGAATTCTTCCCAAGATTGATTTCTATAGGTAGTCACATACAGATCATTTGCTATAATTGAGAGATTGATGGAAATTCACTGGATAATAAAAATTAATTTGGAGAGAAATTTGAAATCAACCTGTCAGAACAACCAAAAAATTAAAATCTCTCAGAGATGTAAATCCTTCGGACTATAATGAAAGCCTATGCTAAAATAACATTTCATATATAAAAATCTAAACCATATTTTTTGTTTTTATAGCTAAAGTCTATAAAACTTGATGAACTGAATTTGAGTAATTTTGTTTTTAAAGCTAAAGTCTGATAACGTTTGATTGATTTATAGAGGCTCATCCATAAGTACAAGAAACAAACTAATGTAACCATATCATTACTCATTTTCTCATTCCGTCATGTCATCATTTCCAACGAGGACAGAAATGCAAATTAGATTCATATCAAGTGGAAGGAAAAAATATTCTTTTCTGTTTGAAAAAAGGCAGTCATAGAAAGAACCACCCAAAAGTTTTATGATTTTCTTCTGTTTCTCTTAAACATCTTGACAATCCAATAGATATAAAATGGTATCTTATTCTTTGACCTTATTTCTCTATAAAAAAATACTTTTACATATGTTTTTGGTCATTCAGATTTTCTCCTCTGTGAATGGCCCTAAATTAGTATTATGGTTGTCTTTTTTAATTTGTTAATAAGAGTAAATCTATATTACAGATATCTATATTACAGATTTATGTTATCCAATACAGTAGCTACCGGCCACATGTGATTGTTGAGCACATAAACTGTGGGTAAATCAAACTAAAGTGTGTTCTAAGTGTAAAATTGACACTGTGTTTTAAAAAACATTACAAGATTTAAAAACATTGCAAAATAAAGAATGTAAAATATCTTATTAATAATTTTAAAATGATTACATGTTGAAATGGTAGTAAGGATATACTCAGTTAAACAGAAGATATTATTGAAATGAACTTCACTTGTTTCTTTTTTACATGATGCTGCTAGAAAAGTTTTTAACACTGCTTTTTAATGACATTACAAGATAATTTTAAAATATGTATCTAGCAAGCCAGATAGCAAAATAAGAAGCCTCAGACCCTCCTTCTCCTCACAGAGACACCGATTCTACAATACACAGAATAATTCCCTTCATGAGAAATCCTGAAAAAAGTTATGAGGTTCCTGCACCCCAGATGCACAAAATCAGCCACGTTAATTTGTGGCACTACTCACCATATAGTGCCTTTCCCTGGCTCAATGCAGTGTAATTGTAAGAAACTCTTCAGGGGCTTCTCCCTTGGGGAGGCAAAGAGAAGATTGAAACATATATCCAACATACAGACTTTTCGAGGGTTGCCCAAGAACCTGGTTTCTATCTTACCTGAATCTAAGCATTAACATGAGAGAGAGCCAGGAGGGCAATGAGAACAAATGTAGGCCAGGCGCGGTGGCTCACACCTGTAATCCTAGCACTTTGGGAGGCCGAGGCGGGCGGATCACTTGAGGTCAGGAGTTTGACATCAGCCTGGCCAACATGGTGAAACCCTGTCTCTACTAAAAATACAAAAATTAGCTGGGCGTGGTGCTTCACGCCTGTAATCCCAGCTACTCATGAGGCTGAGGCAGGAGAATTTCTTGAACCTACGTGGCGGAGGTAGCAATTGGTGACTACACTGTAGCCTGGGTGACGGAGTGAGACCCTGTCTCAAAAAACAAACAGAAAACAAATGTGAAGTTTGGACTAGCATATACTCAATTGATGTCAGGATGGAATGAGCGGAAAAACCTCCCAACTCCTGGCTTCTCCCTGAGGAGGGAAAGAGTTGGAATGTGTATCCAATGTTACTGCTTTTCCAGGAGTTTCCCAAGAGACTGGTTTCTGTCTCATCTGACTCAAAGCTCTGACAGGAACTGTCACACTCTAGAAGCCTGGAAGTTGTTGATGAGAAAACTGAGTTGGGAGGCTTGTTGAAATTCCAGTTCCAGAGAAACTTCAGTATGGAAGGCTTACACCATAAGGAGTAATAGATTATGAGCTCCCAAAAAAAGAAACCAGAAAATCCTTCTAATTGGGAATTTACATGCACAGAGACAGAGAAGACATATCTACAGAGAAGGTGTGAGATTCTGGTAAAGTCTCTAGCCAGGCTGACTGGTGAAGGTCTTCCTCTGTATGAAGCCAGTTCATAAAGACTGAGAGGTGGCTGTTACAAGGCATGTGACAAAACAGGAAAGCATGGCCCAATCAAAGAAACAAAACCAATCTCCAGAAATTGACACTAAAGGAATGTAGATGTGAATTACCTTACAATTAATTTAAAAGAACCACCATAAAGATGCTCAATTAGCTCCAGAAAATGGTCCATAAACAAAATGAGAACATTAACACAGAGGTAGAAAATATTTAAAAGATTCAAGCAGATTTTTGAGCTGGAAAATAGAATAACTGAATCAAAAAATTCCCTAGAGAGGCTCAACAGCAGACCTGATCAAGCAGAAGAAAAAATCAGGGAACCCAAAGTCAAGTCACTTGAAATGATCTAATCAAAGGAGCAAAAAGAAAAAACAATAAAAAGAGTAAATTTATCAGAATAAAATTCCCTAAGGAATTTATGGGACTGCATCAGAAGCACCAATATATGCATAATGGAAGCAGCAGAAGAGGAAGAAAGAGAGAAAGAAGCAGAAAGCTCATCTAAGAAAAATAGATGACAATTTCCAATCTGGGAAAGGAAATTGACATTCAGATCTCAGAAGCCCAAAATACTCCAACTAGGATGATCCCAAAGAAGTCAACATGAAGAAACATTATAGTCAAATTGTCAAAAATCAAAGACAAAATTTTGTTTATTTTTTATTTTATTTTATTTTTTTTGAGACGTAGTCTTGCTCTGTCGCCCAGGCTGGAGTGCTGTGGCGTGATCTCGGGTCACTGCAAACTCCGCCTCCCGGGTTCACACCATTCTCCTGCCTCAGCTTCCCGAGTAGCTGGGACTACAGGCGCCCACCACCATGCCCGGCTAATTTTCTGTATTTTTAGTAGAGATGGGGTTTCACTGTATTAGCCAGGATGGTCTCAATCTCCTGACCTCGTGATCTGCCTGCCTCGGCCTCCCAAAGTGCTGGGATTACAGGTGTGAGCCACCGCACCCAGACAAAGACAAAATTTTGAAAGCAGCAAGAGAAAAGTGATTTATCACGTATGAGGGCACATATTTAAGACTATGGGTAAATTTCTCGATAGAAACCTTGCAGGCCAGAAGGCAGTGGGATGATATACTCAAAGTACTGAAAGAAAAAAACTGCAAACCAACAATACTATTTGTGTATTACTAATTCTAAAGAGGATGACAAAACTATCCTTCAAAATTGAAGGAGAAATAAAGACTTTCCCTACATTCATTGGAATGTAGGGAAGAGTTCATTACCACTAGATCGGCCCTACAAGAAAGGCTAGAGGAAGTTGTTCAACTTGAAATGAAAGGAAGTCAGACAGCAAAATGAAGTCATATGAAAGTATAACACATACTGGTAAAAGTAAATGTATGAAATACAGAATACTTTCATATTGTAATGGTAGTTATAAATCACTTTTAATTCCAGTGTAGAAGCTGAAATAGAAAGCCCGGGTGCGGTGGTTCATGGCTGTAATCCCAGCACTATGGGAGGCCGAGACGGGCAGATTACGAGGTCAGGAGACTGAGACCATCCTGGCTGACATGGTGAAACCCCATCTCTACTAAAAATACAAAAATTAGCTGGGCGTGGTGGCAGGCGCTTGTAATCCCAGCTACTCAGGAGGCTGAGGCAGGAGAATCACTTGAACCTGGGAGGCAGAGGTTGCAGTGAGCCAAGATCACAGCACTGCACTCCAGCCTGGGCAACAAAGCGAGACTCCGTCTTGAAAAAAAAAAAAAAAGAAGAAGAAGTTGAAATACAAAAGTATAAAAAATAACTATAACTATACAAACTTGTTAAAGGACACACACTCCTAAAAGCTGTCATTTGTGATTTTAATAACACAGTATAGAACTAGAGAGAAGTAAAAGAGTAGTGTTTTTGTATACAATTACAGTTAGATTGTTACCAGCTTAAAATTGATTGTTATTATAAGATGTTTTATGTAAGTTCCATGGTAACTCCACATAAAATACCTATAGAAGGTACACAAAGGAAAATGAGAAAGGAAACAAAGCAGGTCACTACAAAAAAAAAATCAACATACAAAGGAATACAGTAGGAGAGGAAAAGATGAACAAAAAAGCCACAAGACAGAAAATAATTAATGAAATGGCAATAGAAATCCCTACATACAAGTAATAAATTTAAATGTAAATGGATTAAACTTCTCAATCAAAAGACATACATCATGGCTGAATGAATTTTTAATAAAACAAACAAGATCCAACTATACGCTATCTATTTCTGCCTTTGGGACAGTCACAGACACCTGGTTCCCAGCAATGGCCAGGGTTGCAGAACTACATGACCCAAAACACAAAAACTCTTACACAAAAGCTCCAGAGGCCTAGAAGCATGACAGGTACCTGGAGCACTGGAACTGTCTATGAAGGATTCACTGTAGATTTAAGAACACACATAGGCCAAAGTGGAAGGCTGGAAAAGATGTTCTATGCAAATGGAATCCAAAGAGAGCACACTTACATCAGACAAAATAATCAAAAATTACCACAGAAAAATTAGGATATTATTCAATGATAAAAGGATAAATTCACTAGGAAGACAATAATAACTATAAGTAAATATGGACCCAGCCTCAGGGCACCCAAATATATGAGGCAAACATTGGCAGAACTGAAGGAGAAATAGAGAGCCTCACAATAATAATAGGAGATTTCAATGCTCCATTTTCAATATTGGATAAAACTTTCAGACAGAAGATGAATGAGGTCATAGAGGACATGAATGACACTTTAGACCAAATGGACCTAACAGACATACAGGAAGATTCTACCCAGAAGCAGCAGAATACACATTCTTCTCAAGCGCACATGGAACATGCTGTAGGATAGATCATGTGGTCAATCCAGATACCTGCCCTGTACAACCATCTCCCTAAGGGACATATAGATTCAACATACCAGACTCATCCCATGATCCCACAACCTCATAGACGGTGTAGATATGCTACAGTGAGCACTCCTAAGTACAAAGTCACAGTATGGTCCCTACAGACTCAGGTCCACTTTCTCTAAACCCACCAATTAGAACTCCTCACAGGAAAACCACTTGGGTAAAGCCCTGGACCCCAGTAAAGATTTTGGCACACAGATTTGCCCTGTCTCTCTCTCTGTCTCTCTGTCTGTCTCTCTCTCTCTTTCTCTCTCACTTGCTACCTGCTGGTTGAGCATGATGATGCCTGGCCTCTCCCCCAAGCACCCCCACCTCCAGTCTCCTCCTGTCCCTCCCTCTGCAATCTTCTGCTTGTCTTTCATCAGCATCCCTCTTCTTTCATGGATCTGTAAGGAACACACTGCTTCTGTTACTCCCTATGTTTTTTTTTGTGCTGCTTCCTCTGTCTCACCTGACCAACACACCTGAACCTGACTTCTTTCCCAGTCAGAGCTCTCCTAGAGAGTGGCTACCAGAGTAAGAATAAACTGGACACAAGTCAGAGGAGAACCACAAGGGCATCTGCCAATATAAACAGGTTTCCTGTGAAAGGGACATCTGGTCACAGGTTGGACACTTAGACATTAAGCCATCCACCAGGATAAAGAATTATCCCACCAAAGGCACACTGTAAACATCCATGACCAAACTCCTTGGATTCCAATCAGGGCAGGGCTAGAGTTTATAGTCAATTTCCAAAGAGAGACCTCAAGACTGAAATTAGAGGAAAAATCACAACAATATATATTTGATCTCTGCCCCTGGTTCCTAACATAAAGTTCCTAGAACCCTAGTAGAGAGCACTGGAAGAATCTTTGTTCTGATATTCAGTCTTTGATCCCAGTTCCTGACACAGAGCTCCTAAGATCTTTGTGGTTTCCTGACTGGTAGGAGTATCTAACACAGCCTCAGACCTAAAGTCACAGGAATCTGGTTCCCAGCTTGAGAGAGAATGGTGTGGATTTCTGGTTCCCATTGAACTACAAAGTTTCAGCCTCTCCTCACTGCTATTTAAAAAAAAAAAAATACTTTGGGATCCCTCTATTTTTGTCCATGATGATTCCCTTTCCTATTTTGGAGCACAGCTCATTTTAATATCCTGTTATTATCTTATCTGCTATTTCTCTGTATGCTAGGAGAGAAGGGGAAGTTTTCTGCAAGTATCCAATACACAATTAAAAATGATAGAGTTATATTCATTAATATGGTAAGATATTCATGATACACTCATATGTAAGGAGGAAATATTACCAAACAGGACAAATGGCTGCTCCCATTTAAAATACTAACAAACGGCTGGGCACCGTGGCTCGCACCTGTAATCCCAGCACTGTGGGAGGCTGAGGCAGGTGGATCACGAGGTCAGGAGATCGACACCATCCTGGCTAAAATGGTGAAACCCCGTCTTTACTAAAAATACAAAAAATTAGCCGGGCGTGGTGGCAGGCGCCTGTAGTCCCAGCTACTCGGGAGGCTGAAGCAGGAGAATGGCGTGAACCCGGGAGGCAGAGCTTGCAGTGAACAAAGATCGTGCCACTGCACTCCAGCTTGGGCAACAGAGCGAGACCCCATCTCAAAAATAAATAAATAAATAAATAAATAAATAAATAAATAAATAAAATAAAATACTAACAAACAAAATAGGTGCATGTATCCATGGATACATGTATACATAAAGGCGACTATATTCATGTTTTGGAGGGGATGACTGGAACAGAGGTAGGTTTAGGTTACATCAGACGACATGCAAGAGGAAGAATGAAAAGGAAACTTTGAATGAGGTGCATTCAGGCTTTATGGAACTGCAGTGACCTCATCCTGTTCAGAACACAGCAGTGGCTCTATGCTCCCATCTGGCAAACCAGGAATAGATGGCCGTGTGACAGCTTGCCTTGTCATCGCCTTAGAGCTCCCGGCTTTATTCTATTACCCACAGGATGCAGTTCCTTTTGGTCTTTCCCTAACTTTGGCCACTGCCAAATGACTACACACGCCTCTCGGCCTGCTCTCTAACCCATGGTTTCTGCTTACTCCCTACTCCTACTGCCCCATGGCCTTGGCTCACTGCTTCCTCTCTGTATTTCTTCACCTCTGTGCTTCTCTACTATTCACATCTAGCTTTGTTTTTCTTCTGTCCTAGCTCCAAAAGAAGGAACCAAATCACTCAGGATAGAGCACCCTTTCTGGTTAAATTTCTCACACCAAATCATTTCAGAGACCTCTGGCTTCCTGGTGTCCAATCTGTGTATTTCTGCCTTTGGGACCGTCACAGACACCTGATTCCCAGCAATGGCCAGGGTTGCAGAACCACATGACCCAAAGCACAAAAACTCTTGCACAGAAGCTCCAGAGGCCAGGAACTTATATTAAGTGTTTGGGAGTGTTTACTAAGGGTGGGTGGGATTGTACCTTTCTTCTTTCTCTTTTTCTCTCTCTCTCTCTCTTTTTTTTTTGCTTGTCTTCTTTTTCCATACAGTAGGCCTCCCTTATCCAAGACTTCACTTTCCAAGGTTTCAATGACCCCAGGACAAGAGCTGTCAGAAATATTAAATGGAAAATCCCCCAAATAAATAATTCATCAGTTTTAAACTGCACAGCGTTCTTAGTATTGTGATGAAATCTCACCCCTGCATGGCTCGTACCACTCAGAACATGAGTCTTCCCTTTGTCCAGTGGATTCATGCTGTAGACACTGCCCACCCATTAGTCGCCATCTCGGTGATCAGATTGACAGATCACAGGAATGATGAATACAGTACAATAAGATATTTTGAGAGAGGAGACGACAGTCACAAAATTTTATTACAGCATATTATTATAATTGTTCTTTTATATTATTCATTAGTATTGTTAATCTCTTACTGTGCCCAGTTTTTTTTCGAGACGCAGTCTCGCTCTGTCTCCCAGGCTGGAGTGCAGTGGTGTGATCTCGGCTCACTGCAAGCTCCGCCTCCCAGGTTCACGCCATTCTCCTGCCTCAGCCTCCCGAGTAGCTGGGACTACAGGCACCCACCACCATGCCTGGCTAATTTTTTTTTTTTTTTGTAGAGACAGGGTTTCACTGCGTTAGCCAGGATGGTCTCAATCTCCTGACCTTGTGATCCACCCATCTCGGCCTCCCAAAGTGCTGGGATTACAGGCATGAGCCACTGCGCCCGGCCCACTGTGCCCAATTTATAAATTAAACTTTAGGATAGGTGTGTATGTATAGGAAAAAAGGTATAGGTATAGGTATAGGTATAGGAAAAAAGGTGTATGTAGAGGAAAAAAGGTCAATAAGGTTTATATTTGTGAATAAAATAATATTTCACTATAATGATGTAGACAAATAGGGGTTGATTTTTTTCACATTCCAAGGAGTCCTGAGTTGGACAGGTAGTCAAGACAGGTGCTGAAAGACGCCATCAAGAAATGAGATTATTTATATTATTCTGCTCCACCTACTAGTCACAAATGGCTGCTGCATCTCCAGGCATTATGTTCACACTCAAGGGGAAAGGCGAAGCCTCATCTGTTCTCTCCTTTTGTTTGTTTGTTTGTTGTCAGATAAAGTGAAGCTTTCTCAGAAATCCCTCCAGAAGAATTCCCTTTAGATTTCAAGATCTCATTGGCCAGAGCTAGTTAACACAGCAAATTTTCTCTGCAAGAGAGGCTAGAAAATGAGGGAACAGGCTTGTCATAACTGATCATGACCAATCACCATCCATCATCACCTGCAGCTGCACTCATGGCTGCTCAAAACAAAATCCAGGTTTGGTTGTGGTAAGGGAGCCTGCCCCACACGGCTCACATCTAATGTGGTAAGGCTAATGGATACCCGAGTCCAGAGAAAATAAGGAAATGAGGCCAGGTAGCCCTAAAAACCAGGGAAAACAAAACCCCCGAAATTCCACTCCTAGCCCCACTCCCAAACGTGAGAAGAGCAGGTTGGTTCAAATACGCTCGAACTGAGCGACATGGGAGAAAGATATTGAAACGTTGATTTGGTCAATAACCACATTTTTTGCATATGTCAATGTTTTAAAAATAGATTGTATTGTCTGAGAACAGCTTTGGAACCCTATAATCTCACCAGGCACAGAGGGCTATGAACGGACCTGTTCCAGAGGGGATGCCTTGTGAGTAGCGACAGAGCTGGCCCGGGATGGTACTGCCAGCCAGCATCATGCTACCATGAGGCTCATGATGTTTCAAATTACTAAAATGACTGGGAGTCATTTTCATTATCCTTATTGACAATTAGCTTTAATGGCAAAATGAAATCATTAGGCAGCAGTAAGTCTGGAGTATATAGCTCTTTTGTAATAAAAGAAATTCAATGGTGTGAAGGCAAGCTTACCAAGTCTATGGCTCTTTCATGTGAACTGAAGCAGTATGAAGATAAGCTTCGGGAGACAAGCTGGGGAAAACACAGTCACTGAATTCATTAGCAGAATTAATATTCCATGTGGCGTTCAAGCTATTGCTTTACAAAGTGTCTAAGATAATTAATAGAAAATGTGCTACAAAATGAATGGTATTTTAGCAACTTATTTGCCAGCATGCATTGCAAAGTCCACCAGTATTTCATACTCCCATTTCTTTTGTTCTTGCTCCTTGGAAGGCATCTTGCCAGTGGCTTGCCTATATTTAACATCACTGCTTGTTGACTTTGTGAGAGTTAGCAGAACTATAATTTGCCTCTCAGTCGCTTCTGAAATTAAGGAACACTGAAGCTGGGGATGAGTTCAGTCAGTGTTTCTCAGTGGAGACACAGTTACAATCTTGGTCAGAATATGTTCTTGTGGTAGGGAACTGGGCCCCATAATCCATGGCATTATCATCCCTGGTCCCAGGCACTAAATGCCAGTAGCAACCTGCAGTCCTTGTAATGGTCCCATACACTCCCACAGATCCCCAAATATCCCCTAAGGCACAGTTAGGCCACAGGCCACCTAAGGCACAGTTAGGCCACAGGCCAAGATCCAGTGAATATCTGAACTTTACAGATGTTCAAAGTAAGATGCTCAGCAGCCCAGATCATGGATGGTAGCCAGTCATGGATGGTAGAGGCAGGACTCGAACTCAGTTAGCGGAACTTCATATGACAACAGGTTTCCTCTGCCATCTAAAGGAAAATTAATAATGTCCTCCCTTGTTCATAAAAGCTGTTTAATAAATATTTGTGGCATAATGGAGAATCCAATCCAATTAAAGCCAATAGTATGCATTAGCAGACAGTCATCTATGACAAATGGCATCCTTAATAAATAAAAAAGGAAAGGCATTTTGCATTTGGGCTATAGCCTAAGACATTCATTGGAGAGGCCCTGCATTGCTTTGAAGGTCAGACAAAGGGCAAAGGTGTTTTGGGGAAGGACTTTAGAGTAAGGATAGGAAGCAGTGATTCCATAAACAATGCAGCTGGGGGCCCAGAGAAGCACATTGTACAATGTTGTGCTTATGGACCCAGAGAAAAAGACTCAGAAAGATTTTCCGTAACATTTCCCCTACTTCCTTTTGCCAAATAGGCTTTTATTGGGTAGGATTTCACTCCCACGGCCTGGACTTCTACCTCTGTTGTTGGAACGATAGTCCTTCACTAAATAGATAGGAAAGCAGAAAGGGAAAATCTCTTCAACACAAAACACCACAGAATTTCCTTGACAACGTGATAAGCATTTCTTTGATATGAGACTTAGAGTGTATCAAATACTCTTCTTTCTGCCACCCTGCCTTGTTAGTCACTGATGTACACGTTCTATGTATCACTTAGTCATTTCGCAAAATTACTGAGTGCCCACAATGTGACAGGCGCTGTGCTCAATTTGGAATACAGCTGGGAAAAATGTACACAGCTTGGAGAAAGATGCAGAAGAACGATACGTAGCTTTGGAAAACCAGTTTCAAATCCCAGCTCAGTCACGTTGTAACTCTTTTTTTTTTTTTTTTTCTGAGATGGAGTCTTGCTCTGTCGCCCAGGTTGGAGTACAGTGGTGCGATCCCAGCTCACTGCAAGCTCTACCTCCCAGGTTCACGCCATTCTCCTGCCTCAGCCTTCCGAGTAGCTGGGACTACAGGCGCCCACCACCACGCCCCACTAATTTTTTGTATTTTTTAGTAGAGACGGGGTTTCACCGTGTTAGCCAGGCCTCCCAAAGTGCTGGGATTACAGGCATGAGCCACTGGGCCTGGCCGTTTGCTTCCATTTCTAATAGCAGGTTTGACTCTTGGGTTAAGAAGACTATTTCCTCCTTCTTATGCTGGCTAACTCCTCCTCTTCTTCTGAGATATAGACCGTGGGATACCTTCTCTGGGCAGCTCCTGGCCACCCCACCCTCCCGGCTGACTTCCAGATGAGCTGGGCATTTCTTCTTGCACTCCTCTGACACTGTGTTGACCTATCTCAAATCACCAGCCACTCTGCATTCATTGCTGTGGTTTGCCTCTTCACCTCTGCCACTGTACTAGAAGAGTTTGGAAAGAGCAACTCTCAACCTCACCCTGTAACCCTTCACATGTAGGAGGTGCCAAACATACACTAGATACCTGAAAGTTGAGTCAAATAAAGATACCCCCAAAGTTCCATAAAGCCACACCCTCAAAAGTGTTGTGACGGTTTTCCTTACCCACCTTCTCAGCAGTCATGGGATCTGCAATTGTATCACCGCAACAGAGACCATCAAAGTTATTTGATAAGAGTATGAGTGATGTGAATTAAAAAAAAAAAATCTCTAAGGTGTTGTTGTTCTTTTGATTTTGAAAGCCAGTGACCAAACTCTGGGATGTTGTGGCAAGAAGAGATAGTCCCTTTAGGACAAGCAAGAGATCATTTGTAGTTATGTCTCCTGTTTTATAGGATTCTATGAGGCCATTTCTTCCCCCAAAATGAGTATGGAAGTTAAAAACAATGGTATGGTATATTTCAGATCATTATTCACTTGGGATCTGCGTGGGAAGCAGCATGAGCTACGGTTAATTCTGCCCAAACTCATCATTCCATTGGTTATTTATCTCCACAGCCTCTGCACGGTTTCGTCTCTGGTCAGGGCAACCGGACACGCCTTGTAGGAGAGTTTGTGGTCTTTGTGGAATAGGCAATGAGGGAAAAGGGAAGAGAAGGTGTCTGTTACTGACTTCTGCCAGCCTTTATGTATTTTGCATACATTATTTCATTTAATCCTCTCCAAAGCCCTGTGAGGTAGTTAAGCAGCTCATTATCTTAGTTTCACAGATGTACACCCGAAGACTCAGAGATATTCGGTAACTTGCCCAAGGTCACACAGACTGTAAGCAGGACAAGGACATTTACACAAGGACATTTCTTTTTGGGAGAAGTCACCAAGTTGCATCCAGCACATGGACTGGTTCTTTTACTCATCCACAGGCTTTGAAGTCAGACAAAGGGATTGAGTCCCAGGTACTGGATATACTGATTGACTATAAATCTGTGTGCAAGTTAGTTACTTACTTTTTTATTTTAATTTTTTCATTTTATGTTTTTCTGAGATGGAGTTTTGCTCTTGTTTCCCAGGCTGGAGTGCAATGGCACAATCTCGGCTCACCACAACCTCAGCCTCCCAGGTTCAAGTGATTCTCCTGCCTCAGCCTCCCGAGTTAGCTGGGATTACAGGCATGCGCCACCACGCCCAGCTAATTTTGTATTTTTAGTAGAGATGGGATTTCTCCATGTTGGTCAGGCTGGTCTCAAACTCCTGACCTCAGGTGATCTGCACACCTCAGCCTCCCACTTAATCTTTTCAAGTCTGAAGGTTCTCATTTGAAAACGAAGACTATAAAAATGCCTGGCTCCGAGGACTGTTTGAAAGATAAGGTGGGATAGTACATGGAAAATGCTCACCACAGAGCAACTATGCTGGAGACAAAAGGTTTAGCTACGATTTTGCGACTGAAGCAACCCCATTATAGCAGTAAAGCTAGGGTCTTAATCAACTCTCAAAGAAATGGCAAGCTCTGTTTTAATCATGATATAAACGAAGTACTCATGAGGAAGAGACGGATTCTGCCTGAGGGCATAGAGAAGGCTCTCTTTAGATGAGCCTTACAGGATCTGTCATATTTCCCTGGTTTGGGATGTGGATGGGGGCATTCCAGCATTACAACCTTTTGCAATTCAGGGATTGCAAGGGATTGTATTACAGGAATGGGGAACTCAGTAAACAAGGCTTGAGATATGACAACATGTGGCCAAGCTGTCAGGCAGAAATAAATGGGAGGGTCCGTGGAGGAGAACAGTAGCAGATCCAGCTAGAACGTAGGTTAGTGTCAGAGTGGGAAGAATCTAGCCTACCAGGCTCCAGGGCTTGGGCTTCATTCTGCACCCAGTGGGGAGCCGCGAGAACTTTCTAAGCATATTCTCATTTGCATGTTGGAATGGGAATCGGAAAGGCCATCTAGACCACGCATCATAAGGGTCTTCCTGCTGGACTCAGTGAGACCACAGTGAGACTGCAGAACATGAGGGGTGAACAAGAGTGTGGGAAGGGAATTGAGAGCACAGCTCCTGCCTGACCGGGTGGATGGCAAGTGTCAATGAGGCAGGCCTGTTACTCCTTTCTCTAGGGCAATGCTGCTTGGTGTTCCATCCTCTTTTTCAAAATCAAAAGTCATGTAAGTTTAAGGAGGTACTTAAGCACTTGAGAAGTGGAGGAACTCTGAACATAAGAGACAAACAAAAAAATTAGGGTGCCAGGCCCGGTGGCTCACGCCTGTAATCCCAGCACTTTGGGAGGCCGAGGTGGGTGGATCACCTGAGTTCAGGAGTTCAAGACCAGCCTGACTAACATGGTGAAACCCCGTCTCTACTAAAAATACAAAAATTAGCTGGGTGTAGTGGTGGGCACCTGCAATCCCAGCTACTCAGGTGGCTGAGGCGGGAGAATTGCTTGAATCTGGGAGGCAGAGGTTGCAGTGAGTCAAGATTGCGCCATTGCACCCCAGCCTGGGTGACAGAGCGAGACTCCTCCGTCTCAAAAAAAAAAAATTCAGGGTCATTAGTGGGCTTGGCAGCAGTGCAATGTTACTTGATCTGGATGGCTTCCTGGTTGAATCTAAAAATACCTACAATAGGATTTTGCAGTATAAACATCTATTGGAGTTGCTGTTCAATAAATGGACTGATGAATATCATATTCCCATTTTCCCATGGCTCTGCATTCCACCATTCTTCTGGAGAAAGTATATTGATCAAAATCAAGTCATTAGGAAAGAGAATACTGACCGAGAGGATTTTCCTTCAGGGGCTATCTTACCATCTTTGCTCCCAAAGCACAAATGGCAGGATTACCACGAATGCCCCAGGACCAGATACATCCAAACCCTCCTAAATGCCTAAGGTTCAAGGATACATCTGGATTTTAAAGGCAAAAGACATTTGCTTTCAGATTTTTATGATAAACAGAGAGACAGAAGGCCTAGAGCACAGAAATGTTAAATAAGCCTGTGAACTGAAAATCTTAGTGCAAGACTGGTTAGTAATAAAGAGGGAAAGACTTGAATTTGTGATAAATAAAAATTCAAAGGGCAACTTGGGGTATTTCAAAACATGGTGTTGGAGCATTAAGCTGGCCATGTAGAAAAAAATAAGAGATTTAGATTCCTGCGTACTCATTTATCCAAAGTAGACTCCAGATGGAAAATCAAAATACTAAAACAAATCATCTAAAAATGTTTTTATTTTTTTAAAAAAGTAATTATAATTTTGGATTAGGGAAGAATTCCTAAGCGTAAAATATACTAAAAGCCATAAAGAAAAAAAGATTGATAAGTTTGACATTATAAAAAGTAAAAATGGTGGCCAGGCATGTTGGCTCATGCCTTTAATCCCAGCACTTTAGGAGACCAAGGTGGCCAGATCACTTGAGTCCAGGAGTTTGAGACCAGCCTGGGAAGCATAGTGAAACCCTGTCTTTATAAAAACTCCAAAATATTAGCCAGGCGTGGTGGCGCATGCCTGTATTCCCAGCGACTCAGGAAGCTAAGAGTTGGGAAGATCACTAGAGCCCGGGAGTTTGAAGCTGCAGTGAGCCATGTTCACACCACTGCACTCCAGTCTGGATGACAAAGCAAGACCCTGTCTCAAATTAAAAAAAACAAAAAAGTAAAACCTCGTAAATATGTATTAATATATAATGTAATTATGTTTTTTGTTTTCTGGTTTTTTTTTTTTTTTGAGACGGAGTCTTGCTCTGTCACCCAGGCTGGAGTGCGGTGGCGCAGTCTCGGTTCACTGCAACCTCCGCCTCCCGAGTTCAAGCGATTTCTCCTGCCTCAGCCGCCTGAGTAGCTGGTAATACAGGCACACGCCACCACACCCAGCTAATTTTTTGTATTTTTAGTAGAAACGAGGTTTCACCATGTTAGCCAGGATGGTCTCGAGCCCCTGACCTTGTGATCCACCCATCTCGGCCTCCCGAAGTGCTGGGATTACAGGTGTGAGCCACTGTGCCCAGCCTATAATATAAATATATTTTAATAAAGTCAAAAGACAATCTGAGAAAAAAAGAATTTGCAACACATATGACTGCCTCTCTCACCTGGCCTCTACACCTCCGTCGGCAGGAGTTTAAAAACCACCCCAAAACTCTAATTGCTCATGTCACAGCTCCCTCTTCTACTAGCTTCAGTCTCCCAGCACCCTCCTCCCCACCCTCCCAGCTTCACCTCCAGTGTCTTCCTTGGAATCATCAGTGCTAATTTCCGTCATGACTTTTATCCCTGTTCAGATCAATCACCTCAAGAAACCCAGACTCCCCTTGTTACTTGAACTCTTACTCTCATATTCGGTCCTTATATCCCATTTCTGACCCAACACCTCACCCATCCTTAATTTCTTTTTTTTTGAGACCGAGTGTCACTCTGTCGCCCAGGCTGCAGTGTAGTGGTGCGATCTCATCTCACTGCAACCTCCGCTTCTTGGGTTCAAGCAATTCTCTGCCTCAGCCTCCTGAGTAGCTGGGAATACAGGCACCTGCCACCACACCCAGCTAATTTTTTTTGTATTTTTAGTAGAGACGGGGTTTCAACATCTTGGCCAGGTTGGTATTGACCTCCTGACCTCGTGATCCACCCATCTCGGCCTCCCAAAGTGCTGGGATTACAGGCATGAGCCACCGCGCCTGGCCCACCTGTCCCTAATTTCTAAAACAATTTTCCTGTGCCCTGAGTTCGCAGCAGAACCCCACCACGTCTGATTTCCTCTCTGGACATTTCCATCTACTTTCTGCTCTTACTGCAACCTGGCTATTTCTGAGGACACTGCTTCCTCAAATCCCTGTCCAGGGCCCTCTATTTTCTCTCCTTCCCCCACTTAACCTGTAGTCCTGGAAATCAGGTTGGTGTCCTCCCCCTTCTCATGACCGTGGCCGGGCCATCAGCACCCCAGCTCAGCGGCCACGTCATAAGAACAACGCTCTTCAGTACAGTCACTCACTGTCCCAGGCCACTTCCCTCCATTTCTTGAAGATTTTTGAGGTCGTGGTCCATTTCCATTCTTTTCAACACTACTCCTCTCATAACTGTTCATGGTTTCAATGATGATCCTTGTAACAACCTGGCATCTGGATTATTTGACCTGTTTCCTCCCAGTGTTCTTGTCCCTGGCCTTGTCTCAGCCACTGACTCTCCCATGGTCAAATATTGTTATTACCAATAACTGCCATCCCTCTACAAGTCAACAGTAAGCACTCTGTTCTCCAATCACCCACTCCTGTGTTTCCAGCTAATACTCTCTCGTGAACAATTATTTGACCCTTACCACAGAGATAAGGAGAAGCATTAAACCTACTGTCTCTTACTCACCTTGGGTATTTCATTTCCTTACCTTAAATCCCAGGCTCCATAATTTCAATCACTCCTTTGCACTGAGCTTCCACTTACCTGCTCCCTCTTTCTTCTTCAAACTCATCTGGTGTCATGGACTGACTCGAGTCTCCCCAGCTACCACCAACATTTATACAGTGAAGCTTTAACTCCCAGCATGACTTTTGTTGGAGATAGGGTCTTTAAGAAGATTATTAAGGTTAGATGAGGTAATGAGGATGGGACCCTAATCCAATATGATTGGTGTGCTTATGAGACCAGGAAGAGACACACAGAGAAAAGCCGTGTGACGACACAGTGAGTAAACAGCCATGTACAAGCCAAGGAGATGGCACTCAGGAAAAACCAACCCTGGTGGCATCTTGATCTTGGATTTCTGGCCTTCGGAACTAGGAGAAAATTCGTTTCTGTTGTTTAAGCTGCCCAGTCTGTGTTATTTTCTTATGGCAGCCCTAACAAATGAATACACCTGGCAAATCCCAAGCTCAATTAAATCCTTCTGTTAACCCCCTGTGTGTAGCTGTGCAGTTGAATTTGGCTGCAAAAAACAAAACCAACCAACCAAAGTACCCTCAACCCTGGGGACTTAACATACATTAACTCGTGACTAATAACCTCAAGTGGGTCCTCAGTGTTTCAGGACAATCACTCTGCATTTCCTTAGTTGATTTACTCTCCTACTCTCATACATAATCATATCACGCGTTCTCTTCTCTCCTGAAACCTCCACCATCTTCTCCCTGACCTTCACCTTCAGCAAATGATGTTGCTTCCTCTCTTGCTGAGGGAGTAGAAGCAATCAGAAGGCCCCTTTCTCAAGCTTTCACCATATCTCCCCATCTATATTACATACTACCTATTTTGATTATTTATCTTACTTATTTTCTGTCTTTTCCTAATAAATGTAAGTTACATGAGAGTGACGATTTTACCTGTTTTGTTCATTGCTCTGTCTCCAGCACCTGCAACATAGTAGCCGGTCAATAAATATTTTTTTGAATAATACACAAATGAATATGACAGAGGACTAGTTTGCTCATTATACACAAAAACTCTTACAAATCAATGAGAGAAAACAATTGATTAAAATGGACAAAGGCGATATGGAGAGTTCACATACAAAAGAAATATAAATGACAATACATACTAGCCAAAAAATATGTTCAACATTGTTCATAATTAAAGAAAGAGAACTCAAAACCATAGCGACACCAAATTTCACCCATCTCTCCTTCATTTTAATGGCTGCAAAGTATTTCCATGTTAATGGGCATATCAAATTTATTTAACAATTTCATATGGATTTAAATCTAATATTTACTACTATAATGAAAGTTGTGGGCCGGGCACGGTGGCTCACGCCTGTAATCCCAGCACTTTGGGAGGCCGAGGCGGGCGGATCACCAGGTCAGGAGATCGAGACGATCCTGGATAATGCAGTAAAACCCCATCTCTACTAAAAATACAAAAAAATAGCCGGGCGTGGTGGCAGGCGACCATAGTCCCAGCTACTCGGGAGGCTGAGGCAGGAGAATGGCGTGAACCCTGGAGGCAGAGCTTGCAGGGAGGCGAGATCGCGCCACCGCACTCCAGCCTGGGCGACAGAGCGAGACTCCGTCTCAAAAAAAAAAAAAAAGTTGTGAGTGAACATCACGTTCAGGACGAGAATGCATGACATGATTATGTATGAGAGTGGGAGTGTAAATCAACTAAGGGAATGTAGAATGACTGACCTGAAAAAATTTTAAATCTTGATGAAACCTACTGTTGGTGAGGATGCAAGAAAACGGACACTTTTAGATACTATTGGTGGAAGTGTAGCTTCACATTCTCTATTGAGAATATCTACCAACATTTAAAACAAACATATCCTACATACATGTGCCAAGATACATCTACAACAGGATGTTCACTCACCACTTTCATTATAATAGTCAATATTAGATTTAAATCAACAGGAAATTGTGAAATAAATTTGATACACCTATTACATGGAAATACATTGCAGCCATTATAAGAGAGAGAACCACATTTGCTGATATGAAAAAAATGTCCATTATAGACAACATTCAAGTAATGAGCAAAACAGTCTATGGAATGTGAGTGTGTCCATTAAGCACTTCCAGAATGCTATATAAGAAGCCATTAATAATGATTGTTTCTGAGAAGTATTTCCAGTGGGTTGGGGAGATTTTTTGTTGCTGTTTTATTCATGAAAGTGTTTTCTTTCATAAACATGTATGACTTATTTTTCTAAAAGAGAGAAATGCATCTTAAAAGATAATAGTCAAGCTTGTTTCTCTTTTATAATTTGAATACTGTGTGTATGAATACAGAAACACACACATACACACACACACATATATATATCACATTTTATATAGTGCATAGGGTTAAAGCAATTTCATATCAGTTAATGGAACCATTTTTTGTTGTTGTTTAAAAGTTCTGTTTTCAGAAGGCAAAAACAACCTGTCAGGACAGTTGATTAAGTGCTTCCCACACCTTACATACAAATACATAAATTCAATAATGGAAATAAATCACCCAGATCATTTTGTTTGGCATTTTGAAAGCAAAGCAACAAATCAATATACCACTTCAGGACTGGGTGTGTGTGTGTGTGTGTGTGTGTGTGTGTGTTTCTTCTCTTCCCTCCCCTCCTCCCCTTCCTCCTCCTCCTTCTTTAGACAAGTACTATGTTTTAAGATTTAGGTATATAATTCTACTTAATTTGCCATGTGCCTACTGCTTGTCTAGTTCTCGATTAGGTCCTATAAGTAAACAAAGCCCTTCTCTCAAGAAGCTCATACTCTGAAAAGGTGGGAAGAACAATATAAACACACAGGAAATTGTAAGGAAAGACTTCACGGAAGAAGGGGGACCTGAAAGTCCACAGGCAGAAATCAAGCTGCAAAATTAATGACCAATGCTTTCCTTCTAAGAATTGCCTTTGGAATTGAGGTTTTAATAGTCCATGTATTCCAGCAAACTATGACAAATCAGAAATGCTGCTATTAAATGAACCCCTTGGGCAAAACTTCTTACCAAACCAATTTCAGTTCAAATAGACAGCAAGCTATAGCACAGAGAAAGGAAAATAGCCAACACCATTTCCAACACCACTTTATAAAGATAATTAACTTTTACTTATGCACATGTAAGAAGATACCGCACAGTGAAAAAAAAGAGACTATTTTGGGGTGTTGCTAAAGATGCAAGCATTTCAGGAAATTCCCTCCCCTTAATCGCCTTCCTGAATTATTATGCCCATTAGCAACCCCATGTCTAAATCAGAAAATTACTGAAATGCAAATTGAACAGAGCAATTTATCTGCGACTGAAAATATCTCTGAGTTAACAGAGCTCCACTGATGAGATCTAAACAAGACCAGGGAATAGCGGCACCTAATTTACAGTGGTATTATTTAGTGACATAAATTTAACCACAAGCAACGTATATCATGAAAGTCATAAATGAACACCAGAGAAAAACAGAAGAACAATGGGAGCTACGCAGAACGTGCTTTGTTAAAAGAGAAAAAGGATCACAGGACCATCACATTAGTGCTTGTTAACACAGAATTACAAACTGGTGAAAGTAATTAAGCCAGTGAATCAAAATCACTTGTCATTTTCTTTCCCTCCTCCAGATTTACAAATAAGTAAATCAATTTTCCTTTGCTTTTTTTTTTGTTTGTTTTTTGAGAAGGAGTCTCGCTCTGTCGTCCAGGCTGGAGTGCAGCGGAGGGATCTCGGCTCACTGCAAGCTCCGCCTCCCGGGTTCACGCCATTCTCCTGCCTCAGCCTCCCGAGTAGCTGGGACTATAGGGGCCCGCCACCACGCCCGGCTAATTTTTTTGTATTTTTAGTACGGACGGGGCTTCACCGTGTTAGCCAGGATGGTCTCGATCTCCTGACCTCGTGATCCGCCAACTTCAGCTTCCCAGAGTACTGGGATTACAGGCATGAGCCACCGCGCCCAGCCACAAATAAGTAAATCAATTTTCTTTGTGACTTAAGGTCTCTTGAAAGATTTCCACAGAAAATTATTTCTCCATCTACCTAGCCGAAATGCTCACTGTTAAAAAATCAAAGGATTCGACTGAGCCCTGTGGCTTGCTCCTGTAATCCCAGCACTTTGGGAGCCTGAGGAGGGCAAATCACATGAGTGTAGGAGTTCGAGACCATTCTGGCCAACATGGCAAAACCCCATCTCTACTAAAAAATACAAACAGCCGGGCGTGGTGGTGGGCACCTGTAATCCCAGCTACTCTGGAAGCTGAGGCTCAAAAATTGCTTGAAAGCAGAAGGTGGAGGTTGCAGTGAGCCAAGATCGCACCATTGCACTCCACCTTGGGGGACAGAGCGAGATCTTATCTTGAAGAACAAACAAACAAACAAAAAAAGCTGTAGAGATTCTGGTAAGATTTGGGAAACCCAAGAGGCAAGAGGCAAGGTCCATTTCTTCCTACTGAATCTTCCTTAGCAAACAAATCTCAAAAGAGGATTTTGACTAAAAGTCACCCAGCTTTAAAAGAGGAAACAGTCACCATTATGGCAGAGCAGGACAATGAAGCTGACACCTAAGTCAGTCATTTCAGAAGGACCAGAAAGGCAGGTTTTCTGTGGCTTTCCTCCACCTGTGGTCGCTGGCTTATGGTGGCTGTGTGTTGGGTTACTGAGTGGACGCACTCTGTACACAGTGGGGAAACCAGCAAAGCAGACGCAGAAAAGAAAATGGGAGAATTTGAGAGGTGATATTTCTTTAAAAAAAAAATTGAAGTAGTCTTCATTTAAATTGAAATGCTGTTAGATGGTTTTGTGACTTATTTTACAGCTTAGTAGTATTTTTATTTTATTTTATTTATTTATGTATGTTTTGGAGACAGAATCTTGCTCTGTTGACCAGGCTGGAGTGCAGTGGCGCAATATCGGCTCACTGCAACCACTGCCTCCCAGGTTCAACTAATTCTCCTGTCTCAGCCTCCCCAGTAGCTGGGATTAAAGGCATGCACTACCATACCCGGCTAATTTTTGTATTTTTAGTAGAGACAGGGTTTCACCATGTTGGCCAGTCTGGTCTTCAGCTCCTGACCTCAAGTGATCTGCCTGCCTCGGCCCCCCGAAGTGCTGGGATTACAGGCATGAGCCACCGGACCCAGCCTGGTATTTTTATTTTAAATGCCTATGGCTGAGGGGCTCGATAGTCTTTTTAAAACTTAGTGTACTTACATTTTTAATCCAGAACCTCTGGTCAAGATGATGTTACAGGTGAGCAGCATCTATCTGGGCCAGTGGCACAGGAGTAAAAGAATTAACCAAGGCCAGATGTGGTGGCTCATGCCTGTAATCCCAGCACTTTGGGAAGCTGAGGCAGGTGGATCACGAGGTCAAGAATTTGAGACCAGCCTGGCCAGCATGGTAAAACCCCGTCTCTACTTAAAATACAAAAAATTAGCTGGGCATGGTGGCATGCACCTGTAATCCCAGCTACTCGGGAGGCTGAGGCAGGAGAATCAGTTGAACCCAGGAGGCAGAGGTTGCAGTGAACCGAGATTGTGCCAGTGCACTCCAGCCTGGGTGACCAGGGAGACTCTGTCTAAAAAAAAAAAAAAAAAAAAAAGAATTAACTGAAACAGTTGTTGGTAAAGAAAGGCAGATTTATTAGAGAAAGTTGGAAAATATGTTGCAAGGTTGCAATGGGCAGAATCAGCGAACAGGAGCTGACTGCCAGGAAACAAAGGCTTGTTGGAGATTTTATGGAATGGTTCTTGGGCTGATTGATAATGGCAAGGTAACAGGCAGCTAACTTTAAGGTGTCTGGTGATAAGTTGGGTGCAGGAGGGCTACACATCCTGAACCATAAAGAAAGGCAGACTTATAGCTTATCTGCTTTCTCTTTTGGTTTTTCCCCAGTCCTACCTGCCTGACTCCTTTTCCCTAATTAGGACCCCACAGATAACACAGTGTCTTCATGTTTCACTGCACTCCCTATTCCCCACTGTCATCCCCTGTTCAAAACCAATAGCAATGATAGCCATATAGGCATAGAAATGTAAAAACAACAACAACAACAAAAGCATAAATATCTCTGTGGACCAGAAACAGAACAGGACCCAGAATACTGCAAGAGATAGAAGCCGCAGGCCGGCTGGGATCAGGGGCAGGAAGCCAGCAGTGGTGGTGGAGGAGTCAGCTCCTTCAGAATGGCAAGGATGAAGAGTGCTGCCCCTGGGCGGGCCGGGAGCCTGGTGCATGGAGAGCCCAGGGACTGGGGCGGGCTCCTCTGCTCTTGAGAGGATGCTAAATGCAGTCACTGGCCACCCTCTCTGCCTGGAGCCATGGCTTTGTAGAAACTCAGGGCCCTGGGAGAGGAGAGAAAAAACCAGTCCTCAACTGGAGACTGAGTTAAGTTTTCCCCTTGGCTCCATAAATGGATCTACAATATCCCCCAAGGTCACCATGTGCCAGTATTCCCCAAATTCCGTGATAATAAAATCTGGTGTGCTAGATGGAGAACAGTGAACACTTTCTGAATCCAACCAACCTAGGACCACCTGGGACAAACCTGTAGTCCAACAAAGTTAGGTTTATTGGCTCATTGCTATGATGGAGATAGCACTCCCTGAGGAACTGTGGGTGTCTCACCAACAAAGGGAAAAAATAGAGTTAGCTTAGGATTAGGGAAAGAGTGGAGTGTAGGTGGAATTCAAATGAAGAGATTTGGAGGGTTTTTTTTTTTCCTTGCCATCTTAACCATTTATAAGTCTCAGTTCAGTGGTATTAAGTGAATTCTCATTGTTGGGCTCCCATCACCACCATCCATCCCCAGAACTCTTTATCTTACAAAACTGAAACTGTGTACACATTAAACATTAACTCCGCATTCCCCATCCCCAGCCCCATCCTCTGGCATCCACCATTCTATTTTCTGTCTCTGTGAATTGGACTACTCTAGGAACCTCATGAGTGGAATCATACAGTGTCTGTTCTGTGACTGCTTGGTTTCACTTAGCATATAATGTCCTCAAAGTTCATCCATGTCATAGCGTGTTCCAGAATGTCCTTCCCTCATAAGTCTCAATAAATTTTTGGTATAAATGTAGGCCACATTTTCTTTAGCCATTCATCCGTGATGGACATTGGGTTGTTTACACCTTTTTGGCTATCAGGAATAGTGATGCTATGAACACTGGTGTGCAAATATCTATTTGAGTTCCTGCTTTCAATTCTTAGGTATATACATCCTAGTGAGATTTCTAGATTATGTAGTAATTCCATGTTTAATTCTGTGAGGAACTGCAAACTGTTTTCCACAATAGCTACACCATTTTTCATTTCTATCAGCAATGTATAAGGGTTGCAATTTCTCCACATCCCTTTCAATATTTGTTATTATCTGTGTTTTTTGTTTGTTTGTTTCTTTTGAGACAGAGTCTCACTCTGCCCCCCAGGCTAGAGTGCAGTGGCTTGATCTCGGCTCACTGCAACCTCTGCCTCCTGGGTTCAAGCAATTCTCATGTCTCAGCCTCCCAAGTAGCTGGGATTACAAGCATGTACCAACATGCCCGGCTAATTTTTGTATTTTTTGTAGAGATGGCATTTTGCCACATTGGCCAGGCTGGTCTCGAACTCCTGGCCTCAAGTGATTTGCCTGCTTCTGCCTCCCAAAGTGCTGGGATTATAGGCATAAGCCACCATGCCTGGCTATCTGTGGTTTTCATTATAGCCTTCCTAATAGGTGTGACATGGTATCTCATCGTGGAAGGAGGCAATGTTTCAATAGCCTCAACACTAGTAGGGCTGTGTTGAGACATGAGGTCAGGACTGTGAAGTGGACTCGGGGTCTTATTTCTTTAGAAGCTGAGAAATTAAGTGAATGTGAAATCCTGCGTTCAGAAACCTTTACCTACAGCTCTCCATCTGGGTTGGTAACCGAAGCTGCTTCTCTGTTGCAAAGTGACTCAGATCTTCCAGGCAAAAATGAAATGCTTCATTCTTACTGATATAATTTCCAACTGCAAGATTTCAGACAATCTATGATTTTAGAAAACAAGGTTTTTCAGTGAATGAGTAAAAGAAAGACCCCTTCAAAAAAGTGGGTTGTTATGACACTACAGTGGCAGAGTGTCCTTGGGAAGAACGTATGTTGCTGTTAACATGGCAGCAGGCCTTATCTGTTTCAGCTATCCCAGCGTGATGAGTAGCCAGGCAGGTATTTTACTTTTCTTGTCTGAACTAATTTTTACTTTCTCAGCATCCAAGATGCAACGGAGAGAAAGGAAGCGAGAAAGTCGTAAATAAAAACCTTCCTACTTAAAATGAACCTGCAAACCAAATTACAAATCATATTAATAGAATGCTAAGCTACGGCCACATCAGCATGAGACTAATGGCAAAAGTGATATTGGGATCTGTCTGCTTTACAACTAATTGGTAGGGAGGCTTGGCTGAATCATTAGCCTTTCCTGGGTTTTTAATTTCATGTCGGTGTTAATAATGAAACTGACCCAATAGTCCTATAGATAGGTTTTTGGTGGTTTTTTTTTTTTTTTATAAACATCAAAATTGATCCTTCTAATCTTAAAGCTTGAAACTTCTATTTATCTGAGTGCCTTCCTCAGAAAACAACTTTCACGCCTCTCAAAAAAAAAAAAGTATCAAAAAGAACTGAAACTCACCAGATCACCACATCCAGACAATGAGATGACAGATGCCTCATTGATCATGATTGCTTCCTTTCCCCTCCTGAGTTCTTGTTTTCTCAATCATGGTTACATTTCTTCCCTGCTATATAAACCCGTAGTTTTAGTTGGTCAGGAAGGTGGATTTGAGACAGCTCCCATCACCTTGGCAGCACCCAATTAAAGCCTTCTTCTTTGGCAATAATTGTCATCTCAGTGATTGGCTTTCTGTGCAGCCAGCAGCACCACCTAGACTAAACCCCTGGTGTTTCAGTAACAATAAAATGACCTATTCAATAACCTTGTTACTGGACAATTTGAGGAGGTAGCATGTAAGAAAGGCATACAACATCAACACGGCTTTCAAAGGTAAGGTATTACTATTACTGTCGTTTAGTTATCTCTGAACAAAACATTCAGAGACTAGGGACATTGCTACCCCGGCAAGCAAAAGTATCCATTCTTCTTTGCATGTTAAGTGAGACTCACAGAACATTTTTCTCATAACCCTCTGCTATTATATAAAATCAGGGCAGGGTCTGAGCAGGAGCCACCACTGGTATCCTCTTCTCTGAAACCTTTTCTGCTCTTCTGAAGGGTTATTTCACTCATTTAGACTCCATTTTCATAGATAAAGATATGGTTGGAGTCTCTTAATATTTTTCTCAGTCCTTCTCCTTTAGGTTGAAGAAATGGATCGTGAGCCTGTGAGCCTGAAAGCCTACAGTGCAATTTACATCCATCACTATATAATTAGCCGAGCACAACAAAGAGGTCCTGCTATGAATACCTCTCCACACAAACCAGACAGGAAGAGCGTGTTTATGTCTTCCTTGCAAAGTGCAAATTGGGAGCCATCCAAGTATTTAGCAAGAATAAATTAAACATTTAAATCAACTGTTTGGAAATGACAATGAGGAGCTCTATGCAATATCATCAGGCTTCTTTGGAGACTTCGTTTTCTTTTTTTTTTTTTTTTTTTTTGAGACAGAGTCTTGCTCTGTCACCCAGGCTGGGGTGCAGTGGCGCAATCTCGGCTCACTGCAAGCTCCACCTCCTGGGTTCACGCCATTCTCCTGCCTCAGCCTCCTGAGTAGCTGGGACTACAGGTGCCCGCCACCATGCCCGGCTAATTTTTTGTATTTTTTGTATTTTTTAGTAGAGACGGGGTTTCACTATGTTAGCCAGGGTGGTCTCGATCTCCTGACCTCGTGATCCGCCCACCTCGGCCTCCCAAAGTGCTAGGATTATAGGCGAGAGCCACCGCACCCGGCGAAGACCTCGTTTTCGTTGAGACCTAGCTTTCCAAGCCCAGGTTATCTCCCTGAAGTGGCATGTAAGATATTTTTTAATGCAGATGAAGTAGTATTCTGGGTAATGACTTCAGACCCTAGGCTATAGTTAGCAGCTGATGAAGACACCTTCAAGCTGAAAGATGATATCTAACCAGGGAACTGACTGGACTTTTTGCTTTGCTTCTTCAAATATAGAAAACCCAGCTGCCAGTCCCTTGCTGGTGTGAAAGGGAAAGTCGACCAGTTGACCAACATGCATCCTTCAGTTTGCAGTCAGAGTAATCATCAGTCTGCCCCCTAATTTTCCTGTCATGGTAGGAACTATAAATGGCATTCTGTAAGACCGCAAATTGCTATGGAACACTTTGTGCATGAGGGAAATTCTCTCATTGTGTAAATGGATCAGTTGCCACCCTAAAATTACTGGCCTCTCCCTGACAAAGTGATGTAGAAGCCTTGCTGTTGTCAACTGGGTTGTGTAGAATCAGACTCACTTTACAGGAAAAAAGCTTTTTCTATCTTATGGTCCCTCAAAATAGGGGTTGTCAACTTTGGGTCAAACTAGTGAGCTGAAGGAGTGGTCATTTTTTTCTTTTAGAAATGGCTATCTCCAGGACTGCCATAGTGCAAGAAAAGAGAGTAGGTTCCCCTTAATTAGCTGGCAGTATCTTTCTGTATTCTCCTCACCATGATTCTAGACCTAAACGCTCCAAAATTAGTCCCCTTAACTACCTCCCCCACTCAAGGATTCACTGTTGTTAGTTTGCCTAAAACAAAGTAGGAGGTAAACACATCCTTCTCTGCCTCCACACTGCCTTGTTCATGCTTGTAAAGTAGCTCAGCTCACTTTCCTCTAATTATTTGTCTCCCCACTAAATTGTAACACTCCAGAAGTCAGAGACTATATTCCATTCTACTTTGTATCCTGCAAACAGACCACAATACCTGGTGCATGGTCGGTTCTTAATAACATTTATAGTTGTGTGTATCTTCTAAATCATAATTTACTTGTTTTTTTAATATGAGAAAATTTAAGTATAGTTTTAAGATACCGGTTAAATTAAAAAAGATAGATTTGTTTCATGAGACTGAAATCTACCTAATAGTTCTACAGATAGTTTTTTTGTTTGTTTGTTTTTGTGTTTTTTTGGATAAACACAGAAATTGACCCTTCTGGTCTTACCTTCTGGTCTTGAAACTTACCAAATCATCACATCCAGATCATGAGACTCCAAGCCTCCCAAAAAGTTTCAAAGAGCTGCAACTCACCAGATCATTGCATTCAGAAAATAAGACACCAGGCCCCTCATTCATCATGATTGTTTCCTTAACCCTCCCAAGTTCCTGTTTCTCCACACATAGTTACATTTCTTCCCTGCCATATGAACCCCTAATTTTAGTCAGTCGGGGAGATGGATTTGAGAGTGCTATCCCTTCTTGTTGGCTGCAACACCTAATTAAACGTTTCTGTATTGGCAATACTCGTTGTCTCAGTGATTGGCTTTGTATGTAGTGAGCAGCAGGACCTAGACCGAACCCCTAGTGTTTCAGTAACAATACTCTATTGTGTGTCCTCTGGGCTGGGCAGCTAAAATATACTGAGGACTGAGACACTGCCTATGGTCCAGGGAGCTCACAGCCTAGTGGGGAAACACTCTTGAAGACAGATCATTAAGTGCTAAAGTAGAGGAAGAAATCAACTGCCATGAGAGCACAAGGGGAGCAAACAATTCAGTTGGGGGTAGCCTGGGAAGACTCCACACTGGAGGTGATTTTCTTTTTCTTTTTTCTTTTTTTTGGAGACAAGAGTCTCACTCTGTCACCTAGGCTGGAGTGCACTGGCGTGATCTTGGCTCACTGCAATCTCCGCCTCCTAGGTTCAAGCAATTCTCCTGCCTCAGCCTCCTGAGTAGCTGGGATTACAGGCATGCACCACTATGGCAGGCTAATTTTTGTATTTTTAGTAGAGATAGGGTTTCACCATGTTGGTCAGGCTGGTCTCAAACTCCTGACCTCATGATCCACCTGCCTCAGCCTCCCAAAGTGCTGGGATTATAGGCGTGAGCCACCATGCCCAGCCATGGAGGTGACTTTTAAAGTGGTCTTGGCATAAAGAGTGAACTAATAGACATTATAGACATGGAAGGGTGGGAATGTGGGAGGGAGGTGATGGATGAGAAATTACCTAATGGGTACAGTGTACATTTCCGTCATGGTTACACAAAAAGCCCAGACTTCACCACTACACCATACATCCGTGTAACAAAACTGTACTTGTACTTCGTACATCTACAAAACTAGAAAATAAAAACAAAATAAAAGTGGTCTTGAAATATAGGCAATATTTCCCAGGTTTAGGAGGGCAAAAGACATTCTGAGAAACAGGAACAACTGCCGGGCATGGTGGCTCATGTCTGTAATCCCAGCACTTTGGGAGTCCAAGGCAGGTGGATCATTGAGCCCAGGAGTTCAAGACCAGCCTGGGCAACACAGTGAGAACCTGTCTCTACAAAAAAATAAACAAAATTAGCCAGGTATGGTGGTGTGTGCCTGTAGTTCCAGGTACTCAGGAGGCTGAGGCAGGAGGATCACTTGAGCCTGGGAGACAGAGACTGTAGTGAGCCATGGTTGTGCCACTGCACTCTAGCCTGGATGACAGAATGAGAATCTGTCTCGAAAAAAACAGAGAGAGAAAGAAAAAGAGTGGAACTTTATTTTCAGAAGTTGTTCCTAGCAGGACAGAGAAGAATGCACATTCAGGCTGTGCTCCTGCTCTCCTCACTTGGCCTGCATGCTCGTTCCTCAGCCTTAGCACAAGGGATGGACTTTCAAATTAAATCTCCTAACAACTATTTCACAGTCTCATTTGTCTTTCCTGTCCTGGATTTGGGAATTGTGATCCCAGTAAGCAGAGGTAGGAAATCTCTGGATGGTCAGTTGACTTAAGGCATCATTCTCAAAAGGAAAGAAAAAGCCTCCTTCTATCATGAGATCCTGAGTGATTCCAGTTTTTCCTTGCTTATTTGTAAAGTAAGAGATTCTTCTCACTAGAGAAGGCATCAGAGGCCACCATCTGCCTCCACAGGACCTTGCTAATCCAGCCACTTCACACTCCTCCCCTCCCTTGTGTTAGCTGAAGCTCTGAGCTTCAAAGACCCCTGGAGAAAAGTTCTTTGGCATAGCTAGGGAACTCGCTAGAGAGAATCTCACATGAACCTGAGAATGCAGCGTAAGTTTCCACCAGTGGAAAGAAAGGAGATATCTTTTGTCCTATTTTTCTTCCTCACTGCCATTTTATCATCCACTCTTGTGTCTGCAATGACCTCCTGCAAAGCCCTGAGGATAAGAGTAACTACCAGAATTAATGTGTAGTGGCACCATATATTTAATAATTCTGGTTAGGTTATTCTTTTAAATCAAGGCCAACATTAAATATGCTTCTAAATTGCTCCTTTGAACTGCAGTCATCCTGGTTTAAGTGGCCTGGAGGGAATACATTAAGCTGGCTTGCATCATCAACGAAAATACAACACTTAGATATACATCAACTTTAAGAGATTCTGACCTATGAGAGTACTGATTCATGTCCTATATTTTGTGTCTCTCTTATCGTAATAATCCTCCGATACCCTTTCATCAACGGCCCATGCACGGATCACTTCTTTTTATTTATTATTTGGTCATTTATATTAATCACCTGCAAACCCACAGCTAAAACAAAAGCCACCACCTTGGCAGCCTACATCCAACCACGTGGTCTCTTCGGATTTTCCTCCCTCATCCTGACATCTCTGGTCATTATTCCCATGCTTTTATATATAAGTGTGTGTAGGAATATAGATGTTCTTTCCATATGTATGTAGTCCTTTAAAATTGTGTATTCTTCGTTGTTTTTAACTTTATAAAAATGTATATTTAGCCTGGTGCAGTGGCTCACGTCTGTAATACCAACACTTTGGGAGGCTGAGGTGGGCGGGTTGCTTTAGCTCAGGAGTTCTAGACCAGCCTAGGCAACATGGCGAAACCCTCTCTCTACAAAAAAATACGAAGATTAGACAGGCGTAGTGGTGCACGCCTATAGTCCCAGCTACTCAGGGGCTTAGGTGGAAGGATTACTTGAGCCCCACAGGTCAAGGCTGCAGTAAGCTGAGATTGTGCCTCTGCACTCCAATCTGGGTAAAAGAGTAAGACCCTGTCTCAGAAAAAAAAAAAAAAAAAAAAAAAAAGATATTTTATTTTGATGTGTATTTTTTTCACTTAATAGTATGTTGAAGAAATTTATCCATACCGTTGCAAAATTGCTGTGGTTCATTTGTCTACTATATAATATTCAATTAGGTCAATTCACCATTTATTTATCATCCTCAGTGACAGGCATTTGTATCCAGGTTTTAGTATTATGGATGTTCTCTTACCTATATTCTAAGTATATGGGCAAGAATTTACCTTTGATCTATATCTAGGAGTGGAATCGCTAGGTATTAGGTTATATCAACGTTCAATATTAGGAGAAAATGCCAAACTCTTTTCCAAAGTGGTTGCACCATTTCTACTTCCTCCAGTAATTGTCTCTATTGTTGGGCAGCGTCCAATCCAGTGGAACATAAGATAAGCTAATGAAATGATTTAATATTACCGATACATAAATAGGGTGAATAATGAAATGGAAGCTTCAAGATATGCCTCTTAGGGATGAGAGGACAGTCTCCCCCTCAGTTGATATTCATTGGTGTTCTGTCTACATAGATGTTTCTATTTCTCTCCTATATGTGCTTCTCTTGGGTTCCTCTCCATCTTGGTGGCTGTGGGAATGTTTTACCCTTTAATTCATTGGCAAAACTAAAAGCCCCTCCCAAAACAATTATATTCTTCTGCAAAAAAAAAAAAAAAAAAGCAGTAGTCTCTTCCACACGTCTTCCAAAGAGTTGTTTGTCCTCCTCTCTCTCTGTAAATTTTCTTCCACCCAATAAGTAGCCTTGTGGGTGGAGGTCAGACGTGCCAAATTAATTTACTTTGTTATTTAGCATCCAGATATCTCACCTGGGCATCTAGCTCTGTTAAAAAACACTCCCTTCAGGAAGCAAACTGGTGTGATTCATTTTCTAGTTCATCCAAGTACAGCCAGGCTGCTGCTTTCGCATTCATGTCCTGTCTGTGTCATATCTGCATGGTCTGTTTTCATGTCTGAAAATAGATGGTCTCAAGCAGCACTGCTGATAGGCCTGTGACCCTTCTTCACCCCCCAGGAACTTTCGCACATTTATTCTGTGTATCTGTTCACCCAGGCAGGGGAGAAACCTGCCACCTCTGCTGCAGGTGTGAGGGTCACCTTAGGTTTCCTGACAGCCCTGTATTCAGTTTGCTGCTCCCAGCTGCCAGCCTGTCTCCTCACCCAGGCAGCCTCATCAGATAGCAAGTTTCATTATGTGCAGTCCACTGGGGACTCTCCTAAAAGCAATACATTCATTTCACTGTGCTAGCCTCTGCCTATTAAAGCATTTTAGTCCTGTTTCTCCTTTAACCTCCCACGAGCCAAATATTCACTCTGACAAAATGCTATTCATTACAAAGTTAAGATGACTTTGACTCTGTTTCCCTTGCATATAATGCAATGAAGATGCTTTGTCCTGGATTCATCTAAAGCCTGATGGTATTACGGATAAAAACATGCCAAGGTGGGCAGTCTTTTTTCCCAAAATGGATTGAAATTGCCTCTAGCTAGCTATGCCTTGCTTAGATAAAGAGCAGCTGGGAGAATAAAATGGCTTTCTGCTTATTTTTAATATCCTAACCAATATATATTGCTTAAGAGACAATGATCAGGGGAAAAAAAATAAGATAGAAAAATGAAACATCACTGGAATGTAAAAAAACAAAAATCAGTCTTTTTTACTCTGCTTTTATCCACAGATATTTTTCCATACCCTTTTTCTCCACGCTGAGAGTTAGGACATAGGGGAGCTTGGGGGAGTTACAGAACATCTCCAGGGCTGGGCACTTAGAAGGATCTTGCTGGTTGATTCATTTAAACATAAATTATAGCTATATTTGATTTACTGTCTAAGTCAGTTGCCAGTCCAAACCCAGCCTCTGACACATACCAGTACTGGGGAAATAGATCAACCTCTTGAGGACTCATTCCTCATCTATAAAATGGGAAAAATAGCACCTCCCTCATAGGTTTATGAGTAATAAGTGAAATAACACATGAAAACCCAGCCCAGCACTTAATCTACAGTGAGAAAAAAATAAGTATGTATTTCCTTTTCCTGGTCCTCCTTCCTACGTAGGGAGTTAAAGAGATAAGCAGGAGAGAAGAATAAGAAGCTAGATTGTCATGAGTCTCAGAAAGAAGCCTTCTTCATACCTATTTGACTCTAGAGATGTGATCTCTCTTCTGCCTAAGCTGAAAGAATCATCTGGAATAACCACAGAAAATCGGGTCACTGTCTTAGATGTAGATATGCTGTTGCAGATGTTCCAGATAAAAAAATGGAAGAGGGGCCGGGCGCGGTGGCTCACGCCTGTAATCCCAGCTCTTTGGGAGGCTGAGGCGGCTGGATCACAAGGTCACAAGATCAAGACTATCCTGGCCAACATGGTGAAACCCCGTCTCTACTAAAAATATAAAAATTAGCTGGGCGTGGTGGTGCACACCTGTAGTCCCAGTTACTCAGGAGGCTGAGGCAGGAGAATCACTTGAATCCAGGAGGCGGAGGTTGTAGTGAGCCGAGATCGCACCACTGCACTCTAGCCTGGGTGACAGAGCGAGACTCCAGCTCAAAAAAAAAAAAAAAAAAAAGGAAGAGGAATTTCTTTCTGGTCAGAAGATGGGTGATAGCCACATGTCCCACTTGTTCTGGTCTTCAGTGTAACTGATCACTCTGCCCTCTTTGGGTGTCCTGGGTTTTGTAGCTGTGTTTTCACATCAACTTTATGTCTGGTTTTATCTTAACCCTTTCCTTCACTTCTCTTCTACTTTACCCACCATTCTTCTTCTTCTTACATGTTTTCTACATTGCTTTATGTTATGTACCTCACAAGCCAACTTGAACCCTAC
This sequence comes from Homo sapiens, assembly GCF_000001405.40. NCBI lineage: Eukaryota > Metazoa > Chordata > Mammalia > Primates > Hominidae > Homo > Homo sapiens. The sequence goes on along the minus strand of NW_018654717.1, from coordinate 3,839,341 downwards.
TCTAATTACTTTTTTGATTAATTAAAACCTGCCTCTCCTGATTTTCTCTTCGTGGCTCTGCATGAGGCTTTCCCCTTGCATGTTTAATGGGTTCCCCTGAAGTTTGTCAGTTGATGAAGCTAAAGCCCTGCCACGGGGAACAAAAGGAGGATCTGTTGTTTCCCCAGCCATGGCCAGCCCCATCCCAGAACAGGGAGAAATCTGGGCTGAACAGTCCAGAATAACACTAGGAAAAGCCCCACATATGGTAAGAAAATAAAAGCCAAGTCATCTTCTTGCTTGTTTGTCCCATAAGAGACTTTATAAGTAATTGTTTTTCTAGAAATATTCCCATTCACTCTTTTTTAAGTAATTTCAAAATATCTGATATTGTTAACCCTAGGGAGTTCCTTGAAGAGTGTGTGGAATCCATCAGGATACTAAAACGATCTCTTTTTTTAGAGACAGAATCTAGCTCTGTCATGCCCAGGCTGGAGTGTAGTGGCGCCATCTCGGCTCACTGCAACTTCTGCTGTCCGGGTTCAAGCGATTCTCCTGCCTCCGTCTCCCAGGTAGCAGGGATTACAGGTCACCACGCCCAGCTAATTTTTTGTATATTTAGTATAGACAGGGTTTCACCGTATTGGCCAGGCTGGTCTCGAAGTCCCTACCTCAGGTGATCCATCCACCTCAGCCTCCCAAAGTGCTGGGATTGCAGGTGTGAGCCACGGTGCTTCACCTAAAACCATCTTTTAATACCTTCCTAGGCTCTGGGATTACTTTTGAAGGACACCATTAGAATACTATGACTCAAGGCTAATGACAGGTGAATAAGGACAATAGAAAATTTTCCACTTAAAATTGTGTGTTTGTGACTCAATATGTTGAGATAGCTCATCAATTATTAACCAACTAGGAAAACTTCCAAGTACTGCGTCAAAACATACAACACCAGAAGGCATTCACCCAAGCAGGTTCTATTTATTGAATGCTGTTTACTATCTCTTGGCAGCTTTGTCTTTTTAGATGTGTTTAGAAGCCTCCCTAATATATACACTGTCAACTGAGGAGATCTCTGTTTGAATTTTTCAAATAAAAGGCTGGCAGAAACCCAAAGGCAAGTACGCTAACTTCAGATCCTTAGAGAGATAAAAGTAGGCCGTTCATCTGCAAATCCACCTTGGTTGAGTGCGTTCAATTTGCTGAATTTGTTTAGGAATACAGTTTAGTGATAATGATTAGACCTGCCATGCCGTGGTGCAATACCATAAAAGTCAGAGCCTAAAAAGTGAGTGTGAACAGAAAAACGGGTATTCCTAGAGAAGAAAACTCACAGTATTTCAGATGTGAGTTGGTGGTATTCATTCTTGGCAGCATTGGAAATTTTGTTTTATCTTAAAATCTTTTAACTGTTTTGTTATTCTAAAAGGTAAAAGGAGTTGAAATAGGGGAGTTTTTTTTTTTTTTGGTTGTTTGTTTTTTGAGATGGAGTCTCACGCTGTTGCCCAGGCTGGAGTGCAGTGGCGTGATCTCCGCTCACTGCAAGCTCTGCCTTCCGAGTTCACGCCATTCTCCTGCCTCAGGCTCCTGAGTAGCTGGGACTAGAGGCACCTGACACCACTCCCAGCTAATTTTTTTGTATTTTTAGTAGAGAGAGGGTTTCACCATGTTAGCTAGGATGGTCTGGATCTCCTGACCTCGTGATCTGCCCGCCTCGGCCTCCCAAAATGCCGGGGTTACAGGCATGAGCCACCGTGCCTGGCCGAAATAGTGGACATTTTATTCGGTGTGTCTGATTTTTTTTTCCCACCATAAACAAATATAAAGCCCTGGCTTTCAAAAACGTACACAGCTGAATAACATTTTGGGTGTAAAATTGTGAACTTATTGGTTCTGCTCGTTGATTTCCTTTGGAGACGAGCATTTTTTTGAAGCCTTACTTTCAAAGGAATAAAGAATGAGACAAGAGAATGAAGAAAAGAGGTACTTGGCGGAAAAACAGATCCATCACAGTCTCATGAGTGATTGGCCGTGGCTCTGAATTTGCAATCCTCTCAGAAATGGCCACAAATTTTGGTGTGTGAAAGATGTTAAAGCAAAGCGACCATCCCAGTGAATCATGTGGGCACCTGCATAGGACACAGGAATCAACGGGCATGTGCATTTACAAGGAGGCTGCTGCGGTGGCTGTTTCCACCAAAGCCACTGAGAAGGCCAGATCTCTACTCCTATCTCAGGCCAGAGGCAGGTAGAGAAGGCTGGGCGTCCTATGCACAGGTAGGGAAGGGAAGGATAGCAGATTCTCACTGAGGGTATCCACCAGCAGCTTTTGCATTCTCTCATCATCAACTCCCCTCCCAACCACAGAGGAGGCTCATGTGGTACTCCTGGGTCACTGGATGCTACATGGCACAGATAACAGTGCTAGCCAAGCAATTAAATGGCTTTTCTATGTTTATCCCCATTTCCTAGAGAGATAAATGAAAGCGTACAGAGATTAAAGAACTTGCCTAGATCCACCTGAAGCAACACAATGGCCAGGAATTTACTAAAACCCATCTATTTCAGATTCCAGTTCCATAGTTAATCATTCAACAGGGCTATTGCTAACGGGAGCAGGACATGTATACCTTAGAGTGTATAATCCCATAATTCAGGGATCAATAAAGCCCACTCAATTTTTATCCTAACATAGAGGCATATAGGGAAAATATTTCTAGTTAACTTTTTGTGTGTGTGTGTGTGTGACACAAAGTCTCACTCTGTTGCCCAGGCTAGAGTGCAGGAGTGCAGTCACGGTTCACTGCAGCCTCAGCCTCCTCAGGCTTAGATGGTCTTCCCACCTCAGCTCCATGAGTAGTTGGGGCTACAGTCGTATGCCACCATGCCTGGCTAAATATCTTTTTTTTTTTAACTTTTTGTAGAGACAAGGTCTCACTATGTTGCCCAGGCTAGTCTCGAGCTCTTAGGCTCAAGTGATCCTCCTGCCTCAGCCTCCCAAAGTGCTGGGATTACAGGAGTGAGCCACCGTGCCCGGTTTCCAGTTTTCTTTCTTTCTCTTTCTTTCTTTTTTTTTTAAACAGAGTCTCACTCTGTTGCCCAGGCTGGAGTACAGTAGCATGATCTCGGCTCACTGCAACATCTGCCTCCCGGGTTCAAGTGATTCTCCTGCCTCAGCCTCCCAAGTAGCTGAGACTACTGGCGCCTGCCACCATGCCTGGCTTATTTTTGGTTTTTGAGTAGAGACCGGGTTTTGCCAAGTTGGCCAGGCTGGTCTCGAACTCCTGACCTCAGGTGATCCACCTGCCTTGGCCTCCCAAAGTGTTGGGATTACAGATGTGAGCCACCGTGGCCAGCTTCCATTTTTCTTAAGGGGAAAAAAATACATGAAAGCCTCTTAAACTATTTAAAAGAAAGGTGTTGGCCGGGTGCAGTAGCTCATGCCTGTAATCCCAGCACTTTGGGAGGCCAAGGCGGGTGGATCACGAGGTCAGAAGTTTGAGACCAGCCTCGCCAACATAGTGAAGCCCTGTCTCTACTAAAAATACAAAAAATTAGCCGGGACTGGTGGCAGGCACCTGTAATCTCAGCTACTCAGAAGGCTGAGGCAGGAGAATCACTTGAATCCAGGCGGCGGAGCTTGCAGTGAGCCAAGATCTCACCACTGCACTCCAGCCCGGGCAACAGTGTGAGATTCCGTCTCAAAAAAAAAGATATTTCACAAATTCAGAGTATTACTGTTGTTTGATTACAATATTTTGTTACCTGCATTTCTAAGAAATATCATACTACTTAACCTCTAGGTACATAAAAGAAGCACAGAATCTTGGCTCTGTTTAGAACAATTGAGCAATTAGGGCTATATCTTCCTTTGGTGACAATTCATAAGGAACTCACCATATCTCTGCTACATCACCTGAAGATTTATATTTTGAAACTAGCCATTGTAATGTCCTTGATTAATAGCAACGCTATCTCTAATACAAATGGAAAAATAGATATAAATAATTGTGATAGGGTCATCCCCTTTTCCTACCTTATTTCTCATTCTATGAGAGCAATGCCATTTTTCCCTGAATAGCAGACCTAAGAAAGAGTTTCATTTTTCTTTTACACTTCCCCAGAGGAGCAAATATCACAAGAAACAGAGTTACATCAACCAAAAGCAATTTGTGTACCTAAATTATTCAGAAATGCTCAGACTGCAGAACCATTATTAGCATTTGATTGTACATTTTGTTCCTAACAAGCACTCCTCGGTCCTACAAAAGATAATAATTGTTGTTCTTCTTCACCTACTTTAAATTAATCTGTCCTTGGGGAGGTCACAGGACTGCCAGGTTAGCAGCTCTGGAATCTAGCCTCATAATTGTACTGAAGTATGGCCTTACAAGCTTCCCTTAGCAGTCGCTTTTTAAAAAATAAAAATAAAAAGTAAAAACCCTGATTCTCTTCAAGTCCTGTTAGAAATTAGGCAGTGAGGCCAGGCGCAGTGGCTCACGTCTGTAATCCCAGCACTTTGGGAGGTCGAGGTGGGTAGATCACGAGATCAAGAGATCGAGACCATCGTGGCCAACATGATGAAATGCCATCTCTACTAAAAATACAAAAATTAGCCTGGTGTGGTGGCGGGGTGCCTGTAGTCACAGCTACATGGGAGGATGAGGCAGGAGAATTGCTTGAACTCAGGAGGTAGAGGTTGCAGTGAGTCGAGATCATGCCACTGCACTCCAGCCTGGCTACTGAGTGAGACTCCGTCTCCAAAAAAAAAGGAAAAGAAAAAAGAAACTGGGCACTAGAAGTTGATTTCTGAATTACACATGTACGGAGACAGAGCCTTCTGTTCTTTGCTTGGGATTAACAGATATTTACAGAGCCTTATGATGTGCCATTATTCTGAGTATCTGGGACTACAGGCATGTGCCACCACAGCCGGCTAATTGTTGTATTTTTAGTAGAGACGGGGTTTCACCACGTTGGCCAGGCTGGTCTCGAACTCCTGACCTCAGGTGATCCGCCCGCCTTGGCCTCCCAAAGTGCTGGGATTACAGGCATGAGCCACCGCACCTGGCCTGCTTACTATATTTTTTAATATTTACAACAAACTACTGAAATGGATTATATCTCACTCAATTAACAGAGTAGAATTTGAAGTTCACCTGGTAACCAGTGGAGCCAGGTTTCACAGTGATAGCTCAATAGCTCAGAACACATCCTTTCCATGATTTCATGCAACGCTTAGGGGAGTGATCCCTGTGTCCTCTCCTCTCTGCTAAAACCTTGCTCTGGTGGGAGCACACGGATGGGTCTAGGTGGTAAAGCTGCTTTGGGGTCCAGGCAGTAAGAACTATATTTATGTATGGGTGCAGGGATCCACATATGTGATTAAGCTCTTCAAGCTTTGACCCAACAGGTCAAATCCAAGAAATTACAGAATAAATTACTTCCCTCTGGGACCTTGTGCAAACTAAACCTTGGAAAAATATTCATGGTTACAACCAAAGCCTATTACGGAGTCCAGAAACAATTACAGGATGTGCTGAACAGAAAGAATAGCCATTCACTGAGTCAGGCTGTGCTCATAGCATAGAGACAAGGGCTGAGTGAAGCTGAGAGGAAGCTGAATTAGTCAAAATTCAGAACAGACAGACTCAAGCTGGTTGGAGCCAGCGGGCAGCTGCTGTGGTCAGTGGCCAGGAAGCAGTCACTTTTTGAAGCGATAACTTTAAATTCTGGCCTTATTCGACCTTATTTTAAATGCATTTCACCCTAGGACGCTGAGAAGCTGCATGGGTCCTTCCAAGGATCCGACCAATATTTGGTGATTCTGGAGAAAGCTGTGTAGGGAAGTCTGACTGCTAGTTTAAACCTTTGTGTTGCCACAGCCAAGCACAGCGCTGAGATCAGAGGGGCTTCATAAATATTTGTTGAAGACAGGAAGGAAAGGAAGGAGAAAATGGGCCAGATTTACACATCTGAAACATGTCTAGAATCCAGAATTATGTGTCAGGAAGAGACAGAAAAAGCCACAGCCGAGCGCCCAGCTGTGGAATGGAAGTTGTCAGAAAAGGGCTTATGACTAGGGACCCATTCACCAGCAGATCTGGATGACGGACTCTTCCGTCATAAAGAAAGGCTGAGATGCACGATGAAAAATCCAGTTCTTGGAAGCACAGGAGAAACAAGGAATACCTCCTGCCTCCGTGGAACTGGAGAAGTAATCAGGACCTTAACCACCCAGACACGGGAAGATGGAGAGACCGGGGTCCTGGGATGCAGAGGCATTGAGGTCAGCAGGACGAATAATCCAAAATCCTGACTAGGATATTCCCCTAATTAGGGTCATTATTCATCATAAAATCAAGTGGCACCTGCAGGAGGGCTTCTATACTCTTCATAGAGAATGCCAAGGTCTGGCAAAACCAGAAACCCAACAGCTTATTGCACATCTTCCTAGTGGCTGGTTACCAGTTTATTAATCCTAACCCCTGGATAGCCGAGCAGATATGGCAAGTTCTTTTTGGTCTGGTAAAAGACGTACCTCTCCCTTTCAGTTGGTTTTTGTTTTTGTTTTTGTTTTTTGAGATGGAGTTTCACTCTTGTTGCCCAGGCTGAAGTGCAATGGTGTGATCTCGGCTCACCGCAACCTCTGCCTCCCAGGTTCAAGCAATTCTCCTGCCTCAGCCTTCCCAAGTAGCTGGGATTACAGGCTAATGCGCCTGGCTAATTTTGTATTTTTAGTAGAGATGGGGTTTCTCCACGTTGGTCAGGCTGGTCTGGAACTCCAGACCTCAGTGATCCTCCCACCTCGTCCTCCCAACATGCTGGCATTACAGGCATGAGCCACTGTGCCCGGCCCCTTTCAGTTTTTTAAGGAGAGAAAGCAAAAACACCTTAGGCAAGCCATCGCCTGGCAAAATAAGATGGGGGAGTAGTTTTTCTCTGAGCACAGTTCTTTAGGACAGTGTGATGGACGGGAGCAGAATGCCCTTGAAGGGTGAGGCCTGGTGTTTCACCTCAGCTCCCAGTCAACCCAGTCCCTGGCACACACTCCTGATCCCAGGGTGGGGTTGTTTGTCCCTTCCTCGTTTCTTCTGCATTTCCTATCTCAGCATATTTAGTACATTATTTTTACAATCACCTGATTATTTTATCTTTATGTCTGATTAGTTTCTTTTTGGTTTTTTTTTTGAGACAGAGTCTCCCTCTGTTGCCCGGGCTGGAGTGACGTGGCATGATCTCGGCTCACTGCAACCTGCACCTCCCGGGTTCAAGCCGTTCTCCTGCCTCAGCCTCCAGAGTAGCTGGGATTACAGGCGCCCACCACCACACCCGGCTAATTTTTGTATTTTTAGTAGAGACAGGATTTCACCATGTTGGCCAGGCTGGTCACAAACTCCCGACCTCTGGTGATCCACCTGACTTAGCCTCCCAAAGTGCTTGGTATTACAGGTAAGAGCCACCGTGCCCGACTGTGATCAGACTATTAACTCCAAGAGAATAGGTACTACATCTACTTTTCTTTTTCATCTTTGTGTCACCAGAACCCAGGCCTGTGCCTGGCATGCTCACTAAATAACAGTTGGATGAATGAATATCAGGAACTGGGCACCATGGCAAGACCCCTACCTCTACAAAAAAATTAAACATAAAAAAATTAGCTGGGCAAGGTAGTGTGCGCGTGAAGGCCCAGCCACTTGGAAGGCTGAGGCGGGAGGATTGCTTGAGCTCAGGAATTCGAGGCTGCAGTGAGCTATGATTCGGCCATTGCACTCCAGCCTGGGCAACAGAGCAAGACCCTGTGTCAAAAATAAATAAATAAAAGAATTATCTCCAATCGCAACTATACGGAAGAAAAAGAAAATTTTACAGGTGAGAGACACAGGATAGTGTTGCTTTCACATTTCTCTTGAGCAGGCTTTTGGGAGCTGCAGTGTAGCAGCATAAAATCTCTCTCTACAGAGCTTGGAGCTGGAAGTCCAAAATTACAAGAAAATAATGGATTACAAGATGTGTGGTATAACTTAACAGTAATTTCTAGGTCAGTTGCAAATGATGACCGTTAATAATTACAAGGTTTTATTCAGGCTTTTCTATTTTCAGAGTGCTTTACAATCATTAATTTGTTATTCCTCACAACATCCCTATGAGGTAGACCATCATCGTTAGTACATTACAGATGCACTAGGGATGTCAATTTGGATTTAATTGACCCAGGAATGTAGCTATACTTAGTAGTTCATTTGCCCCTCTGCTTTCTGGTCTTAAAAATCTACTGATGCTGCCTAGAGGGTGAGAATGCTAAAGTGCGATTCAGAAAGAAACATTGCAGACAACCGAGAGCATTACAGAGGCAGAGTAGGTACTAAATCTCTAAAACATAAGAGGTACCAGAGAGAAGCCTCAGTGTATTCTAGAAGCACATGCATTAGCGTCTGACCATTTTCTAAAACGTGTGCCTCCCCTCCCCTCCCCTCCTCTCCCCTTCCCTTCCCTTCCTTTCCTTTTTTTGAGATGGGGTCTTGCTCTGTCACCCACGCTGGAGTGCAGTGGTGCAATCTAGGATCACTGCAAACTGCATCTCCCGGGTTGGAGCGATTCTCCTGCCTCAGCCTCCTGAGTATCTGGGACTACGGGCATGTGCCACCACAGCCGGCTAATTTTTGTATTTTTAGTAGAGATGGGGTTTCACCATGTTGGCCAGGCTGGTCTCAAACTCCTGACCTCAAATGATCCGCCTGCCTTGGCCTCCCAAAGTGCTGAGATTACAGGCATGAATTGACATGCCCGGTCCGGTGGAGCCTTCTTAACAGGCGTTGAAATTGTCCTTGTTATAAGTTTAATTGCAGGCCGGGCGCGGTGGCTCACACCTGTAATCCCAGCACTTTAGGAGGTCGAGGCGGGTAATCACGAGGTCAGGAGATCGAGACCACCCTGGCTAACATGGTGGAACCCTGTCTCTACTAAAAATACAAAAAAAAAATAGCCGTGTGTGGTGGTGGGCACCTGTAGTCCCAGCTACTCAGGAGGCTGAGGCAGGGGAATGGAGTGAACCCGGGAGGCAGAGGTTACAGTGAGCCAAGATCACACCACTGCATTCCAGCCTGGGTGACAGAGCAAGACTCGGCCTCAAAAAAAAAAAAAGAAGAAGAAGTTGAATTGTATCCCCCCAAAGAGATGTGTTGGAATCTTAACCCCCAGTACCTCAGAATGTGACCTAATTTGGAAATAGGGTATTTGCTGTTGTAATCAAGTTAAAATGAGATCATTAGGGTAGGCCCTAATCCAATATGCTAATGTCCTTATAAAAAGTGGAAATTTGGCCAGGCGCAGTGGGTCACGCCTGTCATTTCAGCACTTTGGGAGGCCGAGGCAGGTTAATAACTGGAGGCCAGGAGTTCGAGACCAGCCTGGCCAACATAGTGCAGCCCTGTCTCTACTAAAAATACAAAAACAAAAAGAAAATAGCTGAGTGTGGTGTCATGTACCTGTAATCCCAGCTATTCTGGAGGCTGAGGTGAGAGAATCACTTGAACTCAGGAGGCAGAGGCTGTAGTGAGCCAAGATCTCTCCACTGCACTCCAGCCTGGATGACCAAGCAAGACTCTGTCTCAACCAAAAAAAAAAAAAAAAAAAAGGAGGAAATTTGAACACCGAGACAGACATGCAAAGAAGAAACATGGAGGTATGAAGACAGAAGATTCAGGTGATGCATGTTCTAGCCAGGGGTCTCCACATATGGACAGCCAACTATCAGAAGCTACGAAAAGGGAAGGAAGGAACATTCCCTTATAGGATTCAGGGAGAGGATAGCTCTGCTGCTGCCTTAACTTCGGACTTCTAGCCTCCAGAACTGTGATGCAATACATTTCTGTTTTTCCTTTTTTTTGGGGGGGGTTGGAGGAGGGGGACAGAGTATCACTCTGTGGCCAAGGCTGGAGTGCAATGACGCGATCTCAGCTCACTGCAACCTCCACCTTGTGGGTTCAAGCAATTCTCCTGCCTCAGCCTCCCAAGTAGCTGGGATTACAGTTGCGTGCCACCACACCCAGCTAATTTTTGTATTTTTAGTAGAAATGGGGTTTTGCCATGTTGGCCAGGCTGGTCACAATCTCCTGACCTCAAGTGATCCCCCTCCTCAGCCTCCCAAAGTGCTGGGATTACAGGTGTGAGCCACCACACCAAGCCACATTTCTGTTTTTCTAAGCCACCTAGTTTATGGTACTTTGTTATAGCAGCCCTGGGAAACTAACACAGTACTCCTAATAGATTAATCTCAAAAGGACACAAAAAGTGGCATTGTCCAAGGCCAATAGCACGGTGCTCAAGTTGTCCTTGGTGCTAAGTCACTTCCTACCATATAATAACTCGTGTGTGTGAAAGTTGGTCCTCAGCAATCAGACCCTTGGGCGATGTTTTGAATTGTTACATGCTCAATTACAATTATGGCCACAGCTCTACACTATAGGGGCTGCCCCCTAAAAAAATGAGATTTTCGTATTAGCAGTCTATATCCCTAGTTTATTAAGGGGACCTCATTTGAAAATACTTGCTTTTAGTCACACAAAGAACAATGGGAAAAAAAAGGTGAATGGAATGATACAACCTATCACCACTATAAAGAGAGTATTTTCAATGCAGGTCTTACTGGTATCCATGTCAAGCAGTTTTTAAAACCACAACAAATTAAATTCGAATAACAGAAGAAAATAAAATATAAACAGGAAAGGTTAATAGAAAATATACAATAAAGAAAATCGACAAAGTCAAAGATTATTTGAAAAGACATTCCGGAGTGATTTTAGCACAACAGGTAAGAAAAAGACAGAGAAGACCGAAATTGCAAATACTGGAAAAGAGACATGACTGTACATTAGATAGATATTAAAAAGCTGTTAGGAAGAGGTTATGAATAACTTTAGGTCAACAAATTTGACAACTTAGACAAAATGTACACATTCACAGAAAAATACAATTCAGAGTCAGGCACAGTGGCTCACGCCTGTAATCTCAGCACTTTGGGAGGCCGAGCAGGGGCGGATCACCTGAGGTCAGGAGTTCAAGACCAGCCTGATCAACATGGTGAAACCCCGTCTCTACTAAAAATACAAAAATTAGCCGGGCATGATAGTGGGCATCTGTAATCCCAGCTACTCTGGATGCTGAGGCAGGAGAATCACTTAAACCCGGGAGACAGAGGTTGCAGCGAGCCAAGATCATGCCACTGCACTCCTGCCTAGGCAACAGAGCAAGACTCCACCTAAAAAAAAAAAAAAAAAAGAAAGAAAGAAAACTACAATTTGATAAACTGGCAGAAAAACAAGTTAAAAATTTTCAATCATATATATGTTAAATAAATGGAATGTGTAATTTAAAATTCTCTCAGAAAGAAACTATCAGAGCTAGATGGCTTCACACCAGTGAATTCATTGAAACTACACTCTTAAGAAACTCTTCATAGGATATAAAAGCAGAAATGCTTCCCAGCTTGTTTTATGAGGCCAGCATAGCCTTACAACCCAAACCCAGAAATGATATTACAATAAAGGCAAATTTTAGTACAATATCTCTCAGGAGCACAGATGCTAAAATCCTAAACAATATGTTATCCAAGGCCAATAAAACAATGAAGCATGTTTACAAAAATTAAAAAGGTCTAAATAAAAGAATAGGCCGGGTGCAGTGGCTCACACCTGTAATCCCAGCACTTTGGGAGGCCGAGGTGGATGGATCACGAGATCAGGAGATCGAGACCATCTTGGCTAACACGGTGAAACCCCATCTCTACTAAAGATACAAAAAATTAGCCGGGCATGGTGGTGGGCGCCTGTGGTCCCAGCTACTCAGGAGGCTGAGGCAGGAGAATGGCGTGAACCTGGGAGGCGGAGCTTGCAGTGAGCAGAGACCACGCACCACTGCCCTCCAGCCTGGGCGACAGAGCAAGACTCTGTCTAAAAAAAAAAAAAAAAAAAAGATAAACTACGTGTACCAATTCCAAAAATTTGACATTATAAAAATGTAAATTCTCCTACAAATAGATGTGTAGTTTAAATGAAATGCCAATCAAAATCTCAGACAGTTTATTTTTGTGAAAATTTGACAAACAGATTCTAAAGTTTATATTAAATGCAAAGAATATGGAATAGTCAAGCTAACCTTGAAGAACAAAGCTGGAGGACTTACACTACTCAATATCAAGACTTGCTATAAAACTATAATAATTAAGATATTGTGGCATTGGCACAAGGATGAATAGATTGATGGTACAAAATACAGAATCCAGAAATAGACCCACAACAAATGGAGTTACTTGATTTATGACAACAGTATAACTGCAGTGAATGGGGGAAATAATGGATTTTTAAAATTAATTGGGACAATTGGATATTCATATGGGAGAACCATATTATGATTTCTACGTCACATCATGTAAAAATGTTAGTTCTATATGACTTCAGACTAAATGTAAAAGGTAAAACTAATTTTTCTAAGATGGGAGAATATTTTCCTAATCGTGGGGCAAGGACTTTTCTCAACAGGACACAAAAGGCTTCAGAAAAACTAGACATACTGAATTTCATTAATATTAGGCCGGGTGCGGTGGCTCACGCCTGTAATCCCAGCACTTTGGGAGGCTGAACCAGGCGGATCACAAGGTCAGGAGATCGAGACCATCCTGGCTAACACAGTGAAACCCCGTCTCTACTAAAAATACAAAAAATTAGCCGGGCATGGTGGCGGGCGCCTGTGGTCTCAGCTACTCGGGAGGCTGAGGCAGGAGAATGGCGTGAACCTGGAGGCAGAGCTTGCAGTGAGCCGAGATCGCACCACTGCACTCCAGCCTGGGCGACAGAGGGAGACTCCGTCTCAAAAAAAAAAAAAAAAAAAAATTAAGAACTTGTGCCCATCAAAAAACATTGAGAGAGAAAAGGCAAGACACAGGATGGAAGAAATATACACGTGCGCGTGTCTGTATGTGTATATATAAAATGTCTTATATATAGGACATGTACATAACTCCTGGGGGTAAAATTGGCTAAGGACTTGAATAAGCCCTTCACAAAAGAAAAAAAATCAAAATGAACAATAAATACATTAAAAAGGTGCTCTAAATCAATAGTCACCAAGGAACAGAAATTAAAACCATATTGAACTGTCACTCCACATCCACCAAAATGGCTAATATGAAATAGTCCTACAGTACCAAGTGTTGGTGAGGATTGTTTTGTTTTGTTTTGAGACAGTCTCATCATCACGCAGGTGGCTGGAGTGCAGTGGCGCGATCTTGGCTCACTGCAACCTCTGCCCTCCGGGTTCAAGTGATTCTCCTGCCTCAGCCTTCGAAGTAGCTGGGATTACAGGAGTGCTCCACCACGCCCAGCTAATTTTTTTGTATTTTTCAGTAGCGATGGGATTTTGCCATGTTGGTCAGGCTGGTCTTGAACCCCTAATGTCAGGTGATCCACCCCCATCAGCCTCCCAAAGTGCTGGGATTGCAGGCATGAGCCACCGCAGCCGGCCAAGTGTTGGTGAGGATGTGAAGGAAGTGGAATAGTTATTACTTGCTGCTGGGAATGTAATGGGCATAACCCCTTAGAAACTGTTCTGCAGCATCTGCCAAAGTGAAAAAGATGCACAGGCTGTGACCCAGCAGTTTTACTCCTCAGTATATATCCAACAGTAATGCATACATTCATTTACCAAAACACATAGGAGAATATTTATAGCAGCATTATGCAAAACCACGGAAACAATTCAAAGCCCAACAAAATAAAACAGATAAAAAAAGGAATACAATACAGCAATAAGAATAAACCAGCTGTTGTTACACACACTAACACAGGTAAACATCACAAACATTATGTTTAGCAAAAGAGGCCAGATGCAAGAGTATGTGCTGTCTGACGGATTCCATCCATCCATCTATTCATTTATTCATTTAGAGATAGGGTCTCACTATGTGGCCCAGGTTGATCTTGAACTCCTCCGCTCAAGTGATCCTCCTGCCTCAGCCTCCAGGAGTAGCTGGGACTATAGGCAGGGGCCACTGCATTCAGCTGATTTAATTTATGTAAAGTTCAAAAACAGGAAAACACATCATTAGTGGTGGAAGTCAGGGGAGCAAGGAATAGGTGGAAAGGAGTATGAAGATATTTATGGGATGTTGGAAATTGTTCATTCTTTTTTTTTTTTTTTTTTTTGAGATGGAGTCTTGCTCTGTCGCCCAGGCTGGAGTGCGGTGGCGCGATCTCGGCTCACTGCAAGCTCCGCCTCCCGGATTCACGCCATTCTCCTGCCTCAGCCTTCCAAGTAGCTGGGACTACAGGGGCCCGCCACCACGCCTGGCTAATTTTTTTTGTATTTTTAGTAGAGATGCGGTTTCACCGTGTTAGCCAGGATGGTCTCGATCTCCTAACCTTGTGATCCACCCGACTCGGCCTTCCAAAGTGCTGGGATTACAGGCGGTAATTGTTCATTCTTAATCAGGGTATGATTTACCCAGGTATGTTCATTTCGAAAATTCAGCTATGTATCTATGGTTTGTGTGCTTTTTTGTGTGTGTATTTCAATAAAAATTTACTTGAAAAGAGTGTGTTACATCCGGATATGCATTTATAAAGCCCATATAACTTTAGAATCTGATAGATTCTTAGATTTGGGACAAAAAAGGAATGACGGACTTTCCCTTGATTGGGAGGTGGCTAGAAATGTGGCTGGGAGGAAAAATGGAGCCCACACTGTGAAGTTCTTTCAATACAGCGCCAAGGCCTTGAGAATGAGTTCAGGAGACCACAGAGAGCTGGTGGGGATGAAGTAAGGCAATATGACTAGACCCAGGTTTATGGAAAAATTCTTACAGTGATATGTGAAATAAACTGAAAAGGCAGAAGGGAAGATGCAGGGAGGCTAGGTTAGACACTGTCAAAATAATGAGAAAAGAAATGAAGGTCATGTGTTTTCCCCAAGCCCATCCAAGCCTGCCCCTTTATCTAGACCTGTGGAATAAACAAGTACAGATTCTGCAAACACTGGCAATTCCTGGAAACTCCGTCTTTCCATCCCAGGAGCATCTTCCTTGCTGATGACTTGCAGAAGAGGAACAAGCCCTGGAGGGACTGCTGTCAAAGAATCTTCATCCTGACAAGTACTTGGGTGCCAGTTCTTGTCATGCTTCGTATCTCAGGACACATTCATGCATGGAATTTCTGGTGAAATTCAAAGTTATGCTGTCTAATAAAATATCACAGGACAGAAACTGCATAGCAGTACAGATCTAAGGACTCCAATGTTGGATCAATAGTTTTTGACACTAACTTCTTTACTTGAGTAATGTAGTCTGATGTTAAGGTGGACTAGAGGCTGGGCATAGTGGCTCACGCCTGTGATCCCAACACTTTGGGAGGCTGAGGCAGGAGGAACACTTGAGGCCATGAGTTTAAGACCAGCTTGGGCAATGCAGCAAGACCTTCTCTCAACAAACAATTAAAACAAATAGCCAGGCGTGGTGGCACACATCTGTAATCCCAGCTACTTGGGAGGCTGAGGTGGGAGGATCGCTGGAGTCCAAAAATTTGAGGCTACAGTGAGTTATGATGCTGCTACTGCACTCCAGTCTGGGTGACAGAACCAGACCCTGTCTCAAAAAAACCCAAAAACACAAAAAAGCAAACGATAGACTGGAAGTACTAGTGGTAACAAGGAAAACAGTATAAGGAATAGCTTCAGCTTGTTTGTGATTTTGTTAGCAGGGGAGCCCTGATGAATTAACTGGAAAAGTTATTTTTCTTACTGTTTTTCTTTAGTCACTTTATTTGTAGGCATAATTACTTAAAGAAACTAGGTGCCCCGGCATGGCACCAGAACTTCTTGACCCCGATCAGATACCAGA
Source organism: Homo sapiens (assembly GCF_000001405.40). Classification (NCBI taxonomy): domain Eukaryota; kingdom Metazoa; phylum Chordata; class Mammalia; order Primates; family Hominidae; genus Homo; species Homo sapiens. Next base: position 3,823,473 of record NW_018654717.1, on the reverse strand, counting down.
GGGAGATAAGACCCCGCAAACCAGAGCAACAGGAAAAGGTTCCCCAAGTTGCCTTCAGTGCTAAAATTCTCTCCCCCAAAAGAAAATCTCCACTCTTTTGTGTATATGTGTTGTATGAAGACATATGTTTGAATCCAGCCTATATGTCTGCAGTCCTGCCTGGCACATGCAAACATTCCTCTCTCACCCTGCTCCTAGTCCTTAAAAAAAAACCCATGTCTTCCATAGTTCAGCAAAAAGGAGCATTGAGAGCCAGAGCCTCCCTCCTTTGTTCCCTGACAGTAAATAAAACCTGATTGCCTTTTCTGCTTTGAAGTTCTTCCTTTGCCACCAATACAAAATGGGAAAAGAACTCAGTTTATGGGCAATAGTTTTATATGTAAAAATAATGCTCCTCCAGCCCTCTGGACACAAGAAATTCACTCTGGTTTATAGACAAGGCATGCATGCACAAGAATCCAGCAAAGAGATAAGAAAATCTCCTCCCTCCTTTTCTTTCCCTCTTTCTATGGTTTATATAAAGCATATGAGATGGGAGTGAGGACTAAACTCTGATTTTTTTATCTTGCCCAAATTCCCATCTAAGGGGTCTGGGGAGTCACGCCCTACAAATCATAAATTCTCATCAGATGGGTTTTCTTTAACCCTATATATCATGACTTACTTTCCAACCTGACTCTGGCATAATGTTATGAGACAAGGAAGAAAATTAAAATTTACCCCAAAACATGTTTCATTGCCATAGTTTGAAATGTCCCTGCAAAGCTGTTCTTTGCGAGGAGGTTGGGGGAGGGGGGTGGTGGATGACAGAATTTGCATCCATAAAGAATTTATTTATTTATTATTTTATTTTATTTTATTTTGAGACAGAGTCTCGCTCTGTCGCCAAGCTGGAATGCAGTGGCGGGATCTTGGCTCACTGCAACCTCCACCTCCTGGGTTCAAGCAATTCTCCTGCCTCAGCCTCCCAAGTAGCTGGGACGACGGGCATGCACCACCATGCCCAGCTAATTTTTGAATTTTTGTAGAGACGGGGTTTCACCATGTTGGCCAGGATGGTCTCGATCTCTTGACCTCATGATCCACCCGCCTTGGCCTCCCAAAGTGCTGGGATTACAGGCGTGAGCCACGGTACCCGGCCAAGAATCCATTAACATAGCTAGATCTTTTTCTTCCAGACCCTCCCAACCCTAAAGAGATAACTAAGATCGGAATAGGAAACATTTGTCGTATATTGTCTCTGAGGGCAGCCACTGTAAGACTTCAAAAGAACTTTGGTCTCCACAATCTTTATCTTAAACAGAGCATCCCCTTTCTATCAATCCCAGGTCTTTAGACAAAGTCAACCAATTGTCCACCAGAAAATGTTTAAATTCACCGATAGCCTGAAAGCCCCACCACCCCCCACCCCTGCTTTGAGTTGTCCTGCCTTTCTGGACCAAACCACAAACCAATGTATTTCTTACCTGTATTTGATGGATGTCTCATACCTCTTTAAAACATATAAAACCAAGCTGCGCCCCGACCACCTTGGGCACATGTTCTCAGGATCTCCTAAGGGCTGGGTCACGGGCCGTGGGCACTCATATTTGGCTCAGAACAAATCTCTCAAAATATTTTCCAGAGTTTGGCTCTTCATTGACAGGAATATACAGAGCAAGGAGTTAATGCAGCAGACCTATACTGTTGTCCTGGGAAAAACTTGCTTGCAAGCGTGGCCCTTGACAGACATCTGGGAATTTAGATTTCAGGAGTGTTCCTGAAACCGCCATTGAAAAATTATAACAGTAAGAAAACTATGACTGTGAAAGAGATCTGATCTAACCAAACCCTATCTTGCCTTTAACCTCCAAACTGCCCTTAGCCATTTCTGGACTTGGGCCAAACTAACTTTGGGAGAAATTTAGTTTACCGTTTAAATGATCATAGCCCCTCCCCAAAACGAAACCACCTTTGTAAAGCTAATGAAAGACCACCAGGTTAGGAGGATGAGAGGAGCCTGAATTCTGCTAAGGTGTAGACATACAGCAATGGTCACCCTTTATTCCAGGGGTCACAAGATTTGCAACTTCCCCAATTACTCCTGCAGATAATATCACAATTGTAGAACCTGAGATTGGCCTTTTGATATGGGCTTTCAGATTTGTGCATTTCTGACAACGGATGACTCTACTGTGACCACCAATCAGTCCTGTGGGCCCCATCCAGAAGCAGACTTAGTGTGCAAAGCACCCTTTTCCACACGGCTGTGATTGTATCCCACCAAGCAGCTGCACCCATCCCCTTGCTTGCCAAACAATCCTTGAGAAAACCTATCCTCTGAATATTCCAGGAGGCTGATTTGAGTAATAATAAAACTCCAGTCTCTCACTCAGCTGGCTCTGCATGAATTAAACTCTTTCTTTACTGCAATTCCCCTGTCTTGATAAATTAGCTCTGTCTGGGCAGTGGGCAAAATGAACCCATTGGGCAATTACATTCCCACTCTTAACTGGTTAAAGTGACTTACTGTGTCTAGATTGTTTGTACAAATAATATGGTTTATGTTTCAGGGTCCTCCAGAGAAGCAGAATCACGGGGTGGGAGGGGTGTATTTTAAGGAAATAGCTCATGTGATTATAGAGCTGGCAAGTTCAAAACCTACAGGTAGGCCACCAGGTTGGAGACCCAGGCAGAGCCAATGCTGCAGTTCAAGTCCATAGGCTGTCTGCTGGCCAAATTCCTTCTTGCTCAAGGAAGGTCAGTCTTTTTTTTCTTTTGAGACAGAGTTTCGCTCTGTTGCCCTGGCTAGACACGATCTCGGCTCACTGCAAGCGGGTTCACGCCATTCTCCTGCCTCAGCCTCCCGAGTAGCTGGGACTACGGGTGCCCGCCACCAAGTCTGGCTAATTTTTTTGTATTTTTAGTAGACGCAGGGTTTCACCGTGTGAGCCAAGATGGTCTCGATCTCCTGACCTCGTGATCCACCCGCCTCGGCCTCCCAAAGTGCTGGGATTATAGACAAAAGCCACCACGCCCAGCCTAGGGAAGGTCAGTCTTTTGTTCTAGTTGGGCCGTCAACTGATCTTGGAATCTTGGAAGCTTGTACGTGGTTTCCGCTGGACTTCATCCCATGTGTCTTTTCTCTTTGCTGATTTGGTTTGTATCCCTTTGCTGTAGTAAATCACAGTTGTATGACTAGATATGGAGTCCTGCAAGCCCCACTAGTGATTCATCAAACCTGGGGGTAGTCCTGGGGACCCCAACACACGATATTACAAGGGCTAATCTTATTCCCTTCATCCACTGAAACATATTGAAAGGTGTAACATGAGTAAATCACACATTGTATCAAAAGCATATTATAATGAATAACATAAGAGTAGCTCAGAGGAGCTACTGATTATATAGTACTTTGGGAACATGAAGGGTCACCTGAAGACTAATTAATAATCATAAGGCAAATTATACTTTTCAATTAATTTCAAGGGACTTTTCAGCAGATTTTCACAAAAACGAACTTAATTTTGTATGTCCAGCAAGAACTTTTGTAAACCTTTTAAATATACCCTAGAATATTTTTAGTGATAAAGATAAGTGCAGAGATCCATTAACTGAAGGGAAAAATGTTTGGGAACTATTGAATAAAATTTCAAGCCTAATAGGTTTTGAAATCAGTATTACAATTATAAGGAAATATTTCGTATATAATGCTCTCTGGGTTTTGTTTAATAGTCATACCAACTAACTTCTCAATTTCAATAGAAATGTAGGAAATTCACCTCTGTTCAGTACTTGACAAATAAATCATGGTAATTACATATTCACATGGCCTATAATAACTCTTCTAACTCAGCCTAGTAAGCAAGTGTCTTTTTTTTTTTTTTTTTTTTTTTGGAGATAGAGTCTCACTCTGTTGGCCAGGCTGGGGTGCAATGGCACGATCTTGGCTCGCTGCAACCTCCACCTCCCAGGTTGAAGTGATTCTCCTGCCTCAGCCTCCTGAGTAGCTGGGATTACAGGCACGTGCCACCACACCCAGCTAATTTTTGTATTTTTAGTAGAGACGGGGTTTCACCATATTGGTCAGGCTGGTCTTAAATTCCTGACCTCGTGATCCACCCACCTCGGCGCTCCGAAAGTGCTGGGATTACAGGCGTGAGCCACCATGTCCAGCACAAGTGTCATTTAAGATAATTATTCTTTTCTAAAAATCACATGTATAAAATGACTACTGCAGGTCAGGAGTTCTGAAGCTCTATGATGACATGGAAACAGGAGTTTCCTAAACCTTCAGTTCAGTATCAGCATCCTTCCAGGTCCAGCTTTGGTGAGATGTGTGTTCCCAGGGCACTAACACATATTTATCTGTTTCCCTTTGTATTAGTCTCTTTTCACGCTGCTGATAAAGACATATTTGAGACTGGTGAATTCATCAAGGAAAGGGGTTTAGGTGACTGAGAGTTCCAGATAGCTGGGGAGGCCTCACAATCATGGTGGAAGGCAAGTGAGGAGCAAAGTCACGTCTTACATGGTGGCAAGTAAGACAGCATGTGTAGGGGAATTCTTATTTGTAAAACCAACAGATCTCATGAGACTTATTCACTACCATGAGAACAGTATGGGGGAGACCGCCCCCCAGGATTCAATTAGCTCCACCTGGCCCCAACCCTTGACGTGGGGATTATTACAATTATTACAATGTGAGATTTGGGTAGGGACACAGCAAACCATATCACCCATGTTACTTAAGCATAAATAATCATAGTAGGAATAGAGTCTTTGAAGCTGATTCAGTAATATCTGAATAGCCCTGGCAATCTAGAAGCCAAATGTCCTTAGGAAAGTAAAATAGGAAATAAGTAGGAAGAATCCAGACTTTCAAGTTGGACAAACTGAAGACGGTGGGCTGTAAAGGAGATTTATGGGGAAATCATAAGCTACCTTTGTGCGGGGCACTTTGAGAAGCATTGTAGTGTGTTCTTGATAAATTGATGCTATTAATATCATTCTTTTTGTTTTAGATAGAGTCTTGCTCTGTCACCAGGCTGGAGTGCAGTGGTGTGATCTCTGCTCACTGCAAGCTCCACCTCCTGGGTTCACACCATTCTCCCGCCTCAGCCTCCTGAGTAGCTGGGACTACAGGCTCCTGCCACCACGCCCGGCTATTTTTTTTTTTTTTTTTTGTATTTTTAGTAGAGACAAGGTTTCACCGTTTTAGCCAGGATGGTCTCGATCTGCTGACCTTGTGATCCGCCCACCTTGGGCTTCCAAAGTGCTGGGATTACAGGCATAAGCCACCGTGCCCAACCAATATCGTTCTTATTATATTATTGCAGTGTACCTCTGAAAGGTGTTCTTTTAGTAAACTCTTACTTTCTGATTATTTATATCTGCTTTGAATTCACATGAACAGTAAGCACCTGACTATTCTCAAAATCTGTCAAGAACCACTAGGCTCCTATCTTAATCTGTGTCTCTGTCACTCCAGAGCTCCCCCTTCCTCTAATAATGGTCCCCCTTGGTAGGTGTTTTCTTCAGGTCTCCTCTAACTCTTGAAGCCTGAATAGTGATGATTATAAGCTCTCCAGTGTTAATCAAGGCTTACAATATTAAGCCAGCCAAATCTATAAAATCTTAGTGTAATTAAAGTTAAGCACCTCTTTTTGTGCTTGAAAAAAGCCATAATGATGCTCTTGCTCTTTAGAAAGTGTTGGCTGAAGTCTATAGATTTTCAATGAGTTAAAATTTCCCAAGATTTGTTTCTCAGAGGGCCAAAAGAAAGACGATAAAAAGGATTTGAGAGTACTGCATTGGCAAGAATTGTAAAGATAATTACCCACATTAGTCACCTTTTATCCATTTTCTTTCCGTTTTTTTCTGAAAAAAAAAAAAAAAGTGAAAGGGAATCCAATACAACACTCTGTGATAATGGAACAGATCCCTTCATGAACTAAGTACACTTGAGATACAAATCCAAATGGCACTCTCTAGCTGCCAGCTGATGTTCAAATATTCAGTTCAAGTTAGGAACTGAGATGACCCTATATACAGATACTAATCAGGAGTATTCATTAGACCTTCATCTTCAGTGTCCTTGGGTTGGTTTGGAGCTCTCTCAAGGGAGTTTATGGTATGATTTTGAGCACTCTGCTTACAGAATGCAATGAGCTGTGCTGCATTCTGCCTGCTTCCAGTAGCACACGGGCTTGGGCAAGCAGACAGCAGCTCCACCAGTACTTACAATGCCATGAATACCATTCACCATTTAGAATGAGGTCTGGGTAATCAATGACAGTACTTCATGAATACACACTGCATCTTACTGGCTGATTAGTTTTTATAAGATGTCTCTGATGTTTTCAGTGTTGGACAAAATAACAGAACTACTGTTGCTGAAGATGTGATTCCATGAAGCCTTCAGTATAGTAGACTTGGTGTGTATTTGCACACCTCGACATAGGACCCATAGCAAGGGGTTATATTCAAAATATGTAATAACCTGTGTGGCCTGGCCACAAATCAGTAAAGAAGTCAGCCACCAACTGACAGGTAGCTCCTCTTCTACTTTTCAGATGGACATCAAGCTCTGCTTGTGTTGGGTTCAGCGTTACATGACCTCTACCAAAGACTGATTACAAGCCCCAGCACCCAAATGAGGAGGCTAAGTCATCTTGAGGTCTTACATACAGAGGTAGAGATAGAATAGTGCCTACAGGTGCAAGGAGTGTAAAAAATTATCTTTGGCTGGGCACAGTGGCTCACGCCTATAATCCCAGCACCTTGGGAGGCTGAGGCAGGTGGATCATGAGGTCAGGAGTTCGAGACCAGCCTGGCCAACATGGTGAAACCCCACCTCTACTAAAAATACAAAAATTAGCCGGGCATGGTGGCTGGTGCCTGTAATCCCAGCTACTTGGGAAGCTGAGGCAGGATAATTGCTTGAACCCAGAAGGCAGAGACTGCAGTGAGCTGAGATCGTGCCACTGCACTCCAGCCTGGGCAACAGAGCATGACTCCGTCTCAAAAAAAAAAACTATCTTTATGGTCCCTTATTGAACTCTGAATTTTTGAAAGGATAGCATCTCTTGCCAGAGGAAAAAAGTTCCATTGTAGCAACTCTCTACAATTGTGATCACATGTACTTTAACTTAGCATATATTTTGGCAAAACACTTTGAAGAAAGGGATCAAATTCTGCCGCTAGAAAGAGAACCCATTTTGGCCGGGCGCGGTGGCTCACACCTGTAGTCCCAGCACTTTGGAAGGCTGAGGTGGGCGGATCACGAGGTCAGGAGATCAAGACCATCCTGGCTAACACAGTGAGACTCCGTCTCTACTAAAAATACAAAATAGCCAGGCATGGTGGTGGACGCCTGTAGTCCCACCTAATGGGGAGGCTGAGGCAGGAGAATGGTGTGAACCCGGGAGGCAGAGCTTGCAGTGAGCTGAGATCACATCACCACACTCCAGCCTGGGTGACAGAGCGCGACTCCATCTCAAAAAAAGAAAGAGAACCCATTTTTCATAATGCCGCAGTTTAGGCCAGTCTGATAAGTTCCGGTATACCAGAAGACAGAGCCACGCTGGTCTCACACGAAATTAGGTTGCACATGTACTTATTTTCTTTTCTTTTCCTTGTTTTTTTTTTTTTTTTTTTTTTTTTTTTGAGGTGGAGGCTCGCTCTGTTGCCCAGGCTGGAGTGCAGTGGTGTAATCTCAGCTTAATGCAAACTCTGTCTCCTGGGTTCACACCATTCTCCTGCCTCAGCCTCCCAAGTAGCTGGGACTACAGGTGCCTGCCACCCACACCCAGCTAATTTTTTGTATTTTTAGTAGAGACGAGGTTTCACCGTGTTAGCCAGGATGGTCTTGATCTCCTGACCTTGTGACCCGCCTGCCTCGGCCTCCCAAAGTGCTGGGATTACAGGTGTGAGCCACCGCGCCAGGGCGCACGTGTACATGTTTTCTTCCTGAGCACTGAGCCAGATGCAGGAACTCTGAGGGATGGAGAGCACAGCAGGAAAGTGGAGATGGAACCAATTCTTTCCTGTCTGTATGCCGCAATAGCCAACCACTCCTTTGTGGTACCTGTAATTATTCCTACTCAAAGTTATCTTTGCATATATAGCATGTAAAGTTTGAGTTTTAGGGAGGTACAGTGGGAAACATGGGATTAGAGAAGTCAGCCTCTGGAAATAATGAGTAGTGACATATACTGGAACATTATTCAGTACCACGCTTACCTAGAAAAAGTGAAAGAGCCTAGAGTATAAGCAAGGTGGTGGAGGTTGTGGCAAAAGAGAAATCCATTGTGTAAAAGATCCAGCTCCTACCATCTCAGGAATAAAAGGATGATAAGATTAAATACCCCTTCCCCAATTGTAGGGATTCAAATATATAATAGAAATAATATTTGAGGACCTTTTCTTATTTATTAAAAAGATAAACAGGTCGGGTGCAGTAACTCACACCTGTAATCCCAGCACTTTAGGAAGACGAGGCAGAAGGATCACTTGAGGTCAGGAGTTTGAGACCAGCCTTGAAATACAGTAAGCCCTGATATCTTCAAAAAAAAAAAAAAAAAAAAGAAAAGAAAAGAAAAGAAAGAAAGAAAAGAAAAAAAGAAAAAGAAAAAAAAATGGTGGCGTGCACCTGAGCGACTTGGGAGACTGAGGCAGGAGGATCACTTGAGCCTAAGAGTTCAAGGCTGCACAGTGAGCAATGATTATGCCACTGCTCTCCATGGTGATACCATGTCTCTAAAAAATAAAATAAACAATGTTATATTTTGGAGTACAATTTTTTAAGAATAGTCTTGTTTTATAGTATACATGAACATGATAATAAAATCGTAGAGAAATGGAACTTGTTGGAAAGTTAAAACTGCCCCCTCACCAGCTTGAGCCTGCTTTAGAAACTGGTAGTAGAAGAAGGAACACATGGTCATTAATTCCTGCCCTGAATTCCTCCTCTTCCTCACCTAGCCTGGTGAGTGTGAGGATTAATTTTATATGTCAGCTTGACTGGACTAAGGGAGCCCCAGATAGCTGATACAAGATTATTTCTGGATGTGTCTGTGAGAGTTTTTGCAGAAGAGATTAGCATTTAAATCCATGGACTCAGTAAAGATCACCCTCACCAGTGCAGGCAGGCATCATGCAATCAGTTGAGGGCTGGAATAGAACAAAAAGATGGAGGAAGGGCAAATTCACTCTCTCTGCTTGTGTTGGGACATCCATCTTCTGCCCGAAGCCATTGGCACTCCTGGTTCTCAGACTTTCAGTCTCAGACTGGGAACACCATTGCCAACCCTCTCCACATCCCCCCACCCCTCCCCAATTCTCAGGCCTTTGGACTTGGACTGAATTACACTACCAGCTTTCCTTGTACTCCAGCATGCAGATGGTAGATCTAGGAGCTTACTGGTCTCCATAACCAAGTAAGCCAATTCCTACAATGAATCCCTATCTATCTATCTATCTATCTATCTATCTATCTATCTATCCATCTATCCATTCATCTATGTGTGTATCTATGTATCTATCTATGTATCTATCCATCCATCCATGTATCTATCTATCTATATCTATCTATCTATCTATCTATCTATCTATCTATCTATCTATCCATCCATCCATCCCTGTATCTCTTCATCTACTCATCTATGTATGGATGGATGAATGTATCTGTGTATCTATCTATCTATATCTATCTATCCATCCACATATCTATCCATCTATCCATTCATCCATCTATGTATCTATCCATCTACCCATCCATTTATTCATCCATGCATCTATTCATCCAACCATGTATCTATCCATCTGTCCATGTATGTGTGTATGTATGTATGTATCTATCTATCTATCTCCTACCGGATCTGTTAACTCTAGAGAACCTAGACTAATACCATAGTCATAGATTCTGATGTCCCCAAAATTAATGCAGGGAAGGGAGGAGTTGTGAAGGAGAGAAAAATATGACTTTTTGGTGCCCTCTGAGAACAATAGATGTTTTAAAACTCTATATAGGATGGATGATCGAAATCGACTTCATTTTGGGGGTGCCTTGTGGGCTCTTCAGAGACCCAACTTACTATACTGAACTCCATTCCCTGTCATTTTCTTCGACTGCCTGCTTGCATGGTCTCCCACAGTCTCTAGTAATCTGTTGGTCCACCGTCTGAGGCAATGCTTTTGAGCAGATTGCAAAATAGCTCCAGATTAACTCTCTTCATCCCTCAGGCCAGCTTCTGCCTCATGAAAACTATTTGCACAACCTTACCCACATCCAGCTCCCCATCCCAGTGCAGCCCAGTGTGTATTTTTCTGTTCTGCTACCTCAAGTGGACAATCAAACCCTCTCACCCTAAATGTCTCAGGTGCATGTCAGAAATCAGTCCACTCGTTTGCAGCAAACTCCAGGGTTCACACGTAGGGCCCTCTGAATGGCCTATTTGAAGAGAGAAGTGGGGACCACTATTCCCCACTCTCATGAGTGCAGTGGTGCTATCATAGCTCACTGCATCCTTGGCCTCCTGGGCTCAAGTGATCCTCCAACCTCAGCCTTCCAAGTAGCTGGAACTACAGACGTGAGCCACCAGGCCCGGCTAATTTTTTATAGTCCCTTCCTTTGCAAGTTGTGGATGGATGGTATAGTAATTTGATTTGTGTGGCACACTTGTTATCTATTGTCTTGCTTACTCAGTCAAAACCAAGACTGAAAGTCACATGTTAACATCCTGTTGCTCTTAGCATTTACCTGAATAGAAACAAGATACCAGAAACAGACTATTAAAATCTAAGAAGACAGACTCTTCAACTGCAAGTTTAATGCTCATTTGTATCACTTGCCACCCTCCCTCCCTCTCCCACTGTCTAAGTCAGTTTGGGCTGCTACAACAAAAATATAGACTGGGTGGCTGCAATAACAAACATTTATTTTTTCACCGTCTGGAAGCTGCGAGGTCCAAGATCAAGGCACTGGCAGATTCAGTGTCTGGTAAGAATCTGCTTCCTGGCTTTCTTGTTGTATACTCACACTGGCAAGGGCTGTGAGGTGGAGGATAGAGAGGGAGAAGGAAGAAAGGAGGGAGAGCTCTCATTTTTCTTCTTCTAAGGACATTAATTTCAACATAAGGGCTCCATTCTTTTGACCTAATTACCCTCCGCCAAAGACCTCATCTTTAAATATCATCACATTGGGATTAGAATTTTTCTTTTCTTTTTTTTTTTTAGATAGTGTCTCACTCTGTCACCCAGACTGGAGTGCAGTGGTGTGATCTCAGCCTACTCTAACCCCTGCCTCCCGGGCTCAAGCTATCCTCCCACATGCGCCTCCTGAGTAGCTGGGACGACAGGCACGCATCTCTGCACTGAGCTAATTTTTCTTTTTTCTTTCACTTTTTCTTTTTTTTTTGAGATAGAATCTCGCTCTGTCACCCAGGCTGGAGTGCAGTGGTGCGATCTCAGCTCACTGCAAACTCTGCCTCCCGGGTTCATGCCATTCTTCTGCCTCAGCCTCCCAAGTAGCTGGGACTACAGGCGCCTGCCACCATGCCCGGCTAATTTTTTTCTGTTTTTAGTAGAGACGGGGTTTCACTGTGTTAGCCAGAATGGTCTCGATCTCCTGACCTCGTGATCCGCCCGCCTCGGCCTCCCAAAGTGCTGGGATTACAGGCGTGAGCCACCGCACCAGGCCCCAGCTAATTTTTCTATTTTTTATAGGGAAGGGGTTTCGCTATGCTGCCTAGGTTGGTCTTGAACTCATGGGCTTAAGCAAATCTACCAGCAGGCCTAGGATTTCCACATATAAATTTTGAGGAGAGACGTTCAGTCCATAGCACCCACTCTTTTATATAATATACTAAAAAAAAAAAGACTTAAAAATTAAGCTTATCTTTTGAATTACTATAAAAAAATAAGGTTTTGAAGTTCATCCAGAAACACAAAAGAAACTAAAATGCTTACACAGGTACACTCAGGTGACAAAGATATAAAGAAAAACAAGGAAATAATTATCATATAAAAGTCAGGGTAGTGGTTATCATAGAAGAAGAATAAAAAGAAGCCCCAGCAGGGATTCTGGGGTGCTGAGAATGCTTGCTTTATTTAGATGATGCTTAGCTGTTTAATAATAATCTGTTAAAATGTACACTGGTGTTTTGTGCAATTTCTCTGTGTATGCTGTATTTCATAATTTAAAATGTATTAATCGTTCCATTATTACTAAAAATTGCAATGGACTGGGCTGGAGGAGGGGATAGCAGAGTGAAAGCACAGAGATGAGGGTGAAAATTATTTCACTAGTCCACATACATGAGGTTGGTAACTTGAACTAGATCGGTGGTGGAAGAAATGGTAAAACAGGCTAAGATTCACACTATATTTACAGGATTGAGTTTCTAGGACTTTCTGGTGGCTTAGCTGTGGATGTGGTGGAATGGAAGATGTTAATAAATAAAACAGAGACATTAAGGGAGACACTTAGGGTCCTGGACTTACCAAATGGATGAAGGAATGGCTCCATTTACTAAGATGGAGGAGACTAAGATGAAAACAGATTTTGAGAGAAAGAAAGAATAATTTGGTTATAGGTAAGTTAAATGTAAGACGCTTCTGGACACTGAAGTAGAGATGTTGAGTACGTAGTTGGAGACATATTCCATGGATTAAGGAATAAGTCTTGGCTGAAATAATCTTTTGGACCAAAGACAATTTCTTTAATTTTCTAGATTATGACTTCAATATATCTTTTACCTTTTGTTTCTATTACCAATCTTATGGTTTACAGTTGGAATTCCTCTTACTGACCGTTAGGGACATCATTTTCTCTTGCACTATTCTCATCTCTATAAATAACGTAAATGTGACTGGAAATCCCGTGTCAATTTACCCTTAGCACATGGATTGGTCTGCTTGAGCTGCCATCACAAAATGCCAGACTGGGAGGCTTAAACAACAAATTTATTTTTTCACAATTCTGAAGACTCGGAGTCTAAGGATGCCAGTATGGCTAGGTTCTGATGAGGGGATCTTCCTGGCTTCCAAAAGGATGCCTTTCTGCTGGGTGCTCACATGGCAAAGACAGAGGAAAACTCTCTGGTGTCTCATCCTATAAGGGCACTGCTATAGTGTAGATATGTGTCTCCTCCTAACCTCATGTTAAAATTTGAGACTCAGTATTGGAGGTGGGGCCCAATAGGAGGGGTGTGCATCATGGGGGCAGATTTCTCGTGAATGGTTTTGTGCTGTCCTAGTGGTAATGAGTGAGTTCTCACTCTTTTAGTCCCCCCGCAAAAACTGGGTTTTTGTTTTTGTTTTAAGAATGAGTTTCGCTGTTGTTACCCAGGCTGGAGTGCAGTGGCATGATCTCAGCTCACTGCAACCTCCGCCTCCCTGGTGCAAGCGATTCTCCTGCCTCAGCCTCCCAAGTAGCTGGGATTACAGGCGCTTGCCACCATGACCAGCTAATTTCTGTATTTTTAGTAGAGACGGGGTTTCAACATGTTGGCCAGACTGGTCTCGAACTCCTGATCTCAGGTGATCCGCCCGCCTTGGCCTCCCAAAATGCTAGGATTACAGGAGTGAGCCACCACGCCCAGCCTAAAAGCTGGTTGTTAAAAAAACCCAGCACCTTCTCCCTCTCTCTTGCTTCCAGTCTGGCCACATCGTCTCTGACATGCGAGCTCCCCTTCACCTTCCACCATAAATGGAAGCAGCCTGAAGCCCTGACCAGAAACAAATGCTGGTGCCATGGTTCTTGTACAGCCTGCAGAATCATGAGCCAAATAAACCTCTTTTCTTCATAAATACCCCAGCTCCAGGTATTCCTTTATAGCAATGCAAATGGACTAAGACAGGCCCTAATCCTGTAATGAAGGCCCCACCTTTGTGACCTGATCTATACCTAATTACCTTCCAAAGGCCCCATCTCCAAATACCATCACATTGAGGGGTAGGGCTTCAACACAGGAATTTTAGGAGACACAATCCAGTCTATAGCAGCACAGTTCATTGTCTCTTCTGCTATATCAGTTCTCCCTATTAGGTTTTATTGAGGTTTGGGCCTTTAGATTTAATATGGTTTTTCTGCATGGCTGAATTTCCTTTTTACAATCGTTGTTTCTTCCTTTTTTTCTTTTTAAGACCAAGGGCATGAATACAGGGGATCACTACACAGGCAATCAACTACAATCTTCTAGATAGTTGTACTAACAGTATAGTTGTCATTTTGTAATGTGTAATTTTTTTCTTTTTTTGTGAGACAGAGTCTCACTCTGTTGCCCAGGCTGGAGTGCAGTGGCGCAATCTCGGCTCACTGCAAGCTCCGCCTCTCAAGTGCACGCCATTCTCCTGCCTCAGCCTCCCGAGTAGCTGGGACTACAGGCGCCCGCCCCCATGCCTGGCTAATTTTTTGTATTTTTAGTAGAGACGGGGTTTTACCATATTAGCCTGGATGGTCTCGATCTCCTGACCTCATGATCTGCCCCCCTCGGCCTCCCAAAGTGCTGGGATTGTTACAGGCATGAGCCACCGCGCCCGGCCGTAATGTGTATTTTTTTTTTTTATTATTAGTGGAGGCATAAAAAAGGAAGCTAACATTAATTGAAGGCTTATTATGTACCAATCTCTGTGCTTTGCATTTTATATCCGTTAATTTATTGATTCTTTAACAGAAACCTAGCAATTATTGTACACATTGGCAGTTGGGGAAACTGAGCCTCAGATAATTTGCCAAAGTTACACAGTACATGATTAGAAGAATCATGATGCAAACAAAAACACGACAGCAAAGCCTGTTCTTTCTACTATCCCTTGTCACCACATGGTGAAAGAGGAAGGACAATATGTTAGATTTACGTTCTTTTATTTTTATTTTTATTTTTTTTGAGACAGAGTCTCACTCAGTCACCCAGGCTGGAGTGCAATGGCACAATCTCAGCTCACTGCAAACTCCACCTCCTGGGTTCAAATGGTTCTCCTGCCTCAGCCTCCCAAGTAGCTGGGACTACAGGCGTGTGTCACCATGCCCAGCTAGTTTTTGTATTTTTAATAGAGACAGAGTTTCTCCATGTTGGCCAGGCTGGTCTCGAACTTCTGACCTCAAGTGATGTGCCCACCTTGGCCTCCCAAAGTGCTGGGATTACAGGCATAAGCCACCGTGCCCGGCCCGCTTTTGTAAGTGTTTTTCCATGTGTTGACATAATCTCCATATTTGTTGTTTTAATAGAACTGCATGATTCTATCAAATTAATGTCTTAATTTGAATAATCAATCTCTAATTGCTTATGTTTGATTTCTTTTTATTTGTTTATTTACAGGCAGGGTCTCACTCTGCTACCCAGGCAGGAGTGCGGTGGTGTGATCATAGCTCACTGCAGCCTCAAACTCCTGGGCTCAAGCAATCCTCCCACCCCAGCCTCCTGAGTAGCTGCAACTACAGGTGTGTATCACCATGTACAGCCAATTTTTAAATTTTGCTTTGTACAGTGGGATCTCACTGTGTTGCCCAGGCTGGTCTTGAACTCCTGGATTCAAGCGATCCTCCCCCCTCAGCCTTCCAAAGTGCTGGGATGCCAAGTGTGAGCCACCACATTCTGTCCATGTTTTATATTGCTTCCAGTTTTTCACTCTTAAAAATAATTCTACTATAAAAATACCTGGTTTTTATTCTCATAAATTATTTCTTCAGGGTAAATTCTCTGTGGTTTTCTGCCATAAAGGAATATGATTTAATAATCTTTTTCCTTGTGAGAGCTTATGCTGTGAAAAACAAAAGGAGATAACTCCTACTTTTAAGGAGCCTCTAAGTTAATTTTTTCCTCATCCTTCTTTGTCAAGCATTCTGAGGAACTTGCTAGATGTGTAAGCATTACAATAACTTAGTATATAGGTACTATTTATTTACAAAACTATATGGTGCTCTTCTAATGTGAACTAAACTGATACAAATAACCTTTACATTTTACCACAAAAAATTAACAAACATTTAAAAATGTCTTTGTCTTTTTGTAATAGCTTTTTCGGGATATACCATATTGACTTAAAGCGTTCGAGTCAATGATTTTGAGTATATTCACAGACTTGTGTAGCCACCACCATCAATTTTAGAACATATGCTTATTTCAGGGAGCTGGCTTATGTGATCATGGAGAATGGCAAGTCTGAAATCTATGGGTAGGCTGCAGCCAACCAGTGGAAAACTCTTGGGCAGGAGCTGATAATGCAGTTTTCAGTCAACATTTCTTTTTCTTGAGGGAAACCTCAGTTTTACCCTTAAGCCTCTTCTACTGATTGGATGAGGTCCACCCACATTATTGGCAAAAATTGCCTTAAAGTTAGCTGACTCTAGATGTTTAAAATAGCTACAAAATATCTTTACAGCAACACTAAATTATTGTTTGATTGAATAATTGAGTGCTATAGCCTAGCCAAGATGACACATAAAACCAAGCACCACAGTCCACCCCCATCAGCGTGGCACCCATACACATCTCCTTAAACCATATTTAATCTCCAGATAAAGACAATAAGAAAGTTATATTTCTGCCCAACATGATGCAATTATACTATGTACAACCAAAAATGTGCAACCTTTTCTGCAGAAGAGAATGCAACATCCCTGGATCACTCAGTTCATTCTTCTCCTTGACATCCTGCAACTTAAATACTATGACATAAGGTTCATTATTATGAATACATCTTATGTTAGCTGATAAGGTGATAAGAGAAGGAAGAAAGCAAAGAAGTATATACATATATTACAACAAAGTAGGAAGAAGTACTCATAACATTTACAGTCCTAATTTCTGCGACTGGTCAAGAGTTGGAGCTGGTATTTACAACTACTTCTTTTCATTCCCCATTCCCTATTTCCTTTGGCCACAGCAGACACCTCAGCTGATCATAGTTCTTTGCTTGGTATGGTGACCAGATTTTCACTTCTGAAAGACCTGAATTGGGCTGTTGTAGTTTTATTTTATTTTTTTCATTGACTTTAATCAAAGGGCAGAATAACACTAAAAGAATCACCTAAGGGATCTACAGGGGTCTCCTGTATTCCAGATTTTCTCTTCCTTACCTCCATTTTGTAGTAGTAGCCCAAATTCTCCTTGGTAATTAGGAGCAATGATCCCGGAAAGTATACTAACTCCCTTGTTTACCTGTTAATTCAGATGCATGAGGAGCTCAAAGTGGCTGGGTGGCAGTCTTAACTCCCAGCTCAGTGGAATAATTAATGTGTCTCCTGGTGGAAGCATTCCTTACTTTGGAACTACAACTTCTTAAACCAGCAGAATCTAAGATCACAGGGACAGGAGGCAAAAATTTTGTTAGTGAATCAGTAGGGTTAATAGTGAGTGGTGCCACTCCCACTTCCACCCTTTGATTCCTGAACCTGTGAATCCTGGCTATGGGAGAAAAAACACCATATGCTAAATGCTGAATTAGAGCATATACATCCTCTTGGAGAATCTTGCCTCTGCTCTGCAAAGTGTTACCACTGACTCAGTTAGAGACTCAGTGATCTGAATCTCTTCAAAAAGCCATTCCACGGTTCTATCAAGACACCTGTTTCAGGATAATGGGGACATGGTAAGATCAGTGAATTCCATGGCAATTGGCCCATTTCCATACTTAATTTGCTGTGAAAATGAGTTACTTAATCAGAAGCAAGACTTCTTACAATGCTTGTACCATAACAGTAGCTAAGGCAGTCTATAAGTCTACAGATGGCAGTTTTGGCAGAAGCACTGTATACAGAAAAGGCAAACACATATCTAGAATAAGTGTCTAGTGCAATAAGAATAAAACACCATCTATTACAGGATGCAAATGGTTCAGTATAATCAGCCTGCTTCCAGGTAACTGGCTGATCACCCCAGAAAGTGGTGCCATACTGGGGACTTAGTTTTGATGTCTGATGCTAGCAGATTGGGCACTCAGCAGTGATTATAGCCAAGTCGGTTTGGTGAGTGGAAGTCCATACATAACCTTCGTCCTTGCCACTATGGCCATTTTGTGCATGAGTCCATTAGGTAATAACAGGAGTAGCTGGGGGAAAAGGCTGGCTGGCATTCACAGAATGAGTCATCCTGTCCACTTGGTTATTAAAATCCTCCTCTGCTGAGCCCATCTTTTGGTGAGCATTCACATGGTGCACGAATGTCTTCAGGTTTTTTTTGCCTATCCAGAGAAGCCTATTGTATTAGTTTGTTTTCACACTGCTGTAAAGAACTGCTGGAGACTGGGTAATTTACATAGGAAAGAGGTTTAATTGATTCACAGTTCAGCATGGCTGGGCGACTTTAGGAAATTTACCATCATGGCAGAAGGTGAAGAGGAAGCAAGGCACCTTCTTCACAAGGTGGCAGGAAGGAGGAGTGCCAAGTGAAGAGGGAAAGAGCTCCTTATAAAACCAGCAGCTCTCATGAGAACTCACTATAATGAGAACAGCATGGGGGAAACCATCCCCATGACTCAATTACCTCCATTTAGTCTCTCCCTTGACACATGGGGATTATAATTCAAGATGAGATTTGGGTGGGGACACAAAGCCTTACCATATCACTGTCTATATGCCAGAGTTCTGGCAGGGCATGGTGGTTCCAACCTGTAATCACAGTACTGTGGGAGGCTGAGGCAGGCAGATTGTTTGAGGTCAGGAGTTTGAGACCAGCCTGACCAACATGGTGAAACCACCCCGTATTACAAATACAAAATTTAGCCAGGCGTGGTGGAGCATGCCTGTAGTCCCAGCTACTCCAGAGGCTGAGGTGGGAGAATCACTTGAACTTGGGAGGCAGAGGTGGCAGTGAGCCGAGATTGCACAACTGCATTCCAACCTGGGCGACAGAGGGAGACTCCATCTCAGAACAAAACAAAACAAAACAAAACAAAACAAAGCAAAACAAAAAGAATATACCAGCCTTCATTGTCATTAATTTTTCAACTAGTTCCTTCTAAGGCTCTAACTATTCAGACAAACCATTGGCCACAGCTCATGAATTGGTATGTAACTACACATTTGGCCATTTCTCCTTCCAAGCAAAATGAACAACCAGATTTACTGTCGGAAATTCAACTCTCTGGGAGGATATCCCTTCACTAATGGCCTTCAGGGCTGTCCCAGAGAGGGGCTGCAGTGCTGCAACTGTCCATTTTCAGATAGTGCCTGCATATCCTGAAGAAACATCTATAAACCGGACTCAAATGTTCTCCTCCTCAACTGATTTTAGGGAGCACCCCATGATGCCAAAAATTTGGGCTGGGAGAGAGAAAATAATGTAGGAAAAGTGAGAGCTATGGGCACTTGGGCCATTTCCTCATTTAACTTACTTGTGCCCTCAGGGCCTGTTGAGCCTAATCTCATAACTGTCACTTCCATTTGATGATGGAGTATTGCTGTGGATGCACAACTTCATGGCTTGGCGGGTCGGTCAGACAATACTCAGCTCATGATGGGCAGTGCAGGTCTCATGGTAACTTGGTGATCATGGGTAGGTGTTCAGTCTCTAGTACTGAAAGCCTAATAGCAAGCAAATTTCTCGAAAGGAGAGTAGTTATCCACAGAGGATGGCAGGGCTTTGCTCCAAAATCCCAAGCAGCTGCACTGTGATTCACCTAGAGGGGCCTGCCAAAGGTGCAAACAGCATCCCGCTCTGCCACTGACACCTCAAGCGCCATTATATCTGCTGGATCACACAGCCCATGTGGCAGAGCACCTTGCATGACAGCCTGCATCTGTTGCAGAGCCTTCTCTTGCTCTGGACCCAAAACTAGCAGCTTTTGGGGGTTACTCAGTAAATAGGCTGGAGTCACACATTCTATTGAGGAATATGTTGCCCCCAAAATCCTCAGAGTTTCACTAAAAGGGTTCGACTCTTTTTGAGTTGAAGAAAGGGACATATGCAACTTTTCCTTCATGTTACAAGAGATATCTTGACATGCTCCACAACCCTGGACCCCTAGAAACTTCACTGGGGTAGAAGTCTCCACATTTTTGTTGGACTCACTTCTCACCCTCTATTATTATGTAAATGTTTTACCAATGACTCTAGCATAGTTGCTACTTCTTGCTCACTAGATCTAATCGGCATAATGTCATCATCAATGTAATGGACCAGTGTGATGTCTTGTGGAAGAAAAAGGTGGTCAGAGTCCTAGTGGATTAAATTATCCACAGGGACAGCATTGACCCTATTACAGCTCTCTGACTGGATATGGTGCTTTATCATCTGCTTTGTCTTTCCATGTGCTAAACCAACCCAAATTTGCCCCCTAGAACAGGCATCTCTCTCCTCTTCATATAAGGCATGCCATGGCATCTCATTGTAGTAGTCTGAATAGTGGGCCCTTGAATATGTCCACATCCTCACCCCTGAAACCCATAAACGCTACCTTATATGGCAAAAGGGACTTTGTAGATGTGATTAAGGATTTTGAGATGGGACATTATCCTGGATTATCTGGGTGGGTCCAATGTCACCGTCATTTTTGGAGACAGGGTCTCACTCTGTCGCCCAGGCTGGAGTCCAGCTGCGTGATCTTGGCTCACTGCAGCATCTACTTCCCCAGGCTCAGGTGATCCTCCCATGTCAGCCTCCCAAGTAGCTGGAACTGCAGGGGTGCACCACCATGCCTGGCTAATTTTTGTATTTTTCAGGACACAGGATTTCGCCATGTTGCCCAGGCTGGTCTCAAACTCCTGGGCTCAAGTGATGCTCTCACCTTGGCCTCTCACAGTGCTGGGATTACAGGCGTGGGCCCACCACGCCTGACCACAATGGTCCTTTTAAGAGTGCAGTAGGAGTAGGGAGAGTCAAACAGAAGATGATGGGATGGAACCAGAGACGAGTGATGTGCTTTTAGGACGTAGGAAAAGGTCACAAGCCAAAGACTACAGGCAGCCACTAGAAGCTGAAAAAGTCAAGGAAAGAGATTCTCCCCTCAAAGCTCTCAGAAGAAAATTCTCCCCAAAGTCCTCATAAGATGCCAACATTGCCGATGCCTTGACTTTAGCCCAGTGAAACTGATTCCAAACTTCTGCCCCAGAACTGTAGGAGAATACATTTGTATTGTACCGTTTCAAGGCACTAAGTCTATGGTCATTTGTTATAGCAGCTATAGGGGACTAGTATACCCAGCCTCTTAACTGAGTAAAGCCAGAAAGATGTACATGAACAAAAGGAACGATGGAGAATAATTGCCCTCTGGTAATACCAAGTGGCAGAAACTATGCCACTTCAGTCTATTGTCCTGTATAAAAATAGGCTGATGGCTTCATATCACCTGATTTTCCAAAGAGGGCATGTATTAGTTTTCTTTTGCTGCTGTAAGAAATTATCACAAACATAGTAGCTTAACACAAATATATTTTACAGTTCTGCAGTCATAAATCTGGCATTGGTACCATTGGGCTAAAATCAAGGTGTTAGCAGGATTGAGTTATTTTCTGGGGGCTCTAGGGAAGAATCTGTTTCCTTTTTTTTTGCAACTTCCAGAGACTGCTCACATTCCTTGGCTTGTGGATTCTTCCATCACCTTCAAAGCCAGCACTGACTGGTTGAGTCTTCACATGGTATTACTTTCAACCTCCTTCTGTGTCTCCCTTTTGTACCTATAAGGATGCTGATGATTACATTAGGCCCACTCACATAATCCAGGAAAGTCTCCCTGTTCTAAAGTCTGTTGATTAGCAAGCTTAAATTCCATCTTCGATGTTCATTCCACTTTGCCACATAAAGTAACATATCTGCAGCTTCCAGAGATTTGGACTTGAGTATCTTTGAGGTGCCATTATTCTGCCCACCTTAAATGTGGATATAAAAATACATTGTAGATTGCTGTATTATCTGTAGTCTTTGATTTTTTTAGGTTTTCTGTTTTTTCTCTCATGATGTTGGCCCTCTCTCATGTGTGGTGATTCAAGGTTGTAAATTCATCTTCTGTGGGATGTTCCTTCTGCAAACATCCTGGACCACACTGACTTCAGGAATTATGGCTGTGTTGGTTTCTCTTGAGGTGGTCTTGGCAGCTGTGGTGGTTTTCCACACAACAGAGATGGTTTCTCAGCACTGCAGGGAGGAATACGTTTGAGAGAAACCTGCCTACCTCAGGCTGAGGTGCCTTCCTTTGTAGAGTTTCTATCTCTCCTAAATCCTGACCACAGCCAGAAGGGACTATTTGCATTTCCCTTAATATAAGAGTCCCTTTTCATTTCCAAGCTTATTAGACCTTCCTTTAAGACACTGTAAAGCAAAAGCAGCAGCATGCATGGGAAGCCAAATAACAACAATATTGAGTAAAAGGAGACCTGCTTGTTGTTGGGCAGACAAGACTAGTGTCTCTTAGGTGACCTTTATACAAAGTATATCCCATCCCTGTTCTTGATAACAATAAAAGCTGACACTTACATTCCATTTATCACATGCCAGAAACTGTTTATTGCACTTGGCATATATTAACTTACTAATTTCTCAGAACAACTATTAATGTCTCTACTTCGTGTCTCTACTTTGCAGGTGAGTTTACAAAGAGGTTGTGTTAGTTTGTTCTCACACTGCTACACGGACATACCAGAGACTGGGTAATGTATAAAGGAAAGAGGTTTAATTGACTCACCGTTCCACAGGGCTGGGGAGGCCTCAGGAAACCTACAATGATGGCAGAAGGGGAAGCAAACTTGTCCTTCTTCACATGGTGGCAGCAAGGAGAAATGCAGAGCAAAATGGGGAAACGCCCCTTATAAAACCATCAGATCTCATGAGAACACACTCATTATCATGAGAACAGCATGAGGGTAACCATCCCCATGACTAAATTACCTTCTACGAGGTCCCTCCCATGACATGTGGGGACTGGGGAACTATAATTCAAGATGAGATTTGAGTGGGGACACAGCCAAACCATACCAGAGGTTAAATGACTTATCCTGGATTGTACAGTATTTTATTCTGAGCAACTCAGCATCAAAAGACCTAGGTTCAGGATATGGAGGAATAGGTAATACCAAGAGAAGTTACACACATACACCACTTAAACAGCTTTCATTCATTTCCTTCTTTCAACAAGCCAAGTAACAACAGCAAGCAAGTAAAAGGAGATAGTGGGTGGAAGGCACATACCACATGTTTGGGGATTGATTAATGCCTCTCACTGCCTGGGCTGCCACTCATTCTCAGCCGGTATTTCTGATGGTCTCTGCTGGCAGATGTCTTTGCCCCAATCTTTGCCATTGGTTGGAGTCACCTCACGGTCAGTATGTGGTAGTCACGACCCCTCAAGCAGTGGCGGGAATCCACATTCATCATGGCTTGGTGGGTTGTCCCCATGTTCTGATTGGGGAGGGTGAGTCCTCTGGGTGCCTTGCAGTCTCTTGGTTTGCAGTTGCATCAGCTCTATTCTGGTTAGCTATATCCATCTGCATAAGCCATTACATCATTATATATGCGTTGTTGGCTAGTTATACCCTTCCATAGCCATGCATTTCAGGACTTTCTGAGCCTTTTCTAAACATGGTTATGACTTTGGGGGAGGGCAGGTGTTTATCTCTTTTGAGTGATATAGTCATATGCAAATCCGTAATGGGGTATACATGTATGATTTTAATTACTTTTGGAAAAAAAGCTTACAAGGAAAGGAACATTTTTGGTGGGAAAACTTGTTTATCTTCTTTTTTTAAAGCACAGCAAATAGATTTTTATTTATTCCTGTTAAAATGTATGATGTAATATCCTTTAATCATATGAAGCTAGTTAGTGACAAAGCTAGGATTCATATCCAAGCAGTCTGTATGTGGAATCCACACCTTTAACCACCTCTCTGCCCGGAACTAACTCTCTGCCTGGAACTAACACTTCAAATTAAACCGACTACCCATGAGCGTACAGACCATAGCCAGAAAAAATCCAAGTTATCTCAGTGCAGGCTACAGATGTCTTTGGAGCAGCAGCCAGAAGACCCTGGTATGTAAGAGCTATCTTATAAAGCTACTAAAACTTTAATGGGAGAGTTGCTAAGAAACTGATACAGAGGATATCTTTAAATTACTGTAATTTTGCTGTCTTGTAATAAGTTGTTTTACCTGTTTTTTTTTGGTAAAGCTTTTTCTGATACAATGTTGTTAGTACGATTGCAGCTGTTGGCATCATTGCCCATCTGTGGTTTTGTAAAAAAATATTCACCTGGGTTTCTGGATGGAACTTCAACTAAGAGAACGCAACACTTTTATAGAGAAATCTGGGCCCTTGGCACCATAGACATTTCTGACATAAAAATAACTTATTATGTTTCGGTAAGACCAAAAATGAGGAAATGACATGCCTCAGCCAAACCACAGCTCTGGCTTGTGCTCGTGGATTTGCGGAGGAGGCATTGCAGAGGGGATCGAAGAATAACTAGACTTAGTAGAAATACTACCAGAATACCAAATACGGTGGGAGATCAATGGGAAGTATATGGATGGAATGACACACCAATTCTAGTTGAAATATGGAACTTGTGCAAGTTCATGATTGTGTAATTTTCAGAGTGTCCATGCGAACCCCATAGGGTAAGAAAGCAAACATCAGAACACAGCCCAAAAGATCGGTGTCCTTTGAGTTGGTGGCTTTTCTTTTGTGTCAACAGTATAGCCTAAGAGAGTGCTATGTGCTCCCATTTTTGTAGTACTTGGGTATACTTTGTGTGTGTCTGTGTGTGTGTGTGTGTGTGTGTGTGTGTGTGTGTGTAGACAGGGTCTCACTTTGTTGCCCAGGCTGATCTTTGATCTTGATTTTTTGGGATCAAGCATTCTCCTGCCTCAGCTTCCCAAAATGCTGGGATTATAAGTGTGAGCCACTGTACTCGGCCAGGATATTGTTTTTGTGAAAACGCTTATGAAAATAAGATACTACACACCTGTGATCAACAATAGTTTAGAGACAGAGTTTATAAAGAATCCTGAATTATCAGATAAGGAAAGAATTAAACCTAATGTTTCTTTGCTTTAGATTCCCATTCTGTGTAAAACGATGGATATTTATTCCCAGCCCCTATCTTTGTCACAAAGGAAGTTGCGAGGGGAAAGCTATCAATAGTGGCTGTGAGTTCATGTTAACACTTTATGCATGCCATGTAAGAGAACGGATCTAACATTCAAAGAGTGCTTAAAAAACACCTAGGCTTTTAATCCTCATGACAGTGCTAAACTAAGGTCAACATTTTAGGCTGAGAGAGCTGAAGCATACCTATCAAGATTAGCCAACTAGTAATCATCAGAGATGTGACTTTCAAGCCCAGGTTTGTTTGACCCCAAGCTTTGCTCTTTCCACTATGATATAGTGCATTCCTCCTGGAATTGTGTTTAGCCACAGAAGATTAGGTAATAGCATGTGTCCTTTCATGTTTGGAGCTCAACATTAGTCGGTATAAACCCAAACTTCATAAATACTTAATGTTAAGTACTTTTCCTACTTTCTGCTCGAGGGGAAGAAAGCAATTTCCAGTTGATTGAATGCATTTCCAGACATGGTTTTCCAGTCCAGTTTCAG
Source organism: Homo sapiens (assembly GCF_000001405.40). NCBI lineage: Eukaryota > Metazoa > Chordata > Mammalia > Primates > Hominidae > Homo > Homo sapiens. The sequence goes on along the minus strand of NW_018654717.1, from coordinate 3,797,962 downwards.
GCAATTTAGTTTTTTGTTTTTTGTTTGTTTGTTTGTTTTGCTGAGACAATGTTGCTCTGCCACCCAGGCTGGAGTGCAGTGGCACGATTTCGGCTCACTGCAACCTCTGCCTCCTGGGTTCAAGCCATCCTCCTGCCTCAGCCTCCGCAGTAGCTGGGATTACAGGCGCGCACCACCACGCCCAACTAATTTTTGTATTTTTAGTAGAGATGGGGTTTCCTCATGTTGGCCAGGCTGGTCTGGAACTCCTGACCTCGTGATCTGCCCACCTTGGCCTCCCAAAGTGCTGGGATTACAGGTGTGAGCTACTGGGCCTGGCCGGCAATTTAGTTTTTAAAAATCTCTGTCCAGCAGAGACTTCCTTATTTTATTGTTATTATTATTTTTTGTACTGATAGACACAACAGATGCATTTTGAATAAGTCTGAACATCACTACTTTCTATGAGTAACTGACCACTGGGAGACCAGATGAGATATTTCTTATGCCTCCCATTCCAGGAGGCCATTATTTAGGGGACACATGGTGTGTTATGGATATCTAACATATCACGTTGGATCACTCCCACTTCTCAATGGTTCTCTGCTCTACATCAAGAAGTTAAGATTAAAAAACAGAAGCATGAAGAAGAATGTTGTGGACTGATTTTAGTTGCACTGATGTGAGTTTTCCTATCCAGCTACACTTTTTGTCAGGTGTCTACCGCGAGCAATGGCACATTTCATCACACAGCTGGATAATGTTAAGAATTATAATCTGTAACCCCAGATTAGATGAAAATAAATGCCACTCATAATACTAATTATGTTCCTGACCTTATTGTATTTACTTACTAACCCCAAATAAACTCATCTATTTACTTAAATGGGAATATTAACATCACATAAATCATATTTAACAATGAACACATGAAACAATTTATCACCTAGTTTAATATTCTGCTTGACTCATCTAAATCTTGTTTCTCTTACAGAATTTCCATCTATGTCCACTCTATTGGAATAATGCTGTTTCTGTATACTTCTACAATGCCTGCTTTACTATTGAACAGTAGGTATGAAATGGAGTCCTCAATGGGATTATCTCATTCATGGATACATCTTTTGATAGTAGAAAAACAAAAGTATACATAGGTTGAGGGAAAGACAGAAAAAGCAGTTGCTGAAAAATAGCACCTGATGGTGAGTAATGGACAGCAATCAGGTTTTTGTTATGTTTTCTTGTTGTTTTTGTGACAGGGTCTCCGCCCTCTGTCACCCAGGCTGGAGTGCAGTGGTGTGACCTCGGCTCACAGCAACCTCTGCCTCCCGGGCTCAAGTGATCCTCCCAACAGACTCCTGAGTAGCTGGGACTACACGCATGTGCCACTTTGCCCAGCTAATCTGTGTATTTTTTGTAGAGATGGAGCTTCGCCGTGATGGCCAGGCTGATCTTGAACTCCCGGGCTCAAGTGGCCCGCCGGCCTCGGCCTCCCAAAGTGCTAGGATTACAGGCATGAGCCACCGTGACCAGCCTAGCAATCAGGTTTTTATCTGTTTCGGGTGTGGGAGAGGCTAAGCTAAGCCAGAATTCAAAAGAAAGGAATATATTCATAATTAGTTACACTTAGGGTGAAAAATAAAATTTCAGAGAGAGCAGAATAGGAAAAAAAATCATAATTTTAATAATTCACACTTATTGCACTATTGTTATTTCAATTTTACAGAGAAAAACAGGCATAGAGTGATGAAATAGCAAGTACATATATAAACAACAAATGGCAGAGCTGGAACGCCAATCCTAGCAATCTGAACCAGCATTTAAAAACGAGGAATTAAAGCACATAGGGTGAGAAAAATTATAGGGAAGGGACAAGAGCTCAAGGGGACACCTGGAAAAGAAATACTATAATTTAAAAAATTACCAACGGGCTAATTATACTTGTGTTTTACTGGCAGAGCGCTTTGTCTGTTAGCTCTTTTAATCCCGCTAATAATTCTGTGAGGTTGGTACTATAAGTTCCATTTTTCAGACAAGGACGCTTAATAGATGATAACGGACACATTCCCTGCTTGCTCTGATCTGCATCTCAACAGCTGGCTCTGGAGCAAGCAAAGGGAGACTAAGGGAAACAGAGCGGAGCAGGGCAAAGAAAGCCGACTGAAAGTGAGAAATGCAGGAAATGTTTCCCATCTAGGCAGAAGCTGGTTCCAGCATTCAAATCTCTCCAGCCGGCCCGCCACCACGTCACAAAGCCCGCCTCTCAGTGACAAAGCCCCGCCCCGTTCCCTTGGCTGTTCTCTGAGCTCCCAATACTTCCCTCCTTCTCTTTGGCCCCTGCTACCCCGCCTAGCATCATTTCCTGTGCGCTGGATGCTGATTGGTCCGACAGTCGGAAGTGAGGGCGGGCGGTGGGGGCCGTTGCCGCAGTGACAGTGCTAGGGGAGTCCGAAGATGGCGGCGTCGCGTCGCTCTCAGCATCATCACCACCATCATCAACAACAGCTCCAGCCCGCCCCAGGGGCTTCAGCGCCGCCGCCGCCACCTCCTCCCCCACTCAGCCCTGGCCTGGCCCCGGGGACCACCCCAGCCTCTCCCACGGCCAGCGGCCTGGCCCCCTTCGCCTCCCCGCGGCACGGCCTAGCGCTGCCGGAGGGGGATGGCAGTCGGGATCCGCCCGACAGGCCCCGATCCCCGGACCCGGTTGACGGTACCAGCTGTTGCAGTACCACCAGCACAATCTGTACCGTCGCCGCCGCTCCCGTGGTCCCAGCGGTTTCTACTTCATCTGCCGCTGGGGTCGCTCCCAACCCAGCCGGCAGTGGCAGTAACAATTCACCGTCGTCCTCTTCTTCCCCGACTTCTTCCTCATCTTCCTCTCCATCCTCCCCTGGATCGAGCTTGGCGGAGAGCCCCGAGGCGGCCGGAGTTAGCAGCACAGCACCACTGGGGCCTGGGGCAGCAGGACCTGGGACAGGGGTCCCAGCAGTGAGCGGGGCCCTACGGGAACTGCTGGAGGCCTGTCGCAATGGGGACGTGTCCCGGGTAAAGAGGCTGGTGGACGCGGCAAACGTAAATGCAAAGGACATGGCCGGCCGGAAGTCTTCTCCCCTGCACTTCGCTGCAGGTCAGAGACTTTTGAATTGTTTATTAAGGGTTATGGGTTTGGGTGCAGGGTCCGGTTAGGACAAGAAAACAGGTTATTGTGATGGGACAAAGTGGGGGCGTGGTTATGGTTCTTCATCACCTCACCAGAAGACTGGAGGTTCCTTTCTTTTGGTGGTGCCTGGGTGATGGGGGCGTGGTTGGGGGGGATAAGTGAATCCAAGGAATTCTTCAGTGGTTGCACAGTACTCATTACAAAACTCACTGTAGTTGGTAGTCTCTGCATATGGATATATTTACACTTTAGTTTTTGGTGTGCAGGAATACAGTTAGATTTGGACAGCTTTAGAGTAGTTTTGTCGTTTGTGTGCTAGTTTATTTTGTTTTTACAAGGGTATGTCCTTTGAGGACAGTCCAGACCAAAAGAGGTTTAATACAACCCAACACATGTTTGAGGATCTATTGTAGCCTTAATAACCCAATGAAAGACATAAATGAAGTGTTTGAAAGTTTCCCTTCTTCTAAAGAAGTTTGCAGTCTAGACGGGGAGACCAAAATATGCCAATGTGAAACAACTGGAGAAGAATATTTGGATGCATTATATGATGATGGAAGAAATATAGGCTTTGATGTTGTGGCCACTATTATTTGTTGTCTAGCAGACCATTTACCTCGTGTCAGTTGCCTCAGTTTTCTCATGGGCAAAAATCATAAAATGATGTTGTGCGAGCATTTGGTGAGAAGTATCTGGCACAAAGTTCTCCCTCAAAAAGTGTGAATTTCTTAAGCTCTGGACCCCACACTTGTCTTTTTTTTTTTTTTTGCAAGTAGTTGATGATTTTCTCTCAAAGACACCTAATAATATGTTTATAAAATAAAGAGAACTGTAAAATAAAAACAAAGGACCATAATCTCACTGCCTGGATACCTATTGTTGATATTTTAAAAATGTAGGTAATAATGTTTTATACATTAGAAACATTATATTGGAAATACATATATTGTACGTTATACAATTCAAATAGGACAGAAAAATACAAAATGAAAGGCATCACACAGAAACATCAAAGATAACACACCAGAGATAACTTCTGTTAAGTTTCTCCTATATTTCTAATATATATATATATCACTTCTTCAGTTTGTTCTGTTAACAGTAAAACATGTGTTGACCCACTGTAGTATTTATTTTTACCACACTTGGGAGATATGATTAACCATTTTACAGATGACAAAAGTGAAGCATATATCGATCGCTTAAATAAGTCCAAATTCAGTCAGGAAATAGTGGAAATTGAGTTTGAATTCAGGCAGTTTGATTTTAGAGCTTGTGAAATCAAACTTAAACTGTCAGAACCCTGGATTAAGGTCACTTTTCATTTTTGTGAGTAATTGAAGTGTAGAGTTCCCAATTTTTGGGAGAAGTAGTAATGCGGAGGGGCTTATATGCAAGAGAGTAGCTTTCACATGTTTTTTATTGTAGCCCATACTTAGAAATACATTTTACATTGTCACATACGCAACTGAATCAAAAGTTTCTGGAAACAATACTTTCCCTTAATACATGTGTTGTCCTCTGATATTTTATATTTTATTCTGTTTCATTTTTAGCAAATGCTGCTTGTGATCCATTAATGGGTCGTGACCAGTGGTATGAGAAACACTTAAAGGAAATCATTGTTAGGTCACTGGATTCATTATTGATATACAGACACTACTTATTAGGAATGCAGTGAATTGAATCAGAAACAGACTTTTGCCTATTTGTTTGCTCAAGGGTCTTGCTTGTTTTAGATGAAATAGCATTTCTTTTTCCTTAGGCTAAATGAAAGGCCTAAGTCTGATTTTATTAATCAACAGAGGTGTCTACTTTTGCATACTTTATTCCAAGTTTGCCTATTTTAACAAATTGCGTCACAAATCATGTCATTTCTCACCATCCCACTTTATGCGTAATCACCAATAAATGATAGTTATATTTATGTGTATTAATGTATTTAGGATAAGTCACACAAAATAGTGCTTGTTTCTCAAATCACGTGTCTTCTATTTGCCACAATAGTTACTTGTTATTCTGTTTCAGAGTTTTATGTATATCCAGATAAGCTAGAAGATAAACAATCAAACAGTACCGTAATTATGTTGTAGTTATGACAAGCTAACCTTGAATTGGCTTTTTAAGAAAGTTTTTAGCTCAGTTGTGGAAAACACAGTAATAAAATTCTCGATATGAAAACATAATGTCCTGTAGTCAGTTTGCCACGCTTCCGTGATTGAATTCGTAACATTAAAGTTTTATTAAACTTTAGTCTTCTTTATCATGTATAGGCTGAGAAATGAAAAAAATTATCAGTTGACTGGTTATTATGATAGTAATTGAATTGTCACGGAATAGCTGTTTTAAAGATGAGAAATTGGTACAATCCCTTGGATGGAAAAATTTAAAAACTGCAGTTTATTTGTTCCAGAAATATTTTAGTGTGCTTAGATGATCGGGTGTTAAATACTGACACAATTGTGTAATGGCAAGCAGCCCTTAACCCTTATGGAGCTTACAGTCTAGTGGGGAAGCATAAACAACAACAACAACAAAAACCTATAAAGTATCTAGTGTCTAATCTAGAGTGATAGGAAACGTATATTATACTGTCTGTCCCAATATGTAATAGGAGCTCTTATCCTTGTTTTAGAGCAGTTAAGGAAGTCTTTGTAGGTAGATTTTTTTAAAGCAGGAATTAAAAGGGTGAGCCCAAGCTAGCCAAGCAAAGGTTGGAAGGGACGATGTTAACTAATGCTTTTATTTATTTTTAAAAATGAGTTTACAGTTCTATAGAATGAAATGAAACAATTTTTTTTTCTTTCCAACTTTTAGGTTCAGGGATTACATGTGCAGGTTTGTTACATGGGTAAATTGTGAATCTTGGGGGCTTTAGTGTACAGATTATTTCATCACCTAGGCAATGAGCATAGTAGCAGATAGGTAGTTTTTTGATTTTCAGCCTCCCCCATCCCTACCCTCCACCCTTAAGTAAGCCCCAGTGTGTATTCTTCCCTTGTCTGTGTCCATGTGTACTCAAGGTTTAGCTCCCACTTACTTAAGTGAGAACATGTGGTATTTGGAAATCATTTTTAAAGATCTCAGATGTGGTATGAAACCATATTTAAATCCTTATCACTTTATTTATATTACCTTAAGAATAATCATATTCTTTCCAGCAGTAAAATTAAGAATCCTTTGTATCCTATCTTGGATTGTGATAATTTGTTTAGAATATGGTTTAGAGACTGTGTTAATAATGGAATCATCCTATCTGCAGTTAAGACAAAATCTTGTTTCCATTGTTGATACAGGTTCTCAAAATACTATTTTTGATGCCTTTGTAAGATGGCTTTGTAAAGATGAGCCATTCTTTTATTGTTGACTAGAATTTATATGAGACTTTTTCTTCTACAGATGTGGTCCTTGACCCTGGTTTTCTATTATTTAAAGTATAGCAGTCAAAATAGTTTTATAAATAGTACCAATTTAGAGTGATACCTCCTTAGGATGGTTTCTAGTAGTGACATATTTTTGTTAAAGGACCCATATATTCTGAAGACGTCTCTTTTTATAGAAAAGTTTAAATGAGGTCTTTTTTTTATTAAGGCCTTAGTAAAACATTAAATTCTGAGATTTTATAGTATTTACATGAAATTGAAGAAATCTTGAAATGGGCTTCCTGTTAGTTAACATATACGACTTGGATTATGATAGGTAATGTGAGGTATTTTAAAATAAAAACTAGTTTTCTTTGTTGGGTTTTGTTTTTAATGGTATCTACTACAATACATATTTAACAGTACAGAGATTTTTCAACTCATTCCTGACTCTTCTCTAGATTTTTCAGCATGGCCATACTTGTCTTTTTTTTTTTTTTTTTTTTTTTTTTTTTTCATTTCTCGCCTTTGTACAAATGTCGTTCCTGTTAATAATAGAAGTCACCATATACTCTAGATTGTTGCCTATCAGTGGGTAATAAAATGAGTCAGAATGCTGCAGTCTTGGAGTGGGAATTATCTTACACTTCTCGTTGCCTGGCAAGATCCTTTATATTACTTGTAAGCAAATGCCCTGTCTGAGGATGTAAGAAGGGTCTAATTTGGTAATAGAAGAAAGGGACCTAGTTTCATAAATATCTTCCCAGACTTAAAATTGTTGATTATAAACTGGATTACCTTTTACTTAGTGTTTTCTTAAAACCTTAACACTTTTCTGAAGGTACCTCTTTAAAAAAAAAAGTTTACAGAGAACTTTTAGTTAGAAAGATGTGCAAAGTGTCTCTTTCTTTTACCTCAATGATACTGCTCTTTGGAAGCAAATGATTTAAAGAACAAATTAGCCATTTATAAGATGATATGTAAATTTATTGCTAATAGCAAAAAATTTGTAACAAGCCAACTGTTCAACAATAGAGAAATGCTTACATAAATTATAATACTGTACAATTTCTATTACATGTGTATTCCTACATATATGTTCTTTTATCCGTCAATCATCTTTTTATTAAAGCATGTGAGTGTAAATAGTAGGCATCTGTGCAGCTTCTCCAAATATGCTAATTTGCATATCATTATCTAAGTTCAGTATTTGTGTAAAGATTTATCTTTTAGTGTGAAATCTGTGCAAATCTTATGTGTACATTCACTGAGTTTTGACAAATGCAGATACATGTGTAACTGAACTTATGACTTTCCTTATAGAAACTTCAGAAAGTTCCCTCATACCCCTTATCTCAATCTTGTCACTACCCCTTTTCCCTCAGGCAACCACCATTCTGATGTTTTTTCCACTATAGAATAAGAGTTGCCTGTTTTAGAATTTCATATAAATGCAGTCATACAATATTTAGTCTTTCTGTAAGACTTATTTTGCTCAGCATGTTTTTGATTTTGTAACGTGTATCAGTAGTTTCTTTTTACTGCTGAGTAGATTTCATTATATGAATATGCTGCAGTTTGTGTATCCCTTCAATTGATAGACCCTTAAGCTGATTCCTGTTTTGGCTATTATGAATAAAGTCGCAATGAACATTCTTATAAAATCCTTTTTGTGGACACGGATTTTCTTTCTCTTGGGCAAATACCTAGTATTAGAATCTCTGGGTCTTAGGGTAGGTAAATGTCCGGTTTTATAAGAAACTGCCAACACCTTTCCCCAAAGTATATGTACCATTTTACATTCCCATCAACGATTTTTGATGGTTGCTGTTTGATTTTGCTCTTGTTGCCCAGGCTGTCGTATAATGGTGCGATCTTGGCTCACTGCAACCTCTGCCTCCTCGGTTCAAGCGATTCTCCTGCCTCAGCCTCCTGAGTAGCTGGGATTACAGGCGCCCACCACCACGCCCAGCTAATTTTTGTATTTTTAGTAGAGACGGGGTTTCACCATGTTGACCAGGCTGGTCACGAACTCCTGACCTCAGGTGTTCCATCCACCTCAGTCTCCCAAAGTGCTGGGATTACAGGAGTGACCCACCACGCCTGGCCTTATATATCTTTTATGAAGTTTTGTCCTTTTTTTTTCTACTGGGCACACTTCAGTTTTATTCAGTTTTGTTGGGTTATCTTTTATTATTAAGTTTAAGAGTACTTTATATATTCTGCATACTAGTGCTTTGTGGGATAAATGTGCTAATATTTTCTCCCAGGCTATGAATTACTGATTAATTTTCTTAATGAGAGTCATTTGAATAGAAATTTTAAATTTAATTTATATATTTATTTTATGGTTATTGCTTTCTCTGACTCATCACCTGGATAAGAACTTTTATCTGGCCCCAAGTCATAGAAGTTCTCATACATATCCTATGAAAATCTTTATGATTTTAGCTACATTTTATCAGATGTGACTATATCCACTTCAGTATTCTTATGCTGTGTGTGGCATTTTTCTATTCATTCACTTTCAATCAATCTGCCTTTATATTTAAAGTGTGTCTATTATAGACAGTATATATGTGAGTGTTGCTTTTTAAGACATTCTGACAATCTGTGTCTTTTAATCTACCTCATTAACTAATATTGATACTTCCAATTCAAACTCAGAACTATAGGGTTTTTACTTACCTCTTCTATGTTGCATCTGGCCATCATTTCTTCCATACCTAAACTTTTATTTTTCAAGGACCTGCTAAGAGCTGTTAATGTTGAAGGTCTGATGAGAATGGGAATTTCCTTCCCTTAGCCTTTTTTTTTTCTTTCTAGATGGGCAAAGGATTTTTTTTTTCTCTTCCATTAAAGACCAGATATTCTATTACAGTATGTCTTGGTGTTCGTTTCTCTAGATAGATTTTCTCAGGTATGTGGTATGGCTTTTCTTTACATAGTTTCAGATCTTTTATTTCAGAAAAGTTTCTCAAATTATACTTTTTATTATTCGTTCTTTTCTTTTTATGTATATTGAAACTTTGCCTCTTCTAAATTTGTTACTTGCTCCATTTCTTTAATACGATATATGTAAAATTTACCATTTTAACCATTTTAAGTGTACAGTTTTGTGGCATTAAGTTCATTCGCCATGTTATGCAGCCATCACCATTGTCCATTTCCAGAACATTTTTTGTCATCTTAAATAAGCTCTTGTACCCATTAAACTATGTCTATCTGCCCCCAAACCCCTGATAACTGTCACTTTCTTTTGAATCCTATTAAAAAATATATATCTTCTTTTTTTATTAACTTTTTTTCTCCTTTCATCTTCTATTTTTCTTAAGGCAGGAGTTGGAAACTTTCTGTAAATGGCCAGATAGTAAATATTTTAGGCTTTGTAGCCATATGGTCCCTCTCATAGCTACTCAGTTTTGCTTTTATACTGTGAAAGTTTCCATAGACTATATGTAAATGAATGAGTGTGATTGTGTTCCAGTAAAATTTTATTTATGAGAATAGGTGATGGGCCAGATTTGGTGTATGGGTTGTAGTTTGCTGACCTCTGTTATAAGGCATTATATGTGGCATTTTTTCCATTTTGTGTTCTTTCTTTTGTAGTCCTTTCTTGAAATTATTTTTTCTTTTATTTTGAATTATTTTCTGAACTCTCTCCTTTTATTTCTAACTCAGGCACATGCTATACGTTCATATCTTGTATCATTCTCGTATTCTCTTTTAGCTAGTGTTAAAATAATTGATTATAATTTTGTCTGCTTTGTGGGCATTTTTTTCTGTTAGGTATTAATTGTCTGCGGGGATGTTATTCTCCAAATTCTTCTTGTAAGAATTTTGTATGTATTTGACCTCAGTTACTTTCGTTGCTCATTTTTACAGAAATTAATTACTAAATAATTTCAAGGATAAAAATAAAGGTCTGAGATAGTTAAGGTAATCCCCCCTGTCCCTTTTTGTTGTGCTACACCTGCAGCTCTGGCCTAGAATAGATCAAGTCTCTCAGTAAGGTCTGCAGGATCATCTTTTACAGTAGTAGCATTTAAATTATGAAACATCATCATTTTATACCTCTGTTTATATAACCTATGAGACATTTTTTCAGGAACCTTAACCGGAGACATTGTGCTAAGGGCATTTTATAGATAAAGTCTCTTCCTGATAGATTACTATTTAGTCTTTTTGGTAAGTGTAGTCCAGTCACCTGTAAAGCATTCCCTACCCCATCAATGAATTGAATAGGTCACAGGCCAGGTGTTCTTTCCTGACGGGAAGTGATTCTTTGACAGTTAACAGGCCAGAGAAATACATTGGGAGGATAGGAGGCATATCATCAAAGGTCGAGTTGTGAGCATAAATATGTTAAAAAAAAAAATCTCAAGCTTAGAATCCAGAAGAAAAGTAATCAAGGAATGTGAATAATTCTGAGAAAATAAATTTTATTGTAATGTTAGGTTTGGTTTTGGAAAGGAATAAACATGAGCTCTGTGATGACATGAGGGAGAAAACACTATAGTAGTTTAGTCTTTAATATTTTTAACAGCCTCCTTTTGTGTCATAGACAAAGAATCTTTGGGTAGCTTACTATAAAATATTGCAGTAGATAAAATTGAAGGCAGTTGCTTCTTACCTTTTTATTTTTCCCCATGTCATTGTCCTTGAAGCTACTTTGGCTTATGTTTATTCTTCTGATAGCTAAGTTTTGGTGTAGCCCTGCTCTTGAGGCACCTAATACCATGCATCATTAATAGATACTTATAGTAAGAATTGAATAGGATTAGTTAAGATAAGATGGGTTGGAGTCTGAGGGCTAGGTGCAGCCTCCCCTTACGGGGCTTAATAAAACCAATGAAACATACACGAGAAAGAAACATTCAGAAATGGACTTTCAGTTTCTTGGTGAATAAAAAGCATTATATCTTCAAGAAAAAATGAGTAGGGTGGGTTTCCTAGGGATTTCTACTAAAGCCTAGGAGCTCAGGATAACCCCGGGGCTCATTAAAAAAAAAAAATCACTTTGATTTCAAGTAATTGAGGAAAGTTTTAGGTGTTTTGTTTTTGTGTGCCCGTTGTTTTTCTTTTAAGGCTTCATCAGATGTCTAAGTTTGCTTTCACCAGAGCGAGTTACTGAGTTCTCTTCTCGAATCTTGTTTTGCCAGTTTGTTCAGGTATCTGTTTATAGAATTAAAGCAGCGTGAGGGTAAACTTTTTTTTAAGCTGTTTTTTGGAGTGTGTCAGCTCCCCATTCAATTTAGACAAGTTATTTATTTATTTATTTATTTTGGTTTTGGAAGAGGGAAAATAACGTGATGTAAAATTTTTTCTCTATCCCTTTTGCCTTTTCAGTAGAACAAACTAAACTGCTGGTAGGTGGCAGATGTTTGGACTTGTTTATTTTTTCTTCTTTGGTATATTTTCTTTTAAAGTGAGGAAGCATTTGGTAGTTAGCAGATGATTTCCATGAACTACAAGTCCAAACTGAACAAAATTTGTTTTAAATTTACTGATTGACTCAAAAAACCTTAAAGCTATAGTCTCTGTGTCATTAGTTCAAAAATAAACTAAACCAGCCAGGCGTGGTGGCTCACGCCTGTAATCCCAGCACTTTGGGAGGGCGGATCACAAGGTCAGGAGATGGAGGCCATCCTGGCTAGCACAGTGAAACCCCGTCTCTACTAAAAATACACACACACAAAATTAGCCTGGCGTGGTGGCGGGCGCCTGTTGTCCCAGCTACTCGGGAGGCTGAGGCAGGAGAATGGCGTGAACCCCGGAGGCAGAGCTTGCAGTGAGCCGAGATCACGCCACTGCACTCCAGCCTGGGTGACAGAGCAAGACTCCGTCTCAAAAAAAATAAAAATAAATAAAAATAAAAATAAACTAAACTCCCTGATGCCTTGTTAAAGTGTGTGTATACACACTTTTTTGTGTCTACATGTATATAACTTATTATATATGTCAAATTATATGTTGACATATATATTATATACATAGTAAGTAGACATTGAAAAGTTCTGATGCCCTCATTCTGATAATACTCATCAACCGTAGAAACCATTTTGACATTCTCATCAGTCATGTTAATAAGATGTGCAGGTCTCCTCTTCCAAATGCTTGGGTTATTCTCATGTTGACTGTGGAAATTTGGTATTTTCAAAAGAAATGACATAGAATTACACTTAGTTAATACATCTTAGCTATTTTTTTCTAATGTCTTGAGGTACCAACTTATGTTTTTCTTCTTTGCAGGAAAATATTCTTATTTGGAAAAAGAAAACTTTTTGGATAAATTTTTGAAACTTTGAGCAAGCTATCAAAAGTTGTCTGCCTCCTCCTTCTCCCCAGCCCCAAAATACACAGACTTAACAACAGAAAAATATAACTGTTATCCTATGTTAATTTATGAAAGCAGATAAATATGGGGTATATAATAAGATAATTTCATTATTTAATTCAATGAATTGCTTGTTTTAGTGCTCTGTAAGTATTTGAACAAGTAAACTTTTTGAGTTAACACTTCTGATTTCTGATCTTCTGACATTCTTAAGTACATAAATATTAATCCTCGTATATTAGCCCAGTCTTTTTTTTTTTTTTTTTTTTTTTTTTTGAGACGGAGTCTCGCTCTGTCGCCCAGGCCGGACTGCGGACTGCAGTGGCGCAATCTCGGCTCACTGCAAGCTCCGCCTCCCGGGTTCACGCCATTCTCCTGCCTCAGCCTCCCGAGTAGCTGGGACTACAGGCGCCCGCCACCGCGCCCGGCTAATTTTTTGTATTTTTAGTAGAGACGGGGTTTCACCTTGTTAGCCAGGATGGTCTCGATCTCCTGCCCTCATGATCCACCCGCCTCGGCCTCCCAAAGTGCTGGGATTACAGGCGTGAGCCACCGCGCCCGGCCTAGCCCAGTCTTTTGTCATCAGAGTCCAAGGTCACATAGCTAGCTTTTAAGTAATGGTGCCAGATTTAAACCCAATCTGGTTGTCGTAAAATCATTTGGTCTGTGCTACTCAAATGGAAAGTTGATAGCAATGAGAAATAAAATCTGTATTTTGTGTCATTTTGTAATCTGACGATTCTTACTGCTTTCTCAAGTTGGTTTTCTGGTAATAAACGTAACTTTACAAATTTTGGAAAGTACAGTAAAAAGTAGGGCATCATCTTCCCACCCCAAGGGAGCTACTAGTGATTTTGACATATTCCCTCCAGTCCTTCTCTTAGGCATTTAAAGTAAAACTTTTTTGTAAGTATGGTATTGGAACATTTGCAGTTACTAGAATGTTGGGACTATCTGGTCTTTTGTTCAGTTGATTGTTTTTATAAACATAAAAAGTGTGATTGGAAGTAATCTTTGAAGAACCTCATAACTAAATGGAAGAAGGAAGGATATTTTAGCAACTGCTTTCTTATTTATTTATTTTTTTTTTGAGACGGAGTCTCGCTCTGTCGCCCAGGCTGGAGCGCAGTGGCGCGATCTTGGCTCACTGCAAGCTCTGCCTCCCGGGTTCACGCCATTCTCCTGCCTCAGCCTCCCGAGTAGCTGGGACTACAGGCGCCCGCCACCACGCCCGGCTAATTTTTTTTGTATTTTTAGTAGAGACGGGGTTTCACCGTGTTAGCGAGGATGGTCTCGTTCTCCTGATCTTGTGATCTGCCCGCCTTGGCCTCCCAAAGTGGTGGGATTACAGGCCTGAGCCACCGCACCCTTCCAGCAACGACTTTCTTTAAAAGACTATATAGAGTTGTTAGAAAATCTCGTAGATAAATTTTGCTGTATGTTTTGACTCATGGAAGAAGAAGTTAAAAATTTTTTGAACAGTAACTGAAACATATTGGAGTCACAGCAGTTTGAAAGTATGTAATGCCACTGAACTCTACATTTAAAAATGGTTATGATGGCAAATTTTATATTATGTGTATTTTACCACATTTAAGTGAAAAAAAAGGGGGGTATCATAGTGGACATTTTAGCCTCTCTATTGTCCTGGAGCGTTTCTTAATATTACTAACACGAAATATGGAAAATAGTATATTTAATAGACTGAATCTCTGCAGTTATGTTGAGGATACTCTTTTCATCTTATCTGTTGATTCACATTTTTTGAGAGTGACCTGTAGACCTTCTCTGTCAGTATGAAGCTCAGCATTAATGAAGTGTTTATGGAAATTCAAGCAAGCTGCATGCAACTTGTTTAATTAACATTCACTGGGGCAATTCCATGGTGTGTTTTTCCCCCTTGGTTTGTTTCTCAGGGATCTGGCTTGAGCTGTAAGGTTTTTGAGTAGTTCAGTAACAGCTCGAGAAATATGAGCAAGATTATGGGAATGGAATGTTTCCTGCCCTTAAGAAAGCTTATAGTAAAAATGCAGTGTTTCTCAAACTTTTTGGTCTCACTGCTTTTTCACACTCTTAAAAATAATTGAAATAATTTTTGTTTATGTGGGTTCTGTCTATGGAGACTTACCGTATGAAAAATTTAAAATGAATATAATATTAGAAATTTTAAAAATAAAATGATAAACTCCATTATATGTAAATATGTGTAAACAACATTCTTAATGAAAAGAAGCTATTTTCTAAAGGAAATAATGAGAAGCAGCATTATTTTACACTTTGCAAGTCACTTTAATGTCTGGCTTAAAAAGAGATAGCTAATTCTCATCTGCTTCTACCTGCCAATTCTGGTATATTGTTTGGGTTAAAGTATATGAAGAAAATCCTTCTTCAAACAGAAAATGTTGTTGGAAAAGGAAGAAATATTTTAATAGCATTGTCAGATAATTTTGCCTTTTTTCTCTTTGATTCTGTACCCACAGTTGATAAGTAATAGTTTCCTAAGGGTTAGTTGCAACGTAGAATCTGAAGCCAAATCAGTGAATTTTTTTATACTTCTGCTGTGTTAGAATCCATTGTTAGAATCCAGAAACGGGTATACCTGTACTTGTTTTGAGCATTTAGAAAATATTGGTTCTTGAAGCTGTGCAGATATTCCAAATGTTGACACATTTTACTTTGTAATAAAAATAATAAGCATAATTGTTAATATTGCCACTAATCTCATCAGAAAAGTATTTTAGAATTGGGAAACTGTTAAGCTTATAGCAATAGTTGCAAGTGTTACAGAATTCTAGTATTTCCTTGAAAGCTCAGATTTTATCATTGGGAACAAATACCGTTTGGTTTCCTAAAAGATTCTAATAATTCCTGTCATCACTCCCTGGACGACATCAGCTATTACCATAGTTTCTTAGTGTGGACATAGCTCCATAGCACACACACATCATAAGTGTACCGGGAGGTGAATTTTTACAAAGTGAACACACCTGGGTAACTAGTGCCCTGCTCAAGAATCAGAACATTATCTGCAATCCATAAGCTCCTGTCCTATGTCTTTTGAGTCGTTACCCCTCTAACACTCATAGATTTTGTCTGTTTTGAACTTGTGATACATGATACTATATAGTCAGTACTATTTTGTGGGAGATTCATCTATCTTATATAGTTGTAGTTTGTTCATTTTCATTGTTTGTATAATTCTATTGTGGGAATATACCACTACTTACCCATTCTACTGTTGAGTATTTGGGTGGTTTTTATGTGTGTTCTATTATGAATAGTGCTGCTATGAACATTTTTGTACACGTCTGTAAACGTCAACATTGAAAACTTTTTAGTTGTTTGATAAAAGCAATATTTAGTTAATTTGCATTTCTTAGTCACTGTTTTACTTTTAAAAGACAATTGGCATTCACTGTTTGGCATTATATCTCTTCGTATTCTTTTTTTCTTTTGCCTTTTGGTGTCTTTGTTATCTGTGCTTTGTTAAAGTCATTGTGAATATTTTCCTGGCTTGTTTTAAAATTTTATCTGTAAGCTTTTGAAATCTATTGCCTTAAAAAGTGTTTTTTTAATCTATAAACTTTTCAAATCTATTGCCTTAAATTTTTTTTGTTTGTTTTCTTCTATTGCTTCTCCTATTCTGAGATCATGCAACTGTCCACTTAATTTTGTTACGGTTTCATTTTGACATTTTACACCTTAATCTATTTTAAATTTATTTTGCTATATATTAAGAGGTAAATATTTTAAAAATTGTTCTTTTTTAAGCAGATGCCAGGTGTTTTTTGAACCATTTATTGAATAATAAATATAGGCCAGGTGTGATGGTTCACTTGTAATCCCAGCACTTTGGGAGTCCAAGGTGGGAGGATTGCTTGAGCCCAGGAGTTTGAGACCAGCCTGGGCAATAAAGCGAGATCCCTGTCTCTACAAAAAAATTTAAAAAGCTAGCCAGATGTTGTGCTGTACCTGTATTGACTGTAATGGGGATAGCAGCAGGTTCAAGAGGCCAAAAAAGATCCCTGAGCCAATGAATGAAACATAATGTCCTGGGGGCTAAAATACAGGGAAGAGATTCCAGTGGCAGTGGGCTGGGCAGAACCACCAGTCCCTTGCTGGCGTGGTGGACAGAATTACCACATGGCCCAGTGGCATTAGGATGGGTAGAATAACCAACTGCTTGCAAAAAGCATGCGGTTAGTACAGCATTTTCACTTGACAGCCTCCCCCAGCAACCTCTACCTGGCAACCTTTAACCCAAAACAAAGGGCCTCAATCCTCTATATGGCCCATGTTCCATTCTACATGATGGGCTTGGGACTCAGATGTCCCTTGTAGATAATGAATGGATCTCCTGGTTGGCCACTCTTGTATTCTCTAGCTCGGAACTGTGACCACACATTGAGGTGCATCTGCCATACAGGGTCATTCTCAGGGTATGCTCAGGCTAAGTCATTGCTGTCATGTGTCTACTGTATACCCAGTGTGGTGGCATGTCTGTAGCCCCGGCTACTAGAGAGGCTGAGGTGGGAGAATCACTTGAGCACTGGAAGTCAAGTTTGCAGTGAGCTCTGATCATGCCACTGCACTCCAGCCTGGGCAATAGAGTAAGACCTGTCTCTTAAATAAAAAAATAAATAAAAATCAACCATTAAAAATGGAGGTAGATTTTGTTTTTTAAAAATTACATTCGGGGGCATTTTGCTGCATTTTCATTTGATGTCCAGTTACTGTGATTCATTCATTGTACTATGTTTAACCTTTTCCTCCCTACTGTGGCCTTAAGAGTAATTTCTACAACAAATTCTATGTTGAATTTAAGGAAGCTACACCAAAAACTATCAGCAGAATTTCAAGAATCCTTGTAGCCTTTTTTCCTTTTTGGCTGCCAAGATTGATGTATATATAGGTACCTATCTATATTTAGCAGTTTCTTAACCTGTATCTAAGTTCACATAGCAGAAATTTGAATTCTGTCGCTTTGGTAATCGTCTTAGTCTTCACACTGACATACATAAAGTAAAGGAATTGTAGTTTGGATATACTGTGTTTGTTTTGAGGGATGATCTGCTTATCTTCATGATTTCTGGGGCAGAAAGTTAGTTGATTCCACGTTTTTTTCTTTTTTTGAGATGGAGTCTCACTCTGTCGCCCAGGCTGGAGTGCAGTGGTGCAATCTTGGCTCACTGCAAGCTCCGCCTCCCGGGTTCACGCCATTCTCCTGCCTCAGCCTCCCAAGTAGCTGGGACTACAGGTGCCCACCACCACGCCTGGCTATTTTTTTATATTTGTAGTAGAGACGGGGTTTCACCGTGTTAGCTGGGATGTTCTCGATCTCCTGACCTCATGATCCAAAAGTGCTGGGCCTCAGCCTACCAAAGTGCTGGGATCACAGACGTGAGCCACCGCGCCCGGGGATTCCATGTTGTTGCCACTTTTAGTCTCTATTTCTTTCTCTCTGTTTGAACCGTTCTGAACTTTTTTAGGTACTTGAATATAAAGAGTTTCTCACCTCTTGATTTACTGTGCCTTACTCTCTTTGGAACATTTATCCCTATCCTTTTGTCTGGTAAATTGCTTATTCCTTAGATCTTAGCTCATAATATCACTTTATTAGGGAAGGTCTCTATCCCAGACTTGGTTAAGTTTTCTTTGTAACCCTATATTGTAATTATTTGTTAGGGTGATTATTAGTCAGTGTTAAGTCTTGAGACAGGATAGATTTGTACTGAGTTAATTCATGATATATAGACATAAGCTCACACACGTACTACTGAATTCATTTTTTGTCATGAGTGTTTTCAACCAGGATCTTTCTGTGTTCACCTTAGAGATTTTGCATATCTGAGATTAATTTGACTTTTACATGGAAATAAAGTTAGCTATATATGAAATTAAGTATGAAAGTGTCTTTTCTCATAGTTAAGGTTGACTTCAGTCAACTGATTCTTTGTTTTTTGTTTTTAGCTGATTTGTTTTCTTTCTGAAAGACTATGGCCTTTGTTGTTGTTAGACTTTGCTACAAAGTGTCCATGCTGTTTGGCACTCCATGAATATATTAATCTGAACTTTTACTTCTTCCTTTAATTATTAAAAGTATTGTCATTATTTCTACAATATTTCCTCTCTTCCCATCCTCTATCTCTCTTACGTTTTCTCTTATTCTCTTCTGTTTCATGTCACTAGTCTTTCCCTAATTCCTAGTTTCGGGACTATCACTATAGCAGATACGTTTTCTCCATGAAATATAGTAAAACAGAAAACTTTAAAGAACTTTAGAAGATAGACCTGTACGAGAAAGCGAGTAGAATTAGAAAGTCATGTTGAGATGGGGCTGCTGTGCTATATACCCCTCTATAATTTTGAGGCTGCCTCCTGCACATCAGCCAAGATACAGGTGTCATTCGATTTTTAATAGCAAAATTGTGAATTACTGTGTTTAGTGGACCTTTAGAGATACTCAAAAGTGTCTGGAACCGCTAGTGTTAAACTAGTGAATGGCAAGTCTGTTGGCCGGGAAAAACCTTTTTTTTAAACTCATAGGTATTGCATAAATGTGTCATAGCTGAATTTTGTTTCATTGAAAGCAATATTTTCATTGTTAAGAATTTTTGTTTTGCTTTTTATTTTGGATGAAAGTGGACTGATAATACTTAAGATAGGGAAAGTAATATTTATGTTATATGTATATATATATATATAGCAAGCCATTCTCATATTTTAGATTCTAGTTTTTCTTAATGTTTCTAAAGATAATGATGAACAAGTCACATTTGTCACCAAGTGCCTTTTTATCTTTCCCAACTCAGCTTCTCTGATTTCCTTTATGTCACATATTAAAAGAAAAACCTTAGTCAAATTAAATTTAACAGTTAAATTGAGCAAAGAATGATTGGTGAATCAAGCAGCCTCCAGAGCCAGAATAGGTTCAGAGTAATTCCAGGGCTGCCACATGGTCAGATAACAATTATGGATAGAAAAAGGAAGTGATGTACAGAAGACAAAAGTAAGGTATAGAAAGAGCTTGGTTGGTTACAGCTTATTGTTTGCCTTACTTGAACACAGTTTGAACATTTGGCTGCCTTTAGCTGAGTCTTTGTGATTGGTACAAGAGTAGGTTACATTCAGTTTACGTATCCAGTTAGATGTATGTATGAAGAAACCTTTAGGCCTAACCTTAAATATGTAAGGAGGCAACTTCAGGCTAAATTAAATTTAACACATAGATGTATATGAGAGAGTTCCATGAGTTATTTTCCTAGACAACCCCAAACTTAGTTTACAGTTACTTTATCTGTTGGGTGTAATGGGATCTTTTTACGCTTAAAAAGCATGAGAGATGTAATATAAATGTTCTCATTTGGTATATAAGTGTAGGTTAAAAGATTAATAGTTCAAGTGATGTACAGTGGTTGTAGTTTTGCTGACAGTCTAATTAGGGGGAAAATGACTTTAAGATGTGATTTTGCTGCCATAGATAAAAACATCAGTTTAAAAATATTCCAAACACCTCAGATTTTTCTCTTTTATTAAATTTCAGAAGTCATAGTTGTCAGTTATATGATTTAATATTGGCCATCGTTCCATGGAAGCTTTAATTTTAGGCGGGATTACAATGCTGAACATAAGTGAATGGAGAATAGATACCAGTGACCTTAAATTTGATATTGAAATATTTTTGAAAGGCCTTAATCAACTCTTTGCTATTAGAATAAGGAAAATTGTTAAGTATATTGGGGTTAGGCTATGTGTTAGGAATTTGGGTTTCTTCACTGCCAGCACACCACATAGTATATTTTTAAATTGCTTTGAATATGTAATATAATGTTATTTTTTCTCATGAACTGTTTGGGGAAAGAATGTGCTGAAATTTATACATTATATTACTTGATATAGTTGTTGCAGAAAAGCAGTTCATCGGGGTACACTTCTTGTTGCTACCTGCTTTGCCTGACCCTTCCTCAACTGGCGCCTCTAAAAATAGAGTTGCTTAAGCTAGAAATCTGAGAGCCAGTCATCTTTGCTTTATAACCTATCCATTTTTCTCTTCTTTGACCCAGCTGTACTTTCACTGTTTTTTTCCAACCCACTATCGGTTCTTGCCCAGACTACTGCAGAATTTTCTTGACTAGTCCCTCTGATTTTGCTCTTCACTTGTCTGTTTTTCACATAGCTGACAGATGATCCTTTTAAGATTTAAATAGAATCAAGTAATTTCCCTAATAAATGGTTTCCCACATACTTACAATGAAACCCAATCTTCTTACCCTTGACTTACAAAGTTGTGACAAATACTGTTGGTTATGTACCCCAAATTTATTTTCTTCAAATTCTTCACTAACAGATCTTAGATTTCGTTCAAGGCAGTAGTGTGTCTGGCTATGAAAGACTTGATTTTTTAGCCTTTTTTGTTTTTTTTGGTAGCTGGACAGATGACACATTTTTGGCCAATGAACTATGTATGAAAGTATCTGGAGATGCCATTTCTTCCTTAATTATAAAAAAGTCAAGAGAGAAAGCTCCCCCGCGCCCCCCTTTACTCACTCTCCCTTCTTGTCTGAGAACCTAGATATGAGGCTTAGAAATATAGCACTCTTGTGACTGTGAGGTAAGAAGCAAGTGGAGATGCTAAGAATGTGGAAAGATTCTAAGGAGCTCCTAATACCGTTGATAAACTGCTATGTGTGCCTGGATTGCCTTTGTCTTGACAAATTGTGTGAGACAAGTGAATCTCTCCATTATCTTTTTATTTTCTTTTGACACGGAGTCTCGCTCTGTTGCCCAGGCTGGAGTATAGGGGCGCGATCTCGGCTCATTGCAAGCTCCGCCTCCCGGGTTCACGCCATTCTCCTGCCTCAGCCTCCGGAGTAGCTGGGACTACAGGCGCCCGCCACCACGCAGGGCTAATTTTTTGTATATTTAGTAGAGACGGGTTTCACCATGTTAGCTAGGATGGTCTCGATTTCCTGACCTCGTGATCCGCCTGCTTCGGCCTCCCTAAATTACAGGTGTGAGCCACCGCGCCCGGCGGATAATTTTTTAAGAGGAACAAGGTGGGTCAACTCTACCCTACTAGATATCTAGACTTATTCTAAAGTTATACTAACAAATAGACAAACTGACCAACCAAAAAGAAAAGATAAGGAAAAATAAAAATAAAAATTTCAACTCACACCATAGTTACAAGTTATTTAAATATCTAAATGTGAAAGAATTATAATCTAGAAGAAAATGTAGGAACAGTACAGAAATAGGAAAGGTTTCCTTAAATTTTATATATAAATCACAATCCATGTAGGAAAAGATTAATGTTCAGAATATGTAAAGAACGCCTGCAGAATCATAAGAAAAAGACAAATAGCCCAAAAGAAAATGGCCAAGACAATGAACTGACAAGAGTTGAAATGTGAATGCTTAGTAAACATAGGAACAGATGCTTTTATCAATTTGCATGGATTTAACTATGAGTATTTTAAAACTTCAACTGACTTAAAGCCTAAGGACATTTATTTTCCTGCTTGATAAGAAGTGTAGTGGTAGGAAATTCAAGAGTTGGTTTCAGTTCTGTGAACGTAGTAAGGGTTCTATGCCAGCATTTAAAAAAATAATTCTGTTGAATTTTCTAACGGTTGGGAGGAAGGGTGAGAGGAGAAAGGGCACTCTTCCTCCCACACCTTCTGTAGAAGGTGTAGAAGAGAGAAACATATTTCCAGAAGCTTCTAGATTTTCCCATCTGTCCTCATGGCCAGTCACTGACAGAGCAGAATGAAATTACCTGATTGGCTTAATTAGGATTCCTCCTCTGGACTGAGGAAGGGATGGCTTTCTCTTAGTATATTATTTCCTGCCCAATTCCCGAGCAAAATTGAGTCTGAGCAAAATTGAGTCTTTCTGTTGGCCAGTGTATTAGTCCATTCTCACACTGCTATAAAGAACTACCTAAGACGGTAATTTATGAATAAAAGAGTTTTAATTGACTCATAGTTCTGCAGGCTGTACAGGAAACATGGGTGGGAGGAGGCCTCAGGATATTTACAATCATGGCAGAAGGCAAAGGGGAAGCAATCATGGTGGGGCAGGAGAGAGACAGCAGAAAGCGGGAGGTGCCACCACCCCCCTCTTTTTTTTTTTTTTTTTTTTTTTGAGATGGAGTCTGGCTCTGTTGCCCAGGCTGGAGTGCAGTGGGGCGATCTCGGCTCACTGCAAGCTCCACCTCCCTGTTGCCACCTACTTTTAAATCTCCAGATGTCATGAGAATTCACTCATGTGACAGCACTAGGGTGATGGTGCTAAACTATTAGAAACCACCCCTGTGACCCAATCACTTCCCACCAGGCCCCTCCTTCAACACATGGGGATTCCAATTCAACATGAGATTTGGGTGGGGACACAGAGCCAAACCATATCAGCCAGAAGAATGGATTATGGTTATCAACCTTCCACTAATATAGATTGAACCATATGAAGTTGACAAAAATAATGTGAATATATGAAATATATTCTAATCACATAGAATATGAAATACATAATATACAAATAATAACATGAAATGTATAAAATATAAATATAGAAACACAAGTGTTTAAAAAACACACATTGAAAAGTATATAATTTGCATGATATAACAAACATTGAATTTATGTAATAGTACCTCTGGGGAAGCAAAGAGGGGACTAGGATTGAGGGTAAGAGTTCAACTGTATTCATATATTTAGTTTTCAACAGTAAAAAAGCAAATATCTGAACTGAAAAATGTAAATAACAATTCATTTTTTTTTTTGCCTCTTTGTAAAGCTTTTAAATGTGCACGGAATGGTCACGAGGATTTTGGTTGAAAATGAAAATTGGTAGAGGGCAACTTGGCAACATGTGAAATTTTAAATGTATACCTATTGATCTAGTACTACTACTTTGAGGCATTTATCTTAAATGAATAGGACAAATGTACAAGGAAATTTATTTTGACTTTTTTTTTTAGTAATGGTAAAAATGTTTTTATAATGGCTGTGTTAGTCCGTTCTTGCATTGCTATAAAGAACTACCTGAGCCTGGGTAATTTATAAAGAAAAGAGATTTAACTGACTCACAGTTTTGTAGACTGTACAGGAAGCATGGCTGGGGAGGCCCCAGGAAATTCACAGTCGTGACGGGAGGTGAAGGGGAAGCAGGCATGTCTTATATGGTCAGGGAAGGAGGCAGAGGAGAGCAGGAGGAGGTGCTACACACTTTTAAACAACCAGATCTTGTGAGAACTCACTATTACGAGAACAGCAAGAGGGAAATCTGCCTCCATGATCCACTCACCTACCACCAGGCCCCTCTTCTAACACTGGGGATCATAATTTGACATGAGATTTGGGTGGGGCCACAAATCCAAACCAAATTTTTTGGTCCCTGGCTCCTCCCAAATCTCATATCCTTCTCATATTTCAAAATACAATCATGCCTTCCCGATAGTCCCCAATAGTCTCAACTCATTCCAGCATTAACTCAAAAGTCCAGAGTTCAAAGCAAAGCAAGTCCCTTCTGCCTGTAAAATCAAAGCCAGTTAGTTAGTTACAAGATACAGTGGGCGTACAGGCATTGGCTAAATACTCACATTCCAAAAGGGAGAAATCAACCAAAACAAAGGGCCTGCAGGCTCCATGGACTTCGAAACCCAGCAGGGCAGTTGTTCAATCTTAAAGTTGCAAAATAATCTCCCTTGACTCCACGGCTCACATCCAGGCCACACCAACACAAGGGGTGGGCTCCCAAGGCCTTGGGCGGCTCCACCCCTGTGGCTTTGCAGGAGTCAGCTCCCATGGCTGCTCTCAAGGGCTGGTGCTGATTAGGGAAATGGAAGTTTGCACTCAGGCTTTATTCAGATCCGTAGAGAAGGAGAATAATTCAACCTTCCTGGGTCAGGACAGCACTTATGGCCCAGTGGAAGAGTAGGGCATTGATGGTAGAGGGAAGGAAGTCGAAGTTAGAGAATTAAAGAAAACCTAACATCCGTAAAGTTCTGCAGGTATTTAAAAAACAAAACCAGGAACCCTGGTAAGATGCTGACAGTTTACTTGAGCATGTACCCTATGCTTTTACTGATTCAGTTACTAATACAAAATTGATCTTTTCACCTAAAATTATCAGCTTAATTTTTAAGGATATTTTCTACGGAAACCTCATTCTGACTTTGTAATACATATCTGTGGAAATGTATGCTTTACTTTGGAGACTTTTTCTTAGAGCCTGCTTTTCTGGAATGAATGAATTTCTATAGATAGCATGGAAGACATATCTTGAGATAAATTTCTTTTTTCCCCTTACTCTTTTCCACATGGTTTTTATTTGTTTAACATATGCCCAAAATAAAGGAAGATGTGACTCTTTTACTGTCTTTTATTTTTATTTAAGATGCCATTTTGTAACAGTATTACACAATAATAGTAGAGGTAGTGATACCTAGTTAATAAGACCTAATACAATTTAAAGTGGGAAAGAATCATTAATTAAGATTCTAGCTTGTGAATATAAAAATGCGAATATTTGCGGTTTCCTTTTATAACCCATTGCAATTTAGTTTGTAATTTTACCACTATACTAAAATTAGTTTAATATTACCAATGGCCATTGTTTTCTTCTCCGTTGATCTCATTAAATCCTCATGGTACTGGACTTTGCATAATGTTGTTGTTCCTTGACTTCCACGATGTTGATGTTGTGCTTTCTTAGTATTTCTTACCTTTCTAAGTGTTTGCCTCATCCTTAGACTACTTGAGACTCTTTCTGACTCCCCCTAAACCCCCATTTTTGTCTGAAAACTGTGATACTTCTTATAAAATTCTGGTTTTATATTCCCAAGTGCTTGTATTCCCACTCATTTGCCATATCGTTTCCTCAAACTAAGTGAATCCAAGCTTGAATTGTTCCAGTTCACCACCCATTTCATATAGTTTGGCCACTAGCCCCAAGAATAGATATTTTGGCATCATCTTTAGTTCTTCCTTTTCAAAATTCCCTTTGACCAAGCGTTCACCATGTGTTTCTCATACCCATACATTCATCCCCAATTTCCCTAATACAATGCTGTGTGTTGTGATTTGTCTTAGATTCGGTTATCAGCAGTATTTATTTATTTATTTTTATTTTATTTTATTTTATTGAGGAGTCTCGCACTATTGCCCAGGCTGGAATGCAGTGGCGTGGTCTCGGCTCACTGCCATCTCTGCCTCCCAGGTTCAAGCGATTCTCGTGCCTCAGCCTCCCAAGTAGGTGGGATTACAGGTGCCTGCCATCACGCCTGGCTAATTTTTGTGGTTTTATTAGAGACGGGGTATCACCATGTTGGCCAGGCTGGTCTTGAACTCCTGACCTCAGGTGACCCGCCCACCTCGGCCTCACACAGTGCTGTGAGGGTGTGAGCCACTGCGCCCGGCTTATCAGCAGTATTTAAATAACCCTTGTTTCTATGAATGTAGTGATGAGTTTCTATATACAGTTTTGTGTTGTGAAGCCTGAGGGGAAAGTGAGTTCCTGGATAAGTCTTGTCATATTTATTTTGCGTTTCTAGCACTGTTGCACAGCACATATTAAGTGTTTAGAAAATGTTTTTTGAATGAACAGCCCAAAGACTAAAGGAAGAGCTTCCTTAGTTCTAAATTCTGTGAAATGAGTCAGTTTGAATGAAGCTAATGTTTCTTTTGTTTTACACCATTTACTATAGAGTGCAGTACTTCAGTTGTTCATACTTGTTGATATTGTTACAGATATTCTAATGGTTCTTTTTACAAAATCAAATATATATACAAGACATTTTTTCGTTTCTTTTTAGGTTTTGGAAGGAAGGATGTTGTAGAACACTTACTACAGATGGGTGCTAATGTCCACGCTCGTGATGATGGAGGTCTCATCCCGCTTCATAATGCCTGTTCTTTTGGCCATGCTGAGGTTGTGAGTCTGTTATTGTGCCAAGGAGCTGATCCAAATGCCAGGGATAACTGGAACTATACACCTCTGCATGAAGCTGCTATTAAAGGGAAGATCGATGTGTGCATTGGTAAGTATCATTTGATGATATCTAAATTTTAAATAAAGGTTTATTCTTACTTTTTTTGTGGTACAAATAGTGTTTCCTGAGAATAGGTAAGGAAGGGTTTATTGCTTCTTGTAGAAGCAGTTCTTTTCCATCAAAAGGTAAACAGAGAGATGGTAATCTAAAGTTACTTAGGGGAAGACTCACAACATTAACTTTCCAAATGCAGTCAAATGCCTATTGATGTGGAACTCAATTTTAATGGATTACTATTGTCAAATTTAGTTAATTTATAGTCTCTTTTAAAGACTGGACATTTTCTATCCTACCATCAATGAGAGCCATTATAAAGTACAAATTCTACTGAGTTGGATGACATTTGAACACTTGAGGTTGATTCAAGGAAACTCATCTAGTATAGTAGTCCCCCCGCTTATATGGGGTTTTGAGTGTTTTGAATACAGTAGTTCAGAACTTAATCGTTTCAATATGTGCCATAGTCTAGAGAAAAAGCAATTTCAAACAAATTGGACTTTTCAATCATTTTAGGTATCTAGATGAAACGAAGCTGTATTCAATCAGCATTTTGTTCTCTCATATATATTCACATTTTGCTTTGCTGTATACAATTTTTTATTTTGAAATCTAAAAAGCTTCTAGAGGGCAAGTATAATTTCTCTTGAGTGTATCATCTGTTTTTTGATACTTGAGATGATGGATGTTTGTTTAGCCATGGCAGGTTGATTTACGTAATTGTCTTCCCAGATGTCATCCACTTCAGCATAATCAGTTTTTTAATGATGCAACTAAAATATACATGACATTTTAAAAGATATAGTGGTGGTGCTTAATAATGGTTAAGATTATTCCTCCTTATAGCCATCTATTGCAGCTTCTAATATATTTTTCAATATTCCTCAAATTATTGCAATGCCTGATATAAAACTATTTTTTAAAAAAATCACATTTTCTGTCATTATCCTTTGCTACTTGAGCATCCACTAACATGACCTTTGGATATCCTGTCCTTTCAGTTTTTTGACATCTTCCAGTTTCAACTGACTCTCCCATTTCCTCCTAAGTCTCTCACTAACATAGCCACATCCTGGACCAAGTCATTACATAAAACTACCTTGAGAAGCTTCAACTTATAACATCCTCTCTCTGACTACAAAGCCTCTTATGTTACTTGCTTTTGTAAATGATAACTATTATTGAGCTTGGAATGTGTTTCCTACGTAGTCTTCTAGGCTTTCATCTTCTCTGCTGTAACTGCTTCTTGCTTCACCTTGTTGTCACAGCCACTGGATTTTTCTCAGTCATTAGTCAGAATTTTATACTGTTCTCACTTTCTTAAAATATTATCCTTTCCAGGCTTCAGTCTTCTGTTTTCCTGCCTCTACATCTGAAGTTTTCATTTTATCAGTCCTTTGAATATCTTATTGAAATTAGTATTTCTCGCCTCCTCCTCTTAATCCCTCTTTCAAAAGTCCATAATGTAAATGCTCTTTTTATCTAGGTTCTATTGAAATAAAAGACTAGATATGGGGCTTGAATTTTTAATGAATGGATCCCTGCAGCACTCTACTTCCTCAGTTCACAGTAGGCTTTGGCACATATTGTCTTCATTCTGTTTAAGTTCTTGTGCCTTATAAAAGTTGAGGGAAGGGGAAGGGCACCTTTGAAACTATACTCAAAATATAAATGAGGATATAGTTGCTATTAAAGTATGTATCATAGTTATTATGGGAGTCAAAATTGGTTGTAAACCCCGGTATACTTAATTAGCTTGCAGAAACCTCTTAGGAGGTTTATTCTGAGGTTCACTGAAACCTGTAATAGCTTATATATCTTATTTTCTGGAGTTGAATATGGTTAAGGAATTCTGAGATTTTTCTCTGTAAGGCAGAGTTCTGCTTTGGGATAGCTGGATAAAAAAAGTGGGAAGCCTTGTTTTTTTTTTGTTTGTTTGTTTTCCTTTTGCTGGAGTCTAGTAGTTTTTGAGAGATTAGTATACAAAATTGATTTTTAAAAGGTTTTTGCCTAGATGATGAAATACTGGCCTGATTTTTATAAAGATTAATCATATCTCTATATGTGGGGTAGAATAGCAAATACATTTGATATTTTTGAAAAGCTAGAGCCCAGCCAAGCCACATTACCACCAGCTTACAGGAGACATCAGGGCAGGTTGCTGTAGAGCACATGCTCCAGGCTTATACCCTGACCCCACCAGTTTCCAGCTGTGTGAGGCCATGGGCCACTTTCTTGGCCTCTGTCTTTCCTTACATGTAAAATGAGAATACTGTTCTTCACAGTGTTCCTGAGAGGATAAGCTAGTACATATAAAATATTTAGAAGAGTACCAGGTACAGTGTACATTCAGTGAATATTAATTGCCATTATTAATTACTATTATTATTGTTGGTGCTAAAATCTCAGCCTGAATTATGCTCCTGTGTGGTACAGAATTCCCATTTCCTCTGTTTGTCCTTTGTTGACATTTCTTAAAAATGTCCATTTAGGGGCAGGCGCGGTGGCTCACGTCTGTTATCCCAGCACTTTGGGAGGCTGAGATGGGCAGAGCACGAGGTCAGGAGATCGAGACCATCCTGGCTAACACGGTGAAACCCCATCTCTACTAAAAATACAAAAAAATTAGCTGGGTGTGGTGGCGGGCACCTATTGTCCCAGCTACTTAGGAGGCTGAGGCAGGAGAATGGCATGAACCCGGGAGGCGGAGCTTGATGAGCTGAGATTGCACCACTGCACTCCAGCCTGGGCGACAGAGCGAGACTCTGTCTCAAAAAAAAAAAAAAAAAAAAAGTCCATTTAGAAATCTTGAACCCATGTGTTTCTTTCATAGATGCTATTTACCATCAAAAAGAAGAAAATTCAAACTGAGATTATTTTAAAAATCAACTTGAAATGCTTGTATAATTAAACAAACTACTTAAGACTGTGGTCTTGGGAATGTTGATGACAGTTTTTATACTGTAATGTTGAATTGAATTTACTTCAGAAATCAATACATTTTCTGCCTTTAGAACTTATTTATCTTTGCTTCTCCCTACCCCTCAAATATAGTCTCCAAAACCACTAAATAGCTTTTCTGAATATATGCTATATGATTTTTTTTTTCCTTTTTTGAGACAGAGTCTTGCTCTGTCACCAGGCTGGAGTGCGGTGGCGCGATCTCTGCTCACTGCGAACTCTGCCTCCTGGGTTCAAGTGATTCTCCTGCCTCAGCCTCCCAAGTAGCTGGGACTGCAGGCGCATGCCACCATTCCCAGCTAAGTTTTGTATTTTTATTAGAGACAGGGTTTGACCATGTTGGCCAGGATGCTCTCGATCTCTTGACCTTGTGATCCGCCTGTCTCAGCCTCCCAAAGTCCTGGGATTGTAGGCGTGAGCCACCGCACCCAGCCTGTATGGTTTTTTGAGACTGTTAGTGCTTGAGAATTTCATTTTAAAAGCAAATTATAAGCATACTTTTCATGGAGTCTGATATAAGATCTGGGAGTCGGAGGGTGCGGTGGCTCACTCCTGTAATCCCAGTACTTTGGGAGGCCGAGATGGGTGGATCACGAGGTCAGGAGATTGAGACCATCCTGGCTAACACAGTGAAACACCGTCTCTACTAAAAATACAAAAAATTAGCCGGGCGTGGTGGTGGGCGCCTGTAGTCCCAGCTACTGGGGAGGCTGAGGCAGGAGAATGGCGTGAACCCGGGATGGGGAGCTTGCAGTGAGCCGAGATTACACCACTGCACTCCAGTCTGGGTGACAGAGCAAGACTCTGTCTTTAAAAAAAAAAAAAAAAAAAAAAAATCTGGGAGTCACAATGGATATTTGTGATTTTTTTCATTTTGACTAATTAGTATCCAATTCTTTTTCTGATTTTGGAGATTTTAAACTGTGGGCACTCCTTGCTGAGAGGAATGCGGAAACTGGTAGTGTCAGATCTTCCTTCCTTCTACTTCTTTGCAGTCAGGGATTGTCTTGGTTTGTCCAGTCATGCACTTCATTTTGTAAATGTAGAATTTTGAATACAAAATCTTAGCTATAGTAAGGAATCATATATAGCAGCAGATTTTTGCTTTAGTGTGGGCAGTGGCCTGGTCATAATGTTTCCTACTAAAAGACAGTTGTGCTTCCTACTCTTAGCTCTACAGCTTCTTATGTGTTTCTAAGGTTGGTCCTCTACTCTCCTGTCATTTCAGTCTAAGATAGACAATGGTTTCTGTTACTTGCAAATTAGTATAATTGATAACAGAGATCTTGAGAAGGTTGCTAAATGGAAGTTGCAGAATGGGGCTTCTAAACTGATAAATCTCTTGAATCTTTATTTAAGTCTCACTGCCCTCACACAGTTTACATGTATACCACACCTCCATCTCTCCTTATTCTCTACAATTCTCAAGAGTGAAGGAGACAGAGTATGTTCCCTTTGGAGGCCTCTTCCAGGTGCCTCTCATTAGGGAAGAGACAGCTTGCTGGCGTCCACAGCAAATCATTCTAAAGATAACAGAGGTGTATGGTGTTCCAACGCATGTGGGATTGTCACTGTGGAATACCCCAACATCTAGACATGAAGCCCAGCAAACCAAGTGAAAAATAACAGCCCATCTCAGCCAGAAGGGATGATTAAGACAACAATCAGAATACATATCCAGGACTGCTAAAGGAGTCAGGTAAATACCTGAATAAAAAAAAAATATCTCCCAGAGAAATTAAAGTATAAAGTGGGGAAGAAATTTCCTGGGGCCAAAACTCAAAACCGAAATAAAAAAAAAATCCACCACCTAATTTTTTTTTCAGAGGAAACAATTTAGTAGATGAATTAAAGACCATGTTAGTAGCCTGGAAGCTTACGTGTGAGATGTACAGAGACAAATGTTGAAACATGGAAATCATGACGAAAAAGGTAAATAAATCTGGGAACATCAACGTCATTTTAAACCTTACACGTGATATGAGTTTCAGAGGCAGGGGAAAAAAGAAAAAAAAGTCTGATGGAAGAGATCAGTAATAATTAAACAAATGATAAGAAAGAGAAACCTATCTTGAGATTGAAAAGGCTCAGGGAGCTCCATATGAGATTGATGAGAAAAGATAAACTGAGTAAGATGTATATTGCACTTTTCCAGAAAGAAGGAATAAGTTGCCTACAGAGGGAAAAAAATTAGGCAAAGGACTTTTCATTTACAATATTGACAGCTTGAAGACAATGGAATAACCTTCTAAAGCCTGCTGGAAGAAAAGGATTAAGTTGTAATTTCCTTGATAAAGAACAGTTCTGCAGCCTTTTGGGAGTAAGAAAGGCTGAATCAAGCAAGTGACATTACATTAGAGAAACAAAGCTCCTGCAACTTTCTTTCTCTATACTTTCAAACAATTCTTGGTTTAATTTGTCTTATATGCAGAGACTGAGGGGATCCTCACTGAATATCTTTCTTGGGAGCGCAAAATTCAAGCTGCTCTTTAAAATCTAACAATTAGGACTTAAAAAAAATAACTGTTTTCTGGCTGAATGGCATTACGTAATAGTGGTTGGAGTCAAAGAGACCTGTTCCTTGAGTGAGTTGTTTACTTCTTTCAGCATTAAAATGGGAATGAGGGTAATAGCTGTATGTCATACAGTTGTTAAGAGGATTAAATGAGATAATATACGTGAAACACCCTTGTACAATAGCTGTATATTTTATATATAATAATTAGAAAGTACATGCTCATTATTTGGCAACTGCTTTTATTATCGTGAAATAACATGATTAGAAATAGTTTTCTTCTTGTATTACATTATATTGTTCCAGATACTTTTATATTTACTGAAAATGCAAGAAAAAATAGAGATCTGATGGTATTTTTCTAAAAAGTCTCTAAGCAAATTGGCTTCTTAGGGGAAATTAAGCTGACTATATAAAGATAGTATTATTTAATACCATAATTAAAGTTGGTTATCTAAATGAACTAATGAAAGCAATTTGTTGTAATTCCCATTTTTCCCATCCCAGTTCAGAACTTCAATTGATTATTTAATATGTAATAGGATTTCTGCTGTTTTTTTTCCCATTATTTATACTTCAGGGACTCCTTGTTATAAAATTATATTTTATGATTCTGCTGAGAGAGAGCAAAAATAAAATTATGCTTTATCTCTTCTTCCCCCTCCTTTGCCTTGGAAAAGTAGGGGACATACCTTAGCTTGTGATTATTCAACTAGGTAAAACTCAGATTCATTCAGTCAAATGTAATATATCAACCCAGATAAGATCTTGGTTCAGAAAAAAATGTTAAAACAGCCAGTATTATAGAATTTATATTTAAATTATAATATAGTCTATATAATTTATATCTAAAACGTGTGTGTGTGTGTGTGTGTGTGTGTATGAAGTTAGGTGGTAAATAATCCAATTGACTTGTTAAGTTTTGGGCTAATAATATGCAGAGTTATCAGCAATAGGGAAGACTGAAGACTTTGCTCCTCTTAGAGTAATTGAGGGTCACCGTGGTCTGCTGCGAAGAACAATGAAACAGGAGTCGGCGTACCTGGAGAGTACTGTTGGGTCTCCCGTTAGAAAGAACCATATACATATAATGTTATGCTTTAAAAACTTTTTATAAGAAGTTACATGCTATATGTGGTAGGCAAATAATGGTTGAAAGATGTTCATATCTTAATTCCTGGAACCTGGGAATGTTAACTTTACATTGCTAACAGAAATTAAGGTTACAGATGGAATTTTGGTTGCTAATCAGTTAATTTGAGATGGGAAGATTATCATGGATTGTCTTGGTGGACCCAAAGTAATCACCAGATTCCTTAGAAGTAGAAGAGGGAGGCAGAGAGAAAGTCAGATGATATAATTTCAGATGGATTCAAGCCACCATTGGTGGCTTTGAAAAGAGAGAAAGGGTTCCCTAAACTAAGGAATGGGGGTAGCCCCAAGAAGATGGAAAAGGCAAGGAAGTAGGTTTTCATGAAAGTCACCAGTAAGGAATTCAGCCTTGCCGACACCTTGATTTTTTTTTTTTTTTTCTTCAAATGGAGTCTCGCTCTGTCGCCCAGGCTGGAGTGCAGTGGCACAGTCTCGGCTCACTGTAAGCTCGGCCTCCTGGGTTCACGCCATTCTCCTGCCTCAGCCTCCTGAGTAGCTGGGACTGCAGGCTCTGCCACCACGCCCGGGTAATTTTGTTTTTGTATTTTTAGTAGAAACGGGGTTTCACCATGTTAGCCAGGGTGGTCTCGATCTCCTGACCTTGTGATCCGCCCGCCTCGGCCTCCCAAAGTGCTGGGATTACAGGCGTGAGCCACTGCGCCTGGCCGACACTTTGATTTTAGCCCAATGAGACTTACGTCAGATTTAGGATCTCCAGAACTGTAGGAGAGTAAGTTTGTTGTTGTTATTGTTTTAAACCACTGGATTTGTGATAATTTGTTACGGCAGCAATAGCAAGCATATATTATAAAAACATCTTACAGCGGTTTTGCAAAATTTATCTAGGTTGAGCATCTCCTGAAAAGAGTAGTAGAATGTTTTCAATACAATTAAAACTGCTTTCTTGGAAATGCTTAAAGATTTGGTCACTGAGGATAAGTAGCAGTTTTTTATGTTGGCAAATATACAAGAATGATACTTGTAAGAATTCTTAAAATAATTATAAAAAAGCAGATAATGTAGTGGACTCATATTTGTGCTTAAATGATTGTTTCTGAAGTATTTTGAGATTTGGGGTAAATTATCTTACTAAGAAACTTAAAAAAAATAAATTTTGTGTCAAATTAGGTGTGGAGAGTCCTTGTCCTTATACACTTGTTTAAACTGAACATTTTCTTTGTAATCTTTGTAATCAGGTGCCACATAAAAAATGTTTGAAAGACATGTAACTTGACAACCAAATTGCTTCTTTTTTTTTTTGAGACAGTCTTGCTCTGTCGCCCAGGCTGGAGTACAATGGCGGGATCTAGGCTCACTGCAAGCTCTGCCTCCCAGGTTCACGCCATGCTCTTGCCTCAGCCTCCCGAGTAGCTGGGACTACAGGCACCCGCCACCACGCCCAGCTAATTTTTTATGTATTTTTAGTAGAGACAGGATTTCACCGTGTTAGCCAGGATGGTCTCTATCTCCTGACCTCGTGATCCGCCCACCTCGGCGTTCCAAAGTGCTGGGATTATAGGCGTGAGCTGCCGCGCCCGGCCCCAAATTGTTTCTTTTATCTAAAAAGGGGAATTTTATTGTCTGCAATATGAGGCATGATTAAACATTTTAGGTTGAACTGAAGACTAGGGCCCCAATATTTCTTTCTTTTCTACCTTTTAATTCCTGTGACTTTGGGCAGATTATAAGGTCTGTGCTTCTGGTGAGTCTGTTTCTGAAACACGTGGCCATTTATAAAGGTTTACTGTGTGAAGTGCTTTCAGACTGTTCCATCTCTAATGAGCTGCTTGGCCTATGGTTCTTTTAGTGACCAGGAAAACAAAGGAAAAGTGATATTGAAACCCCATAGCCTTATTTCAAATTAGACTAGGAAGAAGAAGCTTATCCAAGTTGAGAGGGATAGGTTAATGGGCTAATCGGAGTGGGGAAAGATGACAGCATTCAGCACATCATGGATATTATTGTCATAGATAATTGAATATATGACAAACTCGATTGGTATGGGAATTTGTCCTCATTAGTGTTTGTGACTGAAAACGGGATTATTTCCCTGCTCCCACTGAACCTATTGACATGAGAAAAAATCTATAGCTAGAGATTTTGCTCAGTGAGAAGCCTTGAAACCTGTATTAATGAAACAATAATCTACTTTCACTTGAATAAATGTAATCAGAAAGTAGGATACTAGAAGCAGGACATACATTCTGGGCCAAGGGTAGCAGCAGGATCAGCTTGACTAGGAGGTTCTAGAACCTAGTAGTGGAGTTAGCTAATGAAAGGTATTGTTTATAAACTAGAGGTCTCTTGTAAAGCATCAGATAAATATTTGAAGTTATAGTAAATAACTGCATGTAAAGTTGGAGACAGAAACACACCAGTCAGGAAAACCAAGAATTTTGAAGTAAACAACCAAGCCAGCTCCAAGAACTTTAGCAGCAGAGGTATGTCAGCCTTCTCATTAGAATCCTCCCTTAAAGTTGCTGTGAGGTCTTGGCTTCAAGTCCACTCTTGTTGCTAAACCTGAGATGCAAAGAATCTGATGCCCCACTTTGAGTTAGATGTTGACCCTTAATCAGTTAGCTTTAGTCTCAGAGACGTTTCCTAGTGTGGACTTGGCCCCTCGGGCCTCACCACTATACATAGGAATCTACAACTGAGAGTAAATTGATATAGCGGGGCTGGGAGCCACGTGGGTGAGGAAGAGAAGAAAGTAAAAATGAGCTTGATTTTGATTTTGGATCCCTTCGAAAATTGATTACTGTTAATATTCTTTGAACCATCTCATGCCTTCAACGAAGATCTTAATACTCTTTGTGAAAGAAGTCTTCTGATAATATGTTTCTATAGCTGTCCACAAACTCTTCTGAATTAATTCTATATGCATATACTGCCACCCAACACGTCTCCTCTGTTCATGTGCATGCTCCATTCATTGTCCCGTTGAATGTTACGTACAAAATACAAGCTAAGAGATAAGATTGCTAAGAATTTCAGGTGGTGACAGCAGAGCATTGGGGCCCTGTGCAACTGCACAGCTTGTGTGTTCGCGAAGCTGCCCATGATTAGATCACAGTATGTGCGTGTTTAAAAATGCTCCACATAATTCCAGGTGTACTTAAGTAACACCCGGACTCATCTTCAGGGCCCTCCTTGGTCTGGCTCCCGTCTACATCATGGACTTCATCCTCATGTCCCTGTAATTCCCTCCCTTTCTCTCCACCTTCCAGCTACAATGGCCTTTTTGTCTCTCTAATGCACCAAACTTGTTCTGCCTGCGGTACTCTTTCCCCAGATTTTTCACTAATAATGTTAATTCATCTGAGTTGTGCCCTGACAAAGCTGTCATAATTTCTTGCCCTGCCCTGTTTGTTTGATTACTCTTTTATCATGTTTTATTTTACACCATAGCACTTATTACCTGGAATTATATCCTTATTTAATCATACATTTACTTGTTTGTTTGCCATCTGTGTACTCTTCCCAACTTTGTGCCTTAATATAAACACAGGAACCTACTCTGCCTTACTTTGCACCACATCCCTGGCATAATAAAGCTCTGTGCTTGCTCCGAGTAAAATGCCTACTCTGTGCCAGAACCTCAGTGTGGTTTTAATTGCATTTGCCTGATAAGTAATGATGTTGAGCATCTTTTCATGTGCGTGTTTGCCATTTGTATGTATTCTTTGGGGAAATGTCTATTCCTATCTTTGTCCGTTATTAAATTGGCTGTCTTTTCATTATTGAGTTATGATAGATAAAAGTTTCTTACTAGAAAAATGATTTGCAAATACTTTCTCCCATTCTTTGTGTTGTCTTTTCATTTTCGTGATATTGTCCTTTGAAGCACAGAAGTTTTACATTTTGGTGATTTGATTAATGGTTAACATTAAAAAGTCTGTTTCTGCTTTCGTTGCTTGTGCTTTGGTATCTTATCTGAGAATCCATTGTCGAACCCTAGATCATGATTTAACTCTGTTGTCATCTAGGAGTTGTAACTGAAATGTATTTAGGTCTGATGCATTTGGAATTGATGTTTGGAGATGATGTGAGGTGAAGGGTCCAACGTCATGCCTTTGCATGTGGCTATCCAGTTTTCTCATTTAGTTGTTCATAATATTCCTTTATAATCTTTTATTTCTGTAAGCTTAGTAATAATTTACTCCCTTTCGTGTATGATTCTAGTTAATAGAGTTGTCTTTTATTTTTTCCCTAGGTCCATTTGGCTAAATGTTTGTGAGTTTATATTGTGTGTGCATATCGTTAGTTTTTTTGTTGTTGTATGGTGTTTCATTGTATGGATGTAGCACAGTTGGTGGTTGTTTAGCTTGTTTGCAGTTTGTAGCTGTTATAACGCTGGATGTATGTCTCAGCGTGGACATGTTTTTTCACTTCTCTTGGATGGATCCCTGAGAGTGGGATTGCTGGGTGGAATGCTAAGTGCACATTGGA
This sequence comes from Homo sapiens, assembly GCF_000001405.40. Taxonomy (NCBI): domain Eukaryota; kingdom Metazoa; phylum Chordata; class Mammalia; order Primates; family Hominidae; genus Homo; species Homo sapiens. The sequence goes on along the minus strand of NW_018654717.1, from coordinate 3,759,997 downwards.
CTGTAAAAGAAGCTGCGTTGCCCTAATGGCTGAGCATGTTGAGAATATTTTTATGTACAGTGGTCATTCATGTATATTTTTTGTGAAGTGTGCATATCTTTTGGCCATCTTTGGTTTTATTTTTATTTTTTGCTGTTACTGATTTTTGAGAATTCTTTTTGTGCTGTAACAATGGGTCTTAGTTGGATGTGTGTATTGTGAATGCTATTTCCCAATCTTTGCTTTGCTTTTCGTTTTCTTAATGGTATCTGTATACAGGCAAAGGTTTTTAAGTTTGGTGAAGTCTGATTTATCAGTTAAAATAGCAAAGTATTTGGTGTTTCATCAGCGTTGGAATAATAAGATTTCTGCTTGACAATTATTCTTAGGTTAAAAGCAGTATATAGAGAAATAACATTATCGTTTTAATTACACTGTGGAAATTCAGGAAAGCAGTTTCCGGTCTGAGGGCTGCTGCTTCAAATGCTTTCTAACAACTTGCTTAGGATATATTTTTAAAGATTAAAATGAAAGAATCAGCTATTTCATGTGAAAACTTGAATATATTATAGGACTCATTTTTAAGATTTAACAGTAAAAGCCAGGTGGACTTTAACTAATTAGAAAATAATTATCTAAAATATGCACAGTTATTTCTGAGATGACATTGTTTGCCTACTATTGGCAAGTATATTTCCAAAATTTAGGGAAATAGGCTGTTTTTAATAGCTTGTTGCCTGAAATCTTTCCACAAACGAAGACTTATTAATTCCCAATACTTAAATTTTTTTTGGTTTGTGTTTTCCTTTAATGTGTTCTGTTAGCATTGTGAACATTATCTGCTTTTCAAGGATCAAAAGACTCACAGATGTTCTTTTAGCTATTTCTTCATCTTACTGGCTTTAGTAGAATTCTCATACTTTTCATATTCCCGGTATTAGGAGACAGGAAATACAAACAGATTAAAGACTCAAAGACTGGTCTTTATAGTTCTAGTATATTGTAAACTTCCTGTTCTTCTTGGCGTCTAGAAGTAGAGTAGTTCTCTGTGCACTGAGTATGTTTACTTTCTAACACAGCCACAGGATGAGGTGCCAGATTCTTAAACTGAATCAGGTAAGGTGTGAAGTTAAGCATGTACCACGTTCTCTGTGGTAGGAACTAACAATAATCTTGTCCACTTTCATACGTATTCTTATTGTCTATCACTGATGTCTAATTATATTCAAGAAACGTGTGTGAAGTGACAAAGCAGTTCACTGGAAGAAGGCTTGATTCTGTCTGACTTTTTTTTATATTACTCTGTGTTACATGGATAAGGAAGCTGAGTAATTTTCTACTTCTTGATTAGGTGATATCTTGAGATTCCTTTATTTTAAAGCAATGTGAACTTGCAGTATGTCAGACACTTCAATATTCATATACAAATATAAAACACATTTTATAGTCATATGCAAATTATGTTTAGATTATCTTCCATTTGTCAAGTAACTGCTTATTCTTCATTAGGATGGGCAGTTGAATATTGATTCTGATCATGCATTAACTTTTGGTTATAATGGGTTTTCCACAAAGGATAGTAAAACATTTTTTCTTGTTAACTTACAGATTAAACCCATGAATTGCCCCTCTTGGGAGCTGAGGAGTTGAGGTAGGGAGGGATAAGAAAAAATAAGGTGATGGTGGTAAATTTATAAAAGTTGCTGTGGATAGTTGATACGTAATATTGTAAAGGGTTTTCCCTCGAGGCCTCTCAAAGGACTTAGCCAAGCAGTGTCACTAATATTTGTGTCCTGTGTGTGAGGCAGATGATTCAGATTACCTACCAGTTTACCAGTGAAGAAGGAGAAAGTTGTTACTTTGCCACAGTCTGTAGAGCTGATAGAAAGTTGTTATAATGGAAATGTTTTCTTAATTGAGAAATGAAGGTTCTGTTCACACAGTGGGCTTCATTTAAGAATACATCATACATATAAAAGGTTAATTTCATTCTGTAAGTCTGCCAAATTAATTCTTTTAAATTATTTTTAGCTTAGCTTTTAAAACCGTATCATATTTAGCAAACTTAAGGTGGAAAATAATCTTCACCAAACCCCCTTCCCCCCAAACCAAAAAACTAACCTGTCTACAAAAATTTAAACCAAGTGTAACTTACTCCTAAAGTAATACCTCTCTGTTAATTTCCTTATAACTTCCTTTTGTGTGTCTGCTATTTAGAAAGATATGTTTCATTTCCTTTTACAAAGTCTTTTAGTTTAAAAAATTATCTGACCACTTCCATGGTTACTTGTCCTTTGATGAAGTTAACATCCTGGAACTTGGAATGGCACGGGATTGGGGATGGGGGAAAGAAATGTGGAATGAGTGTTCAACTGCCTTTGGTACATTCTTATCCCTTGATATTTATTTATTTATTTATTATTATTATTATTATTATTTTTTGAGACGGAGTCTCACTCTGTCACCCAGGCTGGAGTGCAATGGCACGATCTCAGCTCACTGGAACCTTTGCCTCCTGGGTTCAAGCAATTCTGCTGCCTCAGCCTCCCGAATAGCTGGGACTGTAGGAACCCGCCACCACGCATGGCTATGTTTTGTATTTTTAGTAGAGATGGGGTTTCGCCATTTTGGCCGGGCTGGTCTCAGACTCCTGACCTCAGGCGGTCCACCTGCCTCGGCCTCCCAAAGTGCTAGGATTACAGGCATGAGCCACTGCGCCCGGCTATCTCCTGTTATTTTAAGTATAGTATTTTGAAGGTTAACAACTTTCTGGGTTTTTTCTTAACAGCATTATTAGAAGTGATAGTTGCCCATTAAAGAAAAATGAGAAAATATACTGATGATAACTCTCACACCTTGTTTTTTGTCTATTTAGACTTGCATGGTCCAGTGTGATAGCCATTAAATTAAAATCAATTACAGTTTTAAAAATTAAAAATTTAGTTTCTCAGTTGCACTAGCCGTGTTTTAAATGCTTAATGACCGTATCTGGCTATCGGTTATCGTAATGGAGAGTGTAGACATAGAAATTTTTGTTATCACAGAAAGTTCTGTTGGACAGTGCTGTTAGACCCAGTGAACCTGTGTATACAATCCATTTTACGTAAAATGAGATCATTCCACCATATTATTTATTTATTTTTCTACTTTATGTAGTAACATATTTTATTGTCAGTGAATATTTTTATATAATCTCATTTTAAAGGCTTCTAAGAATTATTTATATAGAAATCATCATTTTTTAAAATCAGTCACCTGTTGTAGGCCATTTAGGCTATTTTTGTACCATTTTATAAACAGTAGTATAAAGAATATCCTTTTCATTACATATATGTATAAATCTTAATTGCTTTAGGATAAATTCCTGGAAAGCCACAGCTTCTTAATAAGGACCAAAGAAGTTTTAGCTACTGGAGAACTTCACTGGACCTCTTGATTTAGTTTGTCACACTGTCTATTTATATATCATTTATAAATGAGCTAGGTTAAGAAAAGTCATTTCTCACACCTTCTTTACTGTTTGCAAAAATTAGTTGAAAATTCAGTGAAGCCTTGAAAATCTGATTCACTTGGTTTTGTTTCATTAATGTCTTTCCTTTTCCTGCCAGAATACTTCCCTTCTGCATTTTTACCATTAGTTGTCCATATAAAACCTGAATTGGTATTTTTTTTTTTTTGAGACGGAGTCTTGCTGTGTTGTCCAGGCTGGAGTGCAATGTGTGATCTCGGCTCACTGCAACCTCTGCCTCCCAGGTTCAAGCAATTCTCCTGGCTCAGCCTCCTGAGTAGCTAGGATTACAGGCACCCTTGAATTGGGATCTTTTAAACAAGTCTCAGTGTAGCATTTTCATAAAAAACAAAGATGACAAAATTCCATACTTGTATCCTTAAAACAGAGAAGAGAGGCCCAGAATGAGAGTCATTGTGCCTTTGGAAATAATCTCCGCTGACACTGAGTACTCTTAACGTTGATGACTTGTCTGCTTGTGTTCCAACTGCTTTCAGGAAGGTTAGAGTAGTGTGCATTTACCTGATAAAATTGGGACTGTTTTAACAGTTATTCTGTACAATAGTGGTAGATATACACATAACATATATATATGTTATGTACTTATTAATTGTGTTTTATTAGAATTCCAGGAAAAGCACCCGTATGGAAGCTTTCACTCTTCCAAGGCCTTAAGAAATACATTGAAGATGCTTAAATTAGGTGGAAAAAGCAAAAAACTAGAAAAAAAATTTTCATATACTTTTTTACAGTGATGCAAGGCTTTACTTAATGCCCAGGTCTGTCTGTCTAATAAAAGCATTACACATTTGCATTTACTTTTAGACTCACTTCAATTGTTCAAAACAATCTATGGGTTAGGTTAGGTGCAGTGACTCATACCTCTAATCTTGGCACTTTGGGAGGCCAAAGTGGGAGGATTGCTTGAGTTCAGAGTTTGAGACCAGCCTGAGCAATAAAGTGAGATCCTGTCTCTACAAAAAATTTAAAAATTAGCTGGGGGTGGTGGCACACACCTGTGGTCCTAGCTACTTGGAAGGCTGAGGCAGAAGGATCACTTGAGTGGGGAGGTACAGGTTGCAGTGAGCCATAATCACTTCATGGGACTCCAGTCTGGGTGACAGAGGGGACCCTGTCTCAAAATACATATATACATACATACATACGTACATACACACATACATACTGTAGTTTTCAGTGAGATACATGGCTTAAGTTTGGGGTTGTATGAAAATGGTATTTGAGACAAATGGGTTGTGTAACCAGGCAGATTTTGCTTTGCATCTTTATCATGTTATCTGAAACTCATATATTATTAGAAGTATGGCTTCCCTTTGTACAGTTTTAATACTGAAATGTGGAGGTAGGTCCATATTTGAGATAAAGATGTAGGGAGTCCTTCTTACTTCTCATTCTCAACTGACCAAGCTAGAAAACTATTAAGTATAATAATTGTATTTATAGGCTTTACATTTGTACTTTACTTTTAAAAAACGTAGTGTCTTGTATTATTTAAATCTGCTAATTATCTTTTTAAAAATATGGTGGGTATTAGATTTTTCATATGTAAGCAGAATCCAAGATTAAGAATGTTAACCTTACTGTGAGTTATTTCATATTCTACTCCCTGATATGACCATATAAATAAGACTTACCAAGCATTCCCACTGTGTAGCCAAAGATACATTTATTTTGGATCAATACATCTGAAATCTGAATAACTCTTTCAGACTTTTGTGTCAAGCCTGAAAATTTCTAAATTTACTGTGGTACACATAATCATGGCTAGAGATAGAGGGCACATCTTTTGTTTTGCCTGTTTATGACACAGGTTTGAGTGCTGGTCTTTTGAAAGAATAAACTTGAGTTCTGAGGATTGAGGGAACCAGGCCAGGAAATGTTCTAGTGGGTCCCCTAAAATGGAACTCTCACTGTCATAGGTATTTTTCAAGCGTTCCCACAGGGGAACTGTGATGGGCTTATTAGGAAGAGGACATTGAATATAGGAGTGGTATACGAGGTATTAAGGACAAATATGTAGATATGCCTTTTAGAATTTACTTCTGGGGAAGAAAGCTTGAGTATTGTTCTGGGATAATCTTAGCTTGCATTTATATGGAATTTAAGATAGCAAATAAGTGCTTGGCTTTACAATTAAGTATGAATTGCAATGTATCACATACAGACTGATTTTACACATTTGCTTTGAGCTTCAGTTTCTTAATTATAAAACGGACGTTGGCTCTACTGCATAAAATTTTTATGGGAAGTTAAATGAAAGAATATAGAGAAAGCAAGTAGAGTCTCAGTAAATACTTGTTTCTTTCCACTTGCTTTCTTCTTGTATGCAACAGTAAGGTTGCCACACAAGACTATTTTTGTATTCTGACACAAAGCGGACACTCAATCAAAGCTCAGTGAAGGGCTGACATTCCCATAAGCTGCTCTTTGTTACCATCAGCGTGAATTTGTGTTACATTCTTTGTTTAGTATCCTTTGTAATTTTGTAAACTTGAGTTGTGATTTGATAAGACATGAAGCTCTTTTTTCCTCATTGTAATTTAGATTCTTTTAACCTAGTGAGTGGAGATATTGCATATAGGATTATGGAGAATCGTTAATGTAACTTAAACATTTTCCCCACAAATATTTCAATAGCAGGGGTATCGTGGTTTGCTGTAACCAAATATTAAGTGTATGAAATAATTGGTTAATATTTTTTAAAGCAGATTACTCATGAGTAAGCAGCTCTCTTTCAAGCCAAGAGACATCACAGTTGCTGTTTCTGAAAATTGTAACCCACTAGGAATGAGACAAGGAAAAGGACAGATGAGGAATTATGTTAAAAGAAAAAGGTGGTCTTTTCCTCAATGTGGGGGAAAAGTTGAGGTGGGAAGTGAAATATGTGATTCAATACTATCATTCAGAACAATTGATAATAGGATAATGTGTCAAATCCCATGGAAACACAAAACTCAGTTTATTTTTTTAATTATTTGCTTTTAGCTAAATAACTTTCCTAAGGAATGAGAATTCTTTAAGTTATATTCTTTATGTCCTTTAGATTGAAAGTACAGCAGAATGTTGGCATTTCAGTCTGTTGAATCAGTTGTCAGAGGCATAGGAAAATAATAGTAATGATATATTTATGATATACTTTCTCCTCCAGGGTTCACGCCATTCTCCTGCCTCAGCCTCCTGAGTAGCTGGGACTACAGGTGCCTGCCACCATGCCCGGCTAATTTTTTATATTTTTTTAGTAGAGACGGGGTTTCACCGTGTTAGCCAGGATGGTCTTGATCTCCTGACCTCGTGATCCGCCTGCCTCGGCGTCCCAAAGTGCTGGGATTACAGGTGTGAGCCACCGCGCCCGGCCAGTAATGATATACTTTCTTAGGAGACTAAAATTGAAAGCAGAATCAAATTATTACTATTATGGTACAGGTTTAATCCTGTTTTCCTTGGGAGGGAGGATGTTTTAAATATGTAAGTTTAAACCTTGTAACTAGTGATAAAAATATTAATTGCCAGGCTGGGCAACATGGAGAAACTCCATCTTTACTAAAAACAGAAAAATTAGCTGGGCATGGTGGTGCATGCCTGTAGTCCTAGCTACTCGGGAGGCTGAGGTGGGAGGATCAACTGAGCCAGTGATGCGGAGGTTGCAGTGAGCTGAGATTGCACCATGCCACTGCAGTCTAGCCTGGGCCACAGAGCAAGACCTTGTCTAAAATATGTGTGTGTGTGTGTGTGTGTGTGTGTGTCTGTGTGTGTATATATGTATATGTGTGTGTGTATATATATATATATATATATATATATATATATATATATATGAATGAATTGGTCTTCATGTTTTACACACATAAGAAATTTATCTGGAATGCTAGTAAGTCCGTGAGGCCTTGAGAGAGAGGAAGTAGAGTTAGCAGTTTAGGGAAAGATTCACAAACACTGATGAAGTGTTTCTCATGTTTATCCCTTCTTCTGTCTCATAAACAGATTGGGAAGCACCTTTTACATGTGGTCATTGTCCCTTAGAGTTGTGCAAGCTTTATGATCCTATTATAAATTTCCCTGGTCAGATTGTAGAGATACTTGCTTTATTCCTTATGGACATTTCATTTAGTTGAATCTAGTCAAGTTTAGAAAAAGTAATCTACCCCTAAATAAAAAGAAGCATAATATAGCAGTTAGGTGTGGCACAAATGAATTCATTGTTCCTAGGGCTATTATCAGTTTACCTTTATTTCAATCCAGCAGATCTTCTGTTAGCACTGTATATCTATTTTTGAAAGACAGATGAAAAGATTCTCATTGGGATACGAGAGAGTGTTTATTGAGTTCTTGTTATGTGCAAAGAGCCAAGCCGAGTTTGTATATATTGTCACATTTAATTGTAACAGCAATTCACTGTGTTAGGTAGTGTTTTATGAAAGAGGAAATTAAGATTGGCAGTGGTGAAGTAACTTGCCCAAGGTCAGACAGTTACTAAGGATTGAGCAGTATTCTAAAACTGAGGTTTATCTGATTCCTGGGACAGAACTTTCAGTCATTATTCTCTATTGAGTTTCCAGGTAGAAAGAGAGATACTTTGTTACACTCAATCTTACATTTATTCCAGTATCTGCCTTATCTTGTAATAAATTGTTATGTGAGCAGATAATTCTGATTTTACAAATGTATTGTGTCCTGGATTAACTTTGTTCATTGCAAAAAGGATAAAATTGATCTGGGATATAAAAATCTGCTATGTATATGTACAGAATAATCTATACCTAAGTTACTGCAGATGTGATGTGCCTTTTTAAAAAAAAAAAGTCTTGATTTTCTATATTTATAAGTAAACTTGACAACAGGCGCAAAATTGAATTGGAAGATTCTTTTATTATTGTAAAATTTCATGCCAGAGTTTGTCCATAAAGATTGAAGGAGATGCATTTAACTCATTAAGTCATATATAGAAGACCTCTCCCATGTAAAACTCAGTAATTTTATTCACATGGATGAATTTTTGAGTGGGTAATTAAATATTTTTTAATATCTCTAAAAATTATGTGCATAGGCTTGTTTTGTCCTAACAGCCCTATGAGATAGGTACTCTAATATTATCTCCTGATTTACAGGCAAGGAAATGGAAGCTGAGAGAGGTAAAGGAATTGCTAGGGTCCCACAAGTAATGGCAGCAGAACTGGTATTCTAGCCTGTGCAGTTTGGCCCCAGAAGCCAGCCTCTGAAGTACAGCTGTGTTCTTAACTCTAACTATGGCATATTGCCATGGCAGACTTTGTAGTGAACTTTATTTTTTTGAACTTTTAAGAATTTTAATTAAAAGTTGTGGGGTTTTTTGAGATGGGGTCTCACTCTGTCAGTCAGGATAGAGTCCAGTGGTGTGATCATGGCTCACTGCAGCCTCGACCTCCTTGACTCAGGTGATCCTCCCACTTCAGCTTCCCAAGTAGCTGGGAGTACAGGTGCACACCATCATGCTTAGCTAATTTTTGTATTTTTTGTAGAGACAGGTCTCGCCATGTTGACCGGGATGGTCTTGAACTCCTGGGCTCAAGCGATCTGTTGGTCTCGGCCTCCCAAAATGGTAGGATTTCAGAGGCATGAGCCACTGCGCCTGGCTGAACTTTTTTTTAAAAAAGAAATGCAGTTTTTATTTTTTCCCACTGACGTACTTGGAAAAAAAAGTTACATGTAATGAGACACATAGTTCACTGGGGTGAAATTAATTTGTTCCAAGTATGCTAGTCCCAGATGTTGACAGAATTCTGAATTTTGGGTCACTTTTATATGAAAGACAAAGACTTTCATATATGAAAGTATGACTAAAACCCTGGAATTTTTGAAATAATCCCTTCACTATTTTACTCAATTTGTTTCTACAGTCAGCATTATTACAGAATCTAAATTAATAGATTTATTTCACATTTGTCTTATCCATTGCTGTTACCATATTTAATGTTAGTCATTTGATAGGAAGAATGATCCAATTTTTCTTTATTCGTTACAAAGTAATTTCTGTAAGCAAGAGCTTTTAAAAAGCATTGTTTTGCACACATATTAAACAGCATGCATAAAGATCATTTTTGTCTGAGGATCAATATCCCATTATAAAAATAACACATATATGTAATAAATACTAAAACAGTGTAGAAATGTATAAAATAGAAAGTGGAAATCCCGTTTATTTCACTTTCAGATATAACACTAAATATTCCTGTTGTTAAGGTAGCTGAAGTAGTTTTTTTATCTCTGTTATGAACCCATTTGCACATATAAATCTATTTACATATTTTTAAAACATGAACTTTAAATTTAACACGTGTTAAAACTTTGAATTTAACATGTATTATTGCAGTAGCTACTCATTGAGATATCTGCACAAGTACTCTTTGCTGAGAACCAATGCCTCTTTCCCCATCATCATTGTTTGTATTGCCTCTTCTAGTTCCTTGGCCAAACTTTTTAAGTCCAGAACCAGATGCTGAGCCAAGCTGGACCAAATTCTCTTTCATGATAATTTGGAACTAAGATTGAGATAATACAGGCGTATGTGTTTGTATCTCAGGGGAATGTCTGGGAGACAGAGAAAGACAGCAACACCTGAATTTTGAGGCACATTTTTGCCTTTGCGTTCAATGGAATACCTCTATTCTTTAATAAATTTTCCTGTTATTAAGGTAGCTGAAGTAGTTTTTTATCCTTTGTGATAAAAAAGCTCTATTTGATAAAGTCAGTACTCAAAGATATATTTATAGACCACAGCACCTTAAATTTAGAAGGATACTTAGAGATCATCTTTACTATTTACTACTATTATCTTTTCTACTTATTTACAGTTTTACTTTATTGCTTTACTTATTTCTTATGTTTAGAAACCACATAAATCTTTCTTCAAATGAAATATAATGCAGTAGCCCAATATATAAAAGCGTTCAGAGGCCCGGGAGAAGCCTTGCATGTGTATGAGGAGGTGGGGACGGGTCCATAGGAACCTAAAGAGTAGACGTTCTCAAGCAGGGACAGTTTTACCCCTTAGAGGGCATATTTAGCTATATCTGGGGACATGTTTGGTTATCACAGTTGGGGAGTGTTAATGGCATCCAGTGGGTAGAGGTAAGGGGTGCTGTTAAACATAACACACAGGACAGCTCCCCGCCGTTAAGTGCATTCAACAGACAAGCCGTGGCAAAAGCCCGAGCCTGACTACTTAGGCTGTTAAAGATGCAACAAGCCACTTGTAGGTTTAGCTAGTTGATTACTTACGTAGACAGCAAAAAGAAGGGGAAGCTAAAAGTACCAGCTCCCCATGGTCTACGTATCGCAGGATGACACTGAAAGGAAAAGGGCCAAAGGACTGCACTGAGAGTTGTGGAATACCCTGTTTTGGAAGAGCCAGTAGAAGAGAGAGAGGCAGAAAGCCCACGCCTCCTCACAAATGGGAAGTGATGAGATACTGCCTCATGACAGCTTCCCATCCTCTCTTGTTCCCAGGGTATCACAAGGCATTGAGCCACCACTCAGATTAACTGAGGTTCATGTCTTTATCATTGTAGCCTGTGAGGATACTAGCGGAGTCTCCAGAGCACCTGGTGGAGCCAGTAGCCTACACCTACACGCCCAGCAAAGAATTAGCTGGTCAAGAATGTCAGTAGTTCAAATGGAGACTCTATATTTTAGAGTAGCACTGTTCATTAGCAATGTAATGCCACACATATATGTAATTTAACATTTTCTATTAGCCACATAGAAAAGAAATGTGATACCAACTTAATAATGTTTCATTTAACTCAATGTATCTCAAGTATTATTTCAACATGTAATGTGTCTAAAACAATAGTGAGATTTTTAACATTATTTCCAGCTAAATCTCTGCTATCTGTTGTATATTTTATACTTAAAGCATATCTCAATTGAAACAACGTTTTCATGATCAATACTTGATCTATATTTGGGTTTCATAAAATTTGTAGTTGAGAAACTAGGTTTACATACACAAGGTGTCCTAAATATATTAAACATTTACCAATAACTGAATCAACTATCAATTTTTAAATTTAACTATGACTTTTTTTTTTTGAGATGGAGTCTCGCTTTATCGCCCAGGCTGGAGTACAGTGGCGCGATCTTGGCTCACTGCAACCTCCATCTCCCAGTTTCAGGCCATTCTCCTGCCTCAGGCTCCCAAGTAGCTGGGATTACAGGTGCACGCCACCACACCCAGCTACTTTTTTTATTTTGGGTAGAGACAGGTTTTCACCATGTTGACCAGGCTGGGCTTGAGGACTCCTGACCTGAAGTGATCCGCCCGCCTTGGCCTCCCAAAGTGCTGGGATTACAGGCATGAGCCACCACGCCTGACCTTAACTATGATTTTTAAAATGCAACTAAAAATTCAGATTATCAGTTTCTCTAGTCACGTTTCAAGAATGCGATACTCACATGTGGCTAGTAGCTACCATATTGGGCAGCATAACTCTAGAACACTGGGAAGTTACTAACCATTTTATTGCTAAAGAGAACAGGCTAAGACCACACAACCATTACTTCTAAACTTTTCTCCTGACACCCAGTTCAGTTCCCTGTTCATTGTACTAGAATACCTGTTCTTAAATCTCTATTTTAGAAGAGCTTTATGAGTAAGGCACAATAGGCTGTACATGATATGATGAGGTTCTCATAGGTTCCTCCAAAGGATATTAATTAAGTTGAAAGAAGAACCCTGGTTTATTAAGTGAATGTCACCGCTCATTCAGTGCTGAAGATACCATTGTGCATCAAAGAAATGTTTATCTTATGTTCTCAAGAGAAACATAATAGCACGAGGATATTAAGAGAGAACAGAACTCATCACTCTTTTTGTGTCTCAAATTTAATCTGGTATACAGAGTCAGTGATTATTTTCTTTGAATGGTAGAAGTCAAAGAACTTCAATGAGTAGTTTATTCAGAGGTGAAACTCTTCTGTTAAAAAAACAAAGATGTTAATAATTGAAGAGGATTCTAAAAAGAAATAAAAAGAGGAAGTAAAATTCTTTAAAAATGCGAAATTTTGCAAATGAAAATAAGTACTACATTTATATCAAAGAGTTTTGATTTGTTTTTGTTTCTCTGATTTGGCTAATCAGACATAGATTATGCCTTAGTTGCAGGATACTATATATGCATTATAGGCACATTACCTCAGTGTAGATATATTATGTTCACTGTACATTGAGCTCATCATGTTTTGAAGTTTTGGAGATTTCATCCCTGTTTTATTACCTTTTGTACATATACTACTGTATGTACAAAACCTTTGAGTGTATCTACTTTACTCTTGCCATTTATTTAAAATATTTTAAACAGTGTAACATAATTTAATTGATATCACCAAACTTCAATCTATTCCAAGAATAGGAATATGGGGTTTTTACAGCTGCAAAATAATTGCTTTTTGCAAGTTGGTAGTAGAATTAAATAGAATTCAATGGAAATGGAATTGTAATTAAGTATCTGCCTAACATATATAACGTATATTAAGCTAGGCTCACTAAAATTTTCTTTCTTCAGTGTAGTTTATGTACTATTAATTTCTTAACTTGCATGCTTTCTCTTGAGTTAGCTACCTTCTTATAGTTGTTGTTCCTAATTTATATGTGAAAAACTTTTTCTAAATGATTAATGAATTTATCCTGTTGGTGCTTCTTGAACCTGTAGATTGGGGTCTTCTATTAGTTCTAGGAAAATCTGTGGCATTAGCTCTGTAAATACATACATATGTATGTGTGTATGTATATATATATTTTATTTTTATTTTTATTTTTTCTTTTCTTCTAAGACTAATTGCAGCATGTTAGGCCTTTTAGTTTCCATCTTTTATCCATCCTACTCTCTTTTTCCTCTGTATACTTCAGTACTTCAGTCTTGGAAATACTGGTTGTCATATTTTCCAGTTCAGCAATTTTCTCTTTAGCTGTTTCTAATCACAGTCAGACCCTCTATAAAGCTTTTAAAATATTAGTTTTGTATAACATAAAAATCAACTTTATCAAGTTTGAAGTAATGAAATAAAATGAATATATTTTGAGTATACATTTTAATGAGGTTTGACAAATGTGTATACCCATATAACTACCACTCTAATCAAAATAATACAACAGTTTTGTTTACTCCAAAAAGTTGTCTGGTGCCCATCTGCAGTCAATTTTTCTTCTTGTCAGCCATCCCCAGTCAACAATGATCTATTTTCTGACATTATAGATTAATTTTCCCTTCTAGAAATATGTTCTTGTGTGTCTGGCTTCTTTTGCTCATCATGTTTTGAAGTTTTGGAGATTTCATCCCTGTTGTATGAAACGAAAGTTTGTTTCTTTTTATTGCTGAGTAGTATTCTGTTGTATGACTGAGCTATAGTTTGCTTCAGATTTTTTTTCAATGTTTGACTATTATAAATAAACATATGATCATTCACATGCAAGTCTTTTGTGTGGACACATGGGTTTTTGGTTTGTTTCCTTTTGAGTAAATACTTAAGACTAAGTATGTATGCTAGGACATACAGTAGTGTATATTTAGCTATATAAGGAACTGCTAAACTGATTTCCAAAATGGTTAAACCATTCATTTGTAATGCCCACAAGTAATGTGTTAGAGTTCCAGTTTAGAATCTCCTCATTAACACTTGGTATTGCCAGTCTTTTTAGTTTGTATTTTTCTGTTGACTAATAATGTTGAGCATCTTTTCATGGACTTACTAGTAATTTATATATCTTCTTCTGTGAAATGCCCTAGTCTCTTGCTCATTTTTCAAGTTGTATTGTTTGCCTTTTAATGATTGATTTGTAGAAGTTCTTTCTCTAATCTAGAAGAGTTTTTTGTCTTACATATGTGTTGCAAATATTTTCTTCTAGATTGTGTTTTGCCTTTTCATGTTCTTAATGGTGACTTTTGAAGAACAGAAGTTCTTAATTTTGATAAAACACAGTTTATTGGTATTTTCTTTTAAGGCTTAGTTTCTTTTTCTCCTAAGAAATCTTTGCATCCCGAGGTCATGAAGATTTTTCTTTCATGTTTTCTTTAACAGATTTTATTAAGTCTTTTTTATGTTAAGTCTTTTATGTCAAGTCTGTAGTCCAGTTTGAGTTAATGTGTTTGTGTGGTGTGCGGTAAGAGTTATTTTGTGTTTTTTTTTTTTTCTTTTCTATATAGAGAATCCGTTGTTTCAGCATGATTTGTTGAATAGGCTATTTTTCCACCGTTGAATTACTGTGCTTCCTTTGTTGAAAAGTCAGTTGACTCCCTATATGTTGCTTTATTTATGAGCTGTCTTCTGTTCTGTTGGTTTACATACCCAAGTCTGAATAACATAGTTTTTCAATTGGAAGTTATGCTTCATAACACAAAGTAGCTAGTTTAACTTGCAACTCCAATAATTGCAGAAGTCCTATTATATCTATATGTATTCTTATTCTAGTACTGCACTGTCTTGATTACTAGAGCTTTATGATAAATCTTGAAATTAGGTAGTGTGAGTCCTTCAACTTTTTAGTTCCACAGTTTCCCACTTGATTATCAGAGTATGTCTATGTTTCACTTCTTAAGACCATACTTTCCTTTAATTCTTGGAATTTATTTTCTTTAAGTCTTTGAAATTTTTTATAATTGATGCTTTGAGGTCTTTGCTAACTAACCCTAACACATCTGGGATATGCTGGGTATGATTTTTAGTGTTTTTTCTTGACCAGATCACATTTTTCTTTCTCTCTATATGTTTAATAATTTTTTATTCAGTAGTGGACATGGTAGTCACTCTGTGATGTTTATTATCTTCCTCTGAAGAATTTTTATTCTTGTTTTAGCAGATCACCTTATTGCTGGTTTAAAATCACCCTTAACTTATGGAGGTTTGGTTTTAAGCTTTGTTAGTGCAGATCTGTGGAAAGCCCAAGGTGTTTCCCATGTTTCTTTAAGATTGTCTCTTCTGCAGACCTTGTTTTGCCTCGGTTTTGGGCTTTATTAGTATTATGTGTCTAGACTAGGGCTTATTCTAGGGGACAAGTTCTCAAATGTTTAGTCTCTTTTTGCATTCTTAAAAATTATTGAGCGTTCCACAGAGCTTTTATGGGGGTCATGCATATTGTATTAGATATTAAAAAAAGAAGTTTAAAAAATTATTTCATTTAGCAAATAGCAAGCTTACTGCATGTTAGCATGAGTAACATTTTTTGAAAAATTGTTTTCCAAAACAAAAAATAATCCTAAGAGTGGAATCATTTTACATTTATGCAAATGTTATTCATATTTGACTTAATTGAAGACAGCAGGATTCTCTTTTCTGCTTGTGTATGCAGTCTTTTCTGATAGGCTTTTTGGGGTTGAAATATCTGAAGAAGATCTACATTTATAGTTAGAAAAGGGAAGAGTATATCAATAACCTTTCCAATAATTGTGGATATTCTTCTTTGATTCCACATGCAAACTGGACAAATGGTAGTTTCTTAGTGGTTAGCTGCAATGTGGAATCTGAAACCATGTCATGTCAGAAAACCTTTTGCACTCTGTAACATCACAATCCACTGGTCGTCTTACACTTGCAAAGCATCTTTGCCTATGTACCTATGTATGATTTTGTAATGATTTCCATTTGTCGTATCAAAAATACTCGTTTCCTAAGTGAGGCCTAACTTGTTAACATGTTGTATTATACTATATAAAATAATTACATTTGTTATTTTATATCCATGTCAGCAGAAAAGTCTATGAATTTGGGAGCCCTTTATAAGTACTTTCTAATTCTTCACAGAGAATATTTTAAAGAAATCTAATGGTCAATATTTAATAAAATGCAGTAATTTTACTGCTTTGTCAGGGGCATTCTAATGTGAAACACTCCTTTTTTTTGACTGCATATATGTTTTATAGTGAAGAATGTAATAATCACTAATAGATGTTGATGACACCGCCTTGATTTGTGTTATTTTAGTTTTAAGACAGGGTTTCACATTGTCATTCAAGTTGGAGTGCAGTGGTGCGATCATGGCTCACTGCAGCCTTCACCTCCTGAGGCTCAAGCGATCCTCCCACCTGAGCCCCACGAATAGCTGGGACCACAGGTGCGTGCCATCACGCCTGGCTCATTTTTTTACTTTTTGAAAAGTCCAGGTCTCCCTATGTTGCCCAGGCTGGTCTTAAACTCCTAGGCTTAAGCAATTCTTCCACCTCAGCCTCCCAAAGTGCTGGGAATATAGGCATGAGACACCATGCTCAGCTTGTGTTATCAGTAGTTTTTTCCTCTGTTGCATCATCAGTGCAAATGTTAATATAATGAAACAAAGGAATAATATCTTAATGTTATCATAAAAATAGTTTTGACTTTGTAGATCCTGGCTCTCTGTTCTAGGTCATGCTGCTTATTCATAACTAACGTTGATGCTAAGGTGCGTCAGGTGTGTTAACAAGGCGATTTTTTTTTTTAGGTTCTCTTTACTTTCTCAAGGCTAGAATTGCAATTTCTTTCAGCACTGCTCTTTCTCTAGCACCTTGCGACCTCTACTCACTTTGTTGTGCTCTCAGTCCCTAGCAGCTATTGCCAAATAAGCCTCAGGGGTTTTGTCCTGCACAGGTACAGCCCAGCCCAGCCATGTGATCCCTGGGGACTCCTTCACAGACATCTGGGGCCTGCTCTCTGCACAGATCCTTCTTCTCTAGTTTCCCATCCTGCAGACTCCAGCCAATTCTTCTGCCTTGAGTTTGGATTTCTGTCTTCTCAGTTCAGTGTAACCACCATGTTCTGCTTTGACTCTTGTTGTGTTTATGTGGTTGGCAAATTGTGTTAGGCAGAGAGTTGGGTGATTATGGTACCCATCTTGTGAGTTTCTCTTCTTTCAGGGATCACTGTTTACAACTGCAGCTGGCTACTGCCTGCAGTTAGTTGCTTCATCTATTTTCTCCAATTTCATAATCGGTTATGTCAGAGAGGGAAAGCTAGTCTGATACCAGTTACTCCATTATGGCTGGAAACTAAAGTTTTATTTAAAATTTTTTCGTTATATTTTTATTTCTAAAAGTTCTGTTTAATTCTTTTATACATTTGCCCTATTATTTTTTATAGTTTCATCTTTTTTAGATCTTTCAGCTTGTATTTTATTTTATTAAACACAATAAGCATGGTTCTTTTTGTAATACATGTCTTGTACCTCTGATATCTGAAGTTTTTATGGGTCTGTTCTTGAGTTGTCTATTTCTGCTCGTTGCAGGTTTTGCATTTTAGATTATTTATGTGCCTCATTATCTTGGCTGTGCACTGGACATTTTACCAACTGTTTATTTATAGGAGTTACTGCCAATCTGGGGCCACCTTAAATCAAATTCTAGGCTTTAGATATCGTAGACACCCAAAGTTTCCAACCAGAGCTGTAATTCTGTACTAGGACCAGTTCACATCTATTTTATCCTCATCCTGAGGTATCACCCTTGTTGTGTGGGGAACAGTCTCGTAATAGTCCTTACTTTTGGGGGCCTGTGGGCTTTTATTGCTCTTCCCCTGATTCCATGAGACATTGAAATGACAGATTTTATTTTTCTTGATCAGTAATTGCCTTCAGAACAATGACAGCTTCCATACACGTTTACCCTCTAGATTTCCTTTGCTCTTCAGTTTTCAGCTGGTAATTCTTTAACTGTCTTGTTAGCTCATAGATGATTTTAGAAGTTGTGTTTTTGTTTTTGTTTTAAATCTAGTTCTGTTCATTGTTTACAGCCTAAGGGTAGATTTAAATAAGCTACTCTGCCGTTACTGAAAACAGAAAATTGTGCCATTTGAATTCTAATTTAAATTCAGTAAGCCATCCTATATAGGGATAGCACTGGTTACTTGAATTTTCTTTTTTTCTTTTTTTTCTTTTTGAAGTGGAGTCTCGCTCTGTCGGCCAGGCTGGAGTGCAGTGGCACAATCTCAGCTCACTGCAAGCTCCACCTCCCGGGTTCACGCCATTCTCCTGCCTCAGCCTCCCGAGTAGCTGGGACTACAGGCGCCCGCCACCACGCCTGGCTAATTTTTTGTATTTTTAGTAGAGATGGGGTTTCACCTTGTTAGCCAGGGTGGTCTTGATCTCCTGACTTCGTGATATGCTCACCTCAGCCTTCCAAAGTGCTGAGATTACAGACATGAGCTACTGCGCCCGGCCTTGAATTTTCATAGTTACTGTTAGTGGTAAATCAACTTCAGATAATTTGAAAAATAAAATACATTAGCTTGACTACTTTTATGCTATAATAAGTAATGTGTATTTTGGATGAAAAGATAAAAGAGTTTTTAAAAAATCTATAATATATATATACTGTATTATTACGGTATAATATATACTGTAGCATACTATATATGATATAATGTATACTGTATAATATAATGGCATAGTTTATGCCATTATATAATATTATACCATTTTAATATACATGTTTGTGTAGAAGAAATAGTGCATAAACGCAAGGATCTATCGTGTTTCAGTTTATAAAAATAGTTTGTCTCTTAAAGCTCATGTGTATTGGTAAAGAATCTTATACATTGAAGGCTGTACTGTAGTGAAAGTTTAGTCCTTTGATATTTTTCTATAAAATTAAAAATTTTCTTTGCTTAAAAAATTCAACGAACTTGGTCCTTTATGTAATCCTATTTTTGAAACTCAGTCTAATAAATGTATATCTCTTTATTCTTAAAGCATTAGATGCTTATAATTTTAAAGTAAAAACTTCCTAAAACATCTTCTGATAATTTACTCTAAAAAGCTTGCTACATTTTTAGCTTGGAAAATTCACATTGTTTCTATGTCTTGTGTCTTTTAAAATTAGTTAATAATGCCTGCAGTTAAACACAATTTATTATAATAGCACTTTGTAATTTTCTAGGAATTTAACAGAATGAGTCTTTGTATGAATGTAGAAATATTTTGTTTTTATTTGCAATAATTATGCAAATGCTTAACTTGAATAGTTTTAAAGGATGAAATGAAACAACATAGCTAAAGTAATACCTGCTGAATTTGGCTCCCTGTGGCTGAATGCCTGTACCAGAAATGGGAAAATCGTGTGTCCTTCTTGACATAGCTCATTTGAAAATGGTGTTTGAATTTTGTGACCCTACCTTAATTTTAACTGTCTTGTTATGCCAGCTGCTACATTTTCTCCGCCCGTCTTACCTCGAAAGGAGATGAATAGAGCTGAGACGCATTAGTAAAACAATTAGAAATCACTTACTCTCTGGAATTTGAGGTTTAATAATGTCCCAGTGGTTAAAGATAGTATAGGGGGCTTTGTGAATGGCCATAGTACCCTTGAATTTATGTACTGAATGTTACTCAGATTTTAGTTTCCTTCTTTTTCTTTCAAACCTTACTTTGTACATTGTTGGTGTATTTTGGGAACTTTGCTTCAGGTATTTGTGCTACTTTTTAAAAATAATATGACACTGTATCATCAAGCAATGTGGTACTTTTTCAGAAAAATCTGTTTTATATTAGTGTGCTATCAATGCGTATTGATTTTACAAGATAAATTTCTAATTTTATTTTGTGTTAATAGTCACATTTTATTTTTCTTTTTAATGGCTCAGAATGTTGAAAACAAATTTTGAAGCATCCAGAATTGAGTCTTAGATGACACCACTTTGAGTACAGTGTGGCATTCTTGAAAACTATTGTTACCTTTGCCTCATGTATGTGCCATTCTTCTGGTATTAGAAAATAGTCCCACATAAATCCCCATAGAGAACAGTGTGAAGGATCAGATTTGAAGGCACTTTAGGATGAAATTCTATTTGAGAAATTGCTTGGGGAATATTGTAGTTTGGGACATTTAAGAATGTGTCTGATAACCTTCAGTGCTCCTGGTCTCAACTTTTAGTTTTGTTTGTTCTTTTTAAAGAGTTAAGATAAATGAAAACCTTTCTGTTATTATTTTTTTCATTTTGATTCAGAGGGTGGGAGAAGAAGAGATTCTATTTGAAGCAGCTGTTTTTTATTTTTATTTTTTGAATATTTTAGATCGTAATGCTTCAGGTCTTTGGCTATAACTTTAAAAGCATTATCAGAGATTTGAGACCGCTCCTAAAATATGTAGAGATCACCTTATCAAGTTTAGCCCCTTTATTTTAAAAGTCATGAGAACTGAGGCCCAGAGAATTTCTTGTGTGCCCTGGCTCAGTGCTTCTCAAATTGTCTATGGTAGAGAACTGGGTTTTCTTTTTTCCCCAATGCATGACAGATCAATAATTTTGTAAAATATAAATAAAAAGAAGTACTGGAGAAGGTAATTTTGAAACAACAGACATAGTTCTAAATACCTTCAGTTTCAGTTCTTATCTCAATGTAGATGGATTGTAAACAGTTCTGGGAATCGAATTTTATATAATATGCTTTGTATAGCATAGACCTGGGAATGGAACTTTGTATAATATGCTTTGTATAGCACAGACCACATTTATATAGCACTGCCCAGGGTCAGGGGTCAGCAAAATGGTCCGTAGGCCAAACCCAGCCTATCTCTTGTTTTCGTATGGCTTGCAAGCTAAGAATTGTTTATATATTTTTAATGGTTTTTTAAAAAATCAGAAGAAGAATATTTTATAAATTTTATAAAATTTAAGTTTCAAAGTCCTTAAGTAAGATTTTATTGGAATGCAGCCATGCTCATTCATTTAAATATTATCTGTGGCTGCTTTCACACTATAATGGTAGAGTCGAGGGAGGGATGAGGACCCTTGAACAATGCAGGGGTTAGGACCGTTGAACAACGTGCAGTTTAAAATTCGAATGTAACTTTCTCCCACAAAATTAATAGCCTACTATTGACCAGAAGCCTTTTCGATAACATAAACAGTCAACACTTATTTTGTATGTTATATGTATTATATATTGTATTCTTATAGTAAAGCAAGCTAGAGAAAAGAAAACATTTTTAAGGAAGATAAAATGTATTTACTATTCATTAAGTGGAAGTGGATCTCCATAAAGATCTTCATCCTCATCGTCTGCCCATTGAGTGGGCTGAGAAGGAGGGTGAGGAGTGGTTGTTCTTGCTGTCTCAGGGGTGGCAGAGACAGGCACACTCAGTGTAACTTTTACTGAAAAAAATCTGCATATATGTGGACTGATGCAGTTCAAACTTGTGTTATTGTCAGCTACAGTTGAGACAGAGACCAAATAGTCCGTAAAGACTAAAATATTTACTATCAGGCCTACTACAGAAAGAGTTAGCTGACCCCTGCCCTAGAGCAAAGCATGGAATTAGTCGTCACTGGTAGAGTTGAGAGTACACATTTTAACATGTGCTTTAAATATTATGGTGAGCTGATGGGGATTGTCATGCTCCCTGACCAGCACCTTTGCTTGTCACTTTATGTTCTAATTCAGTCCTCCTGGCAATCTTGTAATCTTGTATGAAAGCTGGATAAGTTTAGACCCCTGCTGATCTAATGAGGGGTTAGATACCTTCTCCTAAAAGTCTTAACTTTACTGAGTTTTTAATTTTTAATTCATATGTGATGAATGAAATATGGTTAAATATTTTCTAATGTGAATTTTGTTATCAGCATCTGGTTTAGAAAGTTCAGCTGCTTCTTTCCTGTTGCTACATTACTTTGCTGTAGATGTGTCTGTGTTCAGGTCTAATTAAAGAGGTAGGCATGGCCCAAACATATTTAGAAAACATCTATTTCAAGTAAATGTTTACTTCTTTTAATGTCACCTAAAGTACAACAAAACTACAACTAAACTGTAATGGCACATTTCTATTGCAAAATGGGCAACATATAGTAGTTAAAATACGGGTTAAAACAAGAAGGATTGAGGTTTTAGGTGACTTTGGAGAAACAGTCAGACTTTCACTATTTTACTTCTAGCACTCATTAAAAACTACAAAATGAAAGCTCCCATCATTTAACTGTCAAACTCAGATAAAAATATTCATTTACTTCTTGTTTAAAGCAGGTTCTGCAGTTCCTGAAGTATGCAGTTAAACTCTGCTTTTCATGGTAGCTATTATTTCTTCTGTTTTCTTCCCCTTTGCATGTGATCACTCAGCAACTAAATAAAGTTAGAGATAGTTATCAGCTTGCATTTGATACTTGAGTCTGCTTTATGATAAAGACCTTTTATAAGCCAAATCTTCACGTTAGAATTTCTTCCTGGTATTAAAAAAACATGTTGTTACAATAGCTGTACCCATTATGATGAAAGAGTAACTACACTT
Organism: Homo sapiens; assembly: GCF_000001405.40. Taxonomy (NCBI): domain Eukaryota; kingdom Metazoa; phylum Chordata; class Mammalia; order Primates; family Hominidae; genus Homo; species Homo sapiens. The sequence goes on along the minus strand of NW_018654717.1, from coordinate 3,737,278 downwards.
TGATATTGTGGCACTCGCCATTTTATTCTACTGACTCTTGAATCAGTTTATAAACATCTGGAAAACAATAATGTTCATTGTTTGCATTCACATAGGAAATAACACAGAAAGGCTTTGTAAGATCTCACTGCATCTTCTCAAGCCATAGCTGGTTTTTATTGTCCCAAGTCTGAAACTCCCCAAAATGTAATGTATGAGATGTACAGGCTCACCTTCCTGGCAGCTGTGTCCTAGTTCTGGATAAGGCTGTTGTTTGTCCATTATAACAAAGCCATTGATTTTATGGCTAATACATTAAAGGAAAAGGAAGAGCTTTGTAAACAGAAGGACTTACGGCTTGGTAATGTGTGAGTATTACCTTCCAAATATTGCTAAAGAATGTATGTGCTTTAGCATGGAACTGTCATGAATGAATGAAAATTTGGGACTCATCAACGGTAGTGCCTCATAACTTACAATTGAATTTTACTTACTGGAACAACTTTTTAATACATTCATTGATTTAATCATTGTTTGGGTAGTATTACAGCAACAGTCTCCTCCTCTCCTGCCCTCTCCACCCTCCCTACGTATACACACCACATACCAGATGTGGCTGATAAATGCTTTGGATTAATATATCTGGATTTTACTTAAACAGTGATTTTTTCTTTTGTAGGAACCTCCATATTTAAGAATTCCCAGTAGCTACTTTTTACCCAATATGGCAGGCATTACATTCATGCCTTAGGATATATTATAGTGATTGAGTTTCTGTTTCTAAACATTTTTGATGGAAAGAATGAGTATAAGAGGCAGTTCCTTTTTGCAGCTCCACGCCAGGGGACCAGGGTTACACACATTACTATGTCTGTTAAACTTCTTGGAAGCCATCCAGTATGTTATGGTGAGTTTCATGTGCAAGTGGTGAGCCACTAAAAGGCTTGCACAGTATTATAACTATTCTGAGGAGAGGAGGCATTTGGAAATTCAGCAGTAAAGCAGCGACAGCAACAAGCAGCCACAGTGGTAGTAAAGAGAGGGCAGGTTCACAGTTAGCATATTTCACAGTGTGAGCCAGCGAGCACATAGCTTCCCATACTGCTGCTTGAAGGAGGCAAACCAAAACTCTACATTGCAAGATTTTTCTAGTTTCATGTTTATGATGTTAAGTCATGTGATAATATTGTACCATAAGTTGCCAACTTCATTTCACTCTAGAGAGGCTCCTTTGCTGCAGTGCTTTTTTGCTTTTTTTCTTTTTTTTTCTTGAAAGAGAAAAAATTTGTGCAATGTATGTTTATGCCTACACCATGCCGAGACGACACTTACCAGTAAATAATCTCTGTATCCCCGAGGTAAGATACTGTTTCTGCTTTCCCTGCACAGTGCTGCTGCAGCACGGAGCTGACCCAAACATTCGGAACACTGATGGGAAATCAGCCCTGGACCTGGCAGATCCTTCAGCAAAAGCTGTCCTTACAGGTAAGAAGACAGAGAGCTACCGAATGATTATATCTGTGTAACTCCTTACTTGATTTTATAAAATCTTGTTATGCTGAATTTTTCTTTTCACTGATGAAGCTAAGCAAATATATCTGCCATTATCTACTACTTTATTATTGATTTGATATCTGTCTCATTAATTGCTATGCTGTCGTAAGCATAAGCAGTAAGATTGTTGGTCTACTTAGAATGATAGCATTAAATCATAACATCTTTCACTTGTATTTTAGTCATTTTTATGGTTTATATCATAATTTTTCTGTATCTCATCCTCTCAGTTGTTTAAGACCTTTACTGTTGAGCAAGCAAGGGCATTTATATTACTATAAAAGTAGTTTTGATTGGAAAGACAACCTGCTGCCTGCTGCCTTATTTCTTGGATCGATAGTCAAATAAAATATGCCGCTGCCTCTCCCTTGCCACCCCGTTTATACTTTAATCATATGTTTTCACTTTTACCATGATAGCTAAGTTATTTTTAACTGAGGCGTTTATTATCTTTTTACTTCAGATAATGCAAATTTGTGGCTTAAATATTAGTTTTATTAAAGCAAATGCCAAGAACCAGCAAAGAGGAAATGCTAGAATGGAAAAGGTCTCTCATAACAATATAGAAAATAGTGCTCTAAGTGTTTTCATTGATCTGCATTCTCAAAATGCTGCATTGGATCTATTTTTGTTTTTATTCTTAGCATCTGAGTCCTGCTGCCTTTGCCCTCTTTTACTTAACTGACCTTCGTAATGAGCCTCTGTCACTGCAGTGCTAACAGTATTGTTTTAGGTTATGTGAAAGTAAATGACTTTTAACTACCTTTTAAATTTGCCCATGGTCGAAGAAAATAAATATTTTGTTCTTGTTTAAGTTTAGAGTCCATGGTGTGAAAATTTAGCAAAAATACTGAGGCGAAGGGAAAACGTTTATGTACAGAAAGCTTTGAAAATCTATGGAATTTTGCTTAATTACTCTGCATAGAAAAACAACTTTGCACTGTGCTAAAATTAATATAATTATTGCTCAGAGTAATATGACTTTTCTCAATCAAAGATTAGTGTATTTAGTTGCTGGATAACAGTAACATACACTAGAGTAATAAACCTACTTAAATTAGTGTAGATAAGAAATTTAAGTATAAATATATAATTTTAAGTAGTGAAATTAAAATACATAGCCTCGGGCCTGCTCAGATTCTACAGCCTTTCAGTCTCTTAACAAAGCCCTGGGCAACAATAGCAGCTTTAGAGTGGTCTCTGACCAAAGGAGAAATACAGTGCATAGTAACAGGGGTAGGTTATAAATGCTGAGCAAGACTCTTTGTATATCTAAATGTCCTCCCTCTGACGTTTCCTTCTCTCCAACTCTCAACACCCGCTTTGTCCATTTGTTAGATACATTTAATGCAACAACGCTTTTAGATCTACTTTCACTTTTTTAAAAGGCAAAATTTAATATAAGTTATTAACAAGAAACTATATCCTAATTTGTAATGAATTTCAGGGGAGATTATATTGGATGTTGTTAGTTTGGGAAAGAGCTTTGGAACAATCACTTGTGGAGACACAAGATTCCTGGAGGACAGATATCACATCTACTAAAATTGACTTTAAAGCCATCTAACACTGTACTTTGCTTAGATAGGAATATACGAAATTCTTGGTCATAATACTGATTTAGAGTCATTTGTTCTTTTCAAGAATATCTCTAGAGTCATTTAGAGTTAATTGTTCTTTTCAAGAATATCTACTTTTTTGGAAATGATCTACAGCTTTTCAGATGTGATTTAAAAGGAAAAGTCTAGTAATATGGTTAATTTTGTTGGAATATAAACCAGTTCTGTTTCTACATTCATGCTATATAATGCAGTGAAATAACACTTAGGTGAAATGTATTCCAAAATGTTTTTCTGCCCATACAGGTTCTCTAATAAGTAATTCTTTCCAGTGGAATTATGGTGAAAGAATTATTTCCAGAGCTAAATTTAAAAGATTAAACATTAATTTTTTTAAAAGGGTTTCTTTTGAAAGGAATGCCTTAGAGTTATTAGAGATCATTCTGAGTAATATGTCATTCTTTATTTTTATGCCAGATGCAAATGTAGTACCCTTACTTACCTTGAGAGTGAAATTTTCCTTCTTAAATATTTTTTCTTTAGGAATTTACTTGCTGCAAATGTCTTTCCAGTATCTCATCGTTTTATGTTATTACTTTTGTGCATTAGTCTAAACTGTGTACAAGTATTTATGTGTTTTCCTTAAAGGCAATTAATAAAGTGACAATCTCTTTTTTGGTTTTTTTTTTTTTTTTTTTTGAGATGGAGTTTTGCTCTGTTGCCCAGGCTAGAGTTCAGTGGAACGATCTCAGCTCACTGCAACCTCCGTCTCCCGGGTTCAAGCGATTCTTCTGCCTCAGCCTCCCAAGTAGCTGGGACTACAGGCATGTGCCGCCACGCCTGGCTAATTTTTGTATTTTTAGTAGAGACGGGGTTTCACCATGCTGGCCAGGCTGATCTCGAACTCCTGACCTCAGGTGACCTGTCTGCCTGACAGTCTCTTTTTATAGAACATTTACAAATATGTGACTAATACCATCTTATACATAAGAATGCATGTTTTTTAATAAAGCTATACAAAGCAACAGTGTACCCTTAATTTTGCAATTAAGGGACCCTAGCACATGGCCATTGGTTTTGGATAGCACACTTGGATATTTAAATGAGAAGACTTACTCAGAGAGACTCATCATCCTCTTTGCTGAATTATTGTGTAAGTGAATGGTAGACTTAGAAGAAATCTTGAGGGCTTTCTTTTGTTTTTCTGCTAATGACTGAAGTTCTGGTCAATAAACTGAAGGACTTGGAGGTATTTAGATTTTTCGTTTGTTCATTTTTTGTTTTAAATAGGGGTATGAAAAGTCAAAAACAGCCTATGTAAATGTTATTGAAGAGCAGTTTTTGTGTGTTTTGATTATAAATTTTTTAAAGTAACATACTTTTGGCCTTTTCTTTCTGATTGTAAAAGAAATACATTCATTTGGAAATTGAGAGAAACAGGAAAAGGATGAAAAAGAAAAATCATTTGTAATTTTGCTACTTAGAGATAACATTTTGGTGTACTTTATTTATAACCTTTTCTTCTGTGAGCATCCCACTGTCTTATTTCTCTTTAATCAAATCAGCCTAATGTGTTATAAACTGCTTAATAGTACATATTTTTCTAATTTAGTTACATAAATGTTCCCAAAGACATTAAGTACTTTTCTACAACCTGAGTTTATAACAACTTCACAGTACCCTTCTATGAGTATATTTTGGTTTTTTGAGCGAATTCCCTAGTGTTTCACATTTAGGTAGGTTGTTTTCAGTCTTTATTCTTCCCTGTGAATTTAGAGTCATTTAATCAATTCTGTTGGAAGTGTGCTTCATCACATTCAGTCTTAGCATCCATGGACATGGTAGATACCTCTGTTCTTGACTTTGAAGTAAGGAAGCTTTGGAAAATGAGGAGCTTTCTTTTTTAAAAAGGCTGCGCTGCATGTGGTATTATGGGAGAGCCACATTTAAGTTAAAGGTGGTTGACAAAGGGAATGTTTGTTGAAAAGGGCTAGAAAGTAGGGTCTTTGTTAATTATGTGAAGGAGATTCTCTGGGCAGAGTGGAAAGGATAGAGGGAGCAGTGGAAAATTGAATCAAAGAAAGAGGTAAGAGCAGATTGAGCCTGAGAGTTTGGAAAAGGATAGATAACCAAAGGAATGTTTGTCGTTGTCAGGACCAAGGATGATGGGGATGTAAAGTGAGTGAGTTTAGATGGTCACAGCATTGCTAAGATGGTTGATCCTAGTGTTTTCCTAGTGTATTTAGGGTTAAGGGGATGTGGAAGGAGGATATGTTTGCATTCAGGTGTCTCAAGAATAAATTAGCTTTAACCTGGATTCATTGCACTTCTGTGGAAATCCAAATCTATGATTTGATGGGTAGCCCCCAGTCTCTCTATAAGGAATCAGCTGTGGCTCAGGCCACCGGCAATATTGAGGTGTCTGGTGTGTTCTTGCTGAGACTGGCTTAGTAAGTCAGCAAAATGTATCCGAAATCCTTTGCTTTTTTTTTTTTTTTTTCCTGCTAACTGCCTCCTGCTGCCCTTCAGATAAGACCAACATCTTTAGCATAACCAGTGAGGACTTAAATGCTCTGTACCCTGACCACCTAGCTTTGACTACTAGATTTTGCTGAAACCAAAATTTGGAACTCTTTCCTTATTTTTATTTATTTTTTTTTTTTGCGACGGAGTCTCACTCTGTCGCCAGGTTGGAGTGCAGTGGCGCTATCTTGGCTCACTGCAACCTCCGCCTCCCGGGTTTAAGCGATTCTCCTGCCTCAGCCTGCCAAGTAGCTGGGACTATAGGCAGGCGCCACCACGCCCAGCTAATTTTTGTATTTTTAGTATAGATGGACTTTCACCACTTTGGCCAGGATGGTCTCGATCTCCTGACCTCGTGATCCGCTGCCTTGGCCTCCCAAAGTGCCGGGATTACAGGTGTGAGCCACCGTGCCCGGCCGGGACTGCTTTCTTTGCCTCACACTTTGTATCCAACCTATCAGTAATTCAGGTCTACCGTACTTTCAAATTCCCAATCTGACCGTTTCTTACCATCCTCACTGCTTTAGCCCTGGGCCACACCTTCATCCTCTGTTTCACGACAGCAGTAGCCTCATAATGGATCTCTCTGCCACTACTTAAACTTCGCTCAGTTCTCTTCACTGCAGCTAGAATGGTCTTACTAAAGCATAAATCAGCTCTATAATCAGAAAATTCTTTAGTATATTCCCACAGCCTCTGAATAAAATTCAGATTCTTTAACAGTGGCCTGTCCTGATCTGGCTCCTGCCTTGCATTTATCTGATCTTGTCTTCTACTGTATTCTCTCTTGGTCTCTTTGCTTCAGCTACAGCTGGCTGTTTGCTGCCCCTCAAGCAGATGAAACCTTATTCTGTGTCTGGGCTAACATAAGCTATTTACTGAAACTGGAACACTTCCCCAGTTCATCAGTTAAATCTCTAGTTCAAACGTCTGCTCCTCAAAGACGGCTTCTTGTCCCTGGTGCCATCAGCCTATTTGATTTCCTTCATGGATTTATTGGTATCTGGCATTGCATTGTGTTGTTGTTATTTGTCCCAGTAGAATGAAAGCATCATAAGGGTTTGGACTTTTGTCTGTCTTGTTTACTTCTTTATCCCCAGGACTCAAAAGAATACATAAAATGATCAATCAAATAAATATGTCTAAGGTCCGATTACTGATAATTGGGGGCAGCATATTTTCCAGGTCATATAAATACTCATTAACCATTAATTATTTGACATTTTATGCCAATAGTTTTAATAAATTTTTAGCTTCCTAAAAATAGTTTTGAATTGCATATAGTCCTATACATTTCTTAAAACATAAGTGCATTTTAAAAATGTTTTAATTGGTAAGATGGATGAGGTTTACTGAGTTTTTATCAACAGATTTCTCAGATGGCTCTTATGATTGAGAACATTCCAATTCTGGAAAGATGAAGCTGCCTGCAGCTGTCACATCAGACATCCAGATGTCAAACCGAGGCCTTATTTTTGCTTTTTTTTTTTTTTTGAGACGGAGTTTCACTCTTGTTGCCCAGGCTGGAGTACAATGGTGCAGTCTCGGCTCACTGCAACCTCCACCTCCTGGGTTCAAGCGATTCTCCTGCCTCTCAGTCTCCCAAGTAGCTGGGATTACAGGCATGTGCCACCACGCTCAGCTAATTTTGTATTTTTAGTAGAGATGGGGTTTCACTATGTTGGTCAGGCTAGTCTCGAACTCCTGACCTCAGGTGATCCACCCACCTCAGCCTCCGTAAGTGCTGGAATTACAGGCTTATTTTTGTTTTTTTCTTTTGGCCATTGTTCTGTTAGTTTGCTGTTTTGCACATTAGCTATACTGTAACCTGGCATATTGCATACCATGTGTAATACATGTTTTACTGTCAGACTATATGATTATTTTTCTCATGCTGTTAATCTGAACTTAAAGAATTACTTATCAGTTATTAGAAAGTCTAATTATACAGACTGCATCCTAGAAAATAAACTACAAGCAGAAATAAATCTTACCTTACTTATTAAGAAAAGTTGTATATTTATCTATATGAATTTTATTAGGGGAAGTTATTTTTATAATAAGATGAATTTCTGATTTTAAAAGATTGCCTTTAGTATTACAGCAAAGGAAGTTAAAAGGCATTACTGCTGAAACAAAGCAATGTGAATACTCATTTTAAATATATGTTAAAAAGTTAATTTCTTGACTAAGAAAATTATATGAATAGTTTAATCTTGTATAATTTTGGACATGAGCAGGAAAATTTAAAGTTTTATATTGAACGTGGTTGAAAGACTTTTTTGAAATTTTTAAAATATGAAGACAATTTAGGAGAAGAATGTAAAACTCACACCTTTTAAAAAAGATTATATCTGACGTAAGAGATTAATTTCAATTTTCAAGTGTTGTTTGCACCGTGAAGGAACAGCTAAGCTAGTTTCTTTCTTTTTTCTTTTATTAGCAGCAGGTATTTGTTTCATAGTTCATACTGAATGTTTAGATTCTTGCAGCAAGCAAACAACTTAGCGTTACATAAAATACAGTGACAATAATAATAGCTGACACCGCCTGAATCCTCCTTTGATCCAGGTGCTATTTCAAGGGCGTTGAATCCTCACAATGAAGCTGTGAAGTAGATATTGTTATTGTACTCATTTTTACAGATGGAGAGGTTAAGTTACTTCTAAGTTCACAGAACCATCAAGGGAAATTACAGGAATTTGAATTCAAGCAGTTTGGCTCCAGGATCAATGAGTGCTCTTATATGTGCAGAATCAGACTTTTTACCTGTTTGTTCATTTGGAAGGACATGGCATGGCCTAAAACAAAAATAAAATTAGAGTGGCCCCTAAATATAAACTCCAGGGCTTAAATCTAGTCTGTTAATATAATGTTCTTTTTTAGATTAAAGATTATTCCTTTTGAAAGACAAGTTACCTAATATTGCCAGTAAGACTCATCATCATATTATTATAATAAAATGGATTAACTTGGTAATAAATTGATTCTTTGAACTTTGCATAGTAACCTTCCCTTATCTGTGGGGATACGTTCCAAGACCCCCAGTGGATACCTGAAACCACAGATAGTACTGAAACCTGTACAGACTATGGTTTTTCCTATATGTACATACCTGTAATAAAGTTTAATTCATAAATTAGGCACAGTAAGAGATTAACAACCATACCAATAATAAAATAGAACAGTTATAATGATGAACTGTAATGAGAGTTATGTCAATGTGGTCTCTCTCTGTGTCTCACAATATCTAATTGTACTGTATTCACCTATTTTCAGACTGTGGTTGACTGGGGGTAACTGAAACCACAGAAAGGGAAACTGCAGATAATGGGGAATATCATAAACGATCTTCTTCAGTCTTTGCTCTCTAGTCACTAGGGTTGATGAACATTCATTTGAAACCTAAAACAACTAGACTCTGTATGGAAAGATGTAGTATTTAAGGTGTTTGATCTATTGATAGGTAAGAGGTAGATCAAATAATGTCAATAGACCTTAAGTTAGTTATAGATACTAACCTGTGTACAGGCATACCTCAGAGTTAGTGCAGATTCGGTTTCAGACCACTATGAAGAAGCAAATATTGCCATAAAGTGAAACACACTTTTTTTTTTTTTTTGGTTTCCTAGTGCTTTTGAAAGTTGTGTTCGTACTATATAGTGTGCAGTAGCATTATGTCTAAAAAAAGTACTACCTTAATTAAAAATACTTTATTGCTAAGAAATGCTAACGAAGTGAGCACATGCTGTTAGAAAAATGGTGCCAATAGACTTGCTGGATGCAAGGTTGCCACAAACCTTCAATTTGTAAAAAATGTATATCTGCAAAGTGCAATAAAATGAGGTATGTTGTTTATGGAGTGGGAGGGAATAGAAACTAACTTTCTGGGCTGGGTGCTGTGGCTCATGCCTGTAATCTCAGCACTTTGGGAGGCCAAGGCAGGCAGATCACTTGAGGCCAGGAGTTCAAGACCAGCCTGGCCAACATGGTGAAACCCCGTCTCTACCAAAAATACAAAATTTAGCTGGGCGTGGTGGTGGGCGCCTGTAATCCCAGCCACTCCGGAGGGTGAGGCTGGAGAATTGCTTGAACCCGGGAGGCAGAAGTTGCAGTGAACCGAGATCATGCCACTGTACTCCAGTCTGGGTGACAGAGCAAGAGACATCGTCTCAAGAAAAAAGGAAAAACAACAACAACAACAACAACAAAAAACAACTAACTTTCTGTTTGGATAATCTCACCACTCTAGTACTTCAAGTCCTTCCAATGAATCTTTTTGTGTAATTAAAGCCACCAGGCTTACATCATTAAAAAAAGTGACATATTTGTGAAGCATGATAACTTCTTAGTGTATACTCTGAGAGCAGCTGTCATTTTCCCTAGTAAATTATAGCAACTCTGTAACATTTGTATTGCAATTTGGATTAGAACTTCAGCTACAACCAAATTGGTATTTTAAATGGTTCTTTAAAATATAATAAATTACTGTTAATATTTGCTTTCTTAAAGTAGCACATGTAACATTAGAATTCATTAATGCTTTGCTATTGTAATGGTTACTAGCTCTGTTCTTTAAGATTTTTATTAAACTTTTATTTTGACATAATTGTAAGTTCCCATGCAATTGTTAGAAGTAATAAAAAGAAGTCCCTTGTACCCTTTTCCTAGTTTCCCCTAGTGGTAACACCTTGCAGAACTGTAGTGTAACATCACAGCCAGGATATTGACATTGATGCAGTCAAGATATGGGACATTTCTGTCATAGAAATACATACATACTGTTTTGTACTTTTCTCTACTTATAATACCTTTAACTAGTTTTTTTAATTAGGGTAAACCTGGCCTTATAGAATGAGTTAGTTTTCCTTTTATTTTCTGGAAGAGACTGTAATGTGTTAGTAATACATTCGGCCCTAGGTGTCCTCAGGGGTACTGGTTCCAGGATCCCCTGAAGATGCAGATGTTCAAATCCCTTATAAAAAGTTACATAGTATAACCTATGGAGGCATATCCTCCCGTATACTTTAAATCAGCTTTAGTTATAATAACTAATACAAAGTCAGTGCTGTATAAGTAGTTTTGTTATACTATATTTTATTTGTATTATTATTATTACTATTTAAATCTGTAGTTGCTTGAATCCATAAATGCAGAACCCACAGATACATAGGGCCAACTGTATTTCTCCTTAAATGTTTGGTAGAATTCACTAGTGAAACCATTTGGGCCTAATCATTTCATTATTATTATTATTTGATTCAATTTTAAGTAGGTCTGAAACTAATTGGGTTATTTATTTCTTCTTGTGTGAGTCTTAGTTATTTATGTCTTTCAAGGAATTGGTCAATTTCATCTAAGTTGTCAAATTTGTGCATAGAGTTGTTTTTAGTTTCTTTTTATCAGATATTTGGTGCCTGCAGGGTCTGTAGTAATAATCCCGTTTCATTCCTGATATTGGTAATTTGTGTTTTCTCCTTTTCTTTGTCAATTTTATTGATCTTTTCAAATAACCATTTCTTTATTTCATTATTCAAATTCTTTTTCTGTTTTCAATATTGTTGATTTTTGTTTTTTATTATTTCCTTTTTTCTGCTTATTTTGGGCTCATTTTGCTCTTTTTCTGGGTTTTTGAGGTAGGAGCTTAGAAAATTGACCTTTTTTCCCCTTTTTCCTAATGTATGTATTTAATGTTATAATTTTTCTTTTAAGTACTGCTTTTGCTGTGATTCGCACATTTTGATTTGTTCCATTTTCATGTTCATTCAGTTAAATTTTGTATGTTTTTAAATTTCTCTTGAGATTTCGTCTTTAACCCACAGACTATTTAGAGTATGGTTGTTTAGATTCTGTTTGGAGATTTTTCTGCTACCTTTCTCATGTTACTTTCTAGTTTGATTCCATTGTGCTTGAACAATACTCTGTATGATTTCAATTTTTTTGATTTTTAAATCTTTATTTGGACAAAGGTAGGACAAAGTTCATGGCTCAGGACATGGACTATTTTTGTAAATGTTCCATGGGCATGTGAAGAGAATGTATTTTCTGATGTTTTTGGATGGAGTGTTCTATAAATGCCTGTTATTAATAGATTCTGTTGGTTGATGGTATCATTGAGTTCTATATCCTTGCTGATTTTCTGTCTGGTTGTTCTATCAGTTGTTGAGTAGTGAAGTTTCTAACTATAATTGTAGATTTAATTATTTCTCCTTTAACTTCTATCAGTTTTTGTTTCATATATTTTGTAGCTTTGTTGTTTGTAGCTTTGTTGCATACACATTTAGGATTGTTATAAATGTGATTGACCCTTTCTTCATTTTATAAAAACTCTTTCATAATTTTCTTTGCTCTAAATTCCACTTTATATGATGTTAACATAGCCACTCCTGCCTTTTTAAAATTGAGATTTGTGTGACACAGATTTTTCGATTCTTTTACTTTCAACCTGCCAATATCATTATATTTGAACTGAATTCCTTTTAGATGGCATATTAGTTGAGTCATTTTTTCTCATCCATGCTGACAATTTGTTTTTGAATTGGTATACTTAGGCGCTGTGAGATTTATGGCAAATTCCTCACATCTAGAACTGTAAGGTAATAAATGTGTGTTGTTTTAGCTACTAAGTTTATGATAATTTATTGCAGTAGCAATAGGAAACTAGTACAGTATCTATTGGTTGTCTTTTTTATTCAGTTTGAGATCTTCATAGTTCTTGGTATGACAAGTGATTTTCTGTTGAAACCTAGGCATGTTGAGTATTATGCTGTAAGACCCTGGATCTTATGTGAATTTGTTTTAGCTGGCTTAATTTGACGCACTCATGCAGGAGAATTGTGGGGGTTGGGGAAGGACACTGCCACCTTACAGTCAGTTGTGGGTAGAAGTCTAGGTTCCCTATCTGGTCACTTTTGACACCCATGAGGGAGTTTTTAATTATTGCTGCCTCTCCTGTCAGTGTACTTGCTTGGGAATGCTATAGTATTTATTAATCGCAATGGCTATACTATAAAATGTGTTTTTGGTCTTCAACCAGTTTCCTGGCATACAATTCCTAAAAATATTTAGAATCTTCGAAGTCATGTCTTTTTGTATGCTAATGAGTTTACTGATGCCTGGCAGTCTCCAGGTAGCTTCAGGATGGAGGCTGGTCATTGGATAGACCAGAGCATAATTAGAGGGTTGGACTTTCAGCCCAACCACTGAGGAAGGGAGAGAGGCTGAAGGTTAAGTTGATCACCAGTGGCCAGTAGTTTAATCAGTTGTGCCTATGTAATGAAGCCTCCATGAAGACTCACAGAGTTTGGAGAGCTTCCAGAGAGCTGAACATGTGGAGGTTCCTGGCAGCTGGTGCCCCAGGGATGGCATGGAAGCGCCTCTCCCCCTTCCCATCCCTTGCCATATGCATCTCTTTATCTGTATTCTTTATAAATGCTTTATAATAAACCAGTAAATGTAAGTAAGTAAGTGTTTTTCTGATTTCTGTGAGCCACTCTAGCAAATAAATTAAACCCAAAGAGGAGGTCATGGGAACCCCAATTTATAGCTGGTCAGTCAGAAGCACAGGTAAAACAACTTGGGATGTGTAATTGGCATCAGAAATGGCAGGTAGTCTTTGTGGGACTGAGCCCTCAACTTGTGGCATCTAATGCTGTCTCCAGGTAGTGTCAGGACTGATTTGGAGGCCATCCTGCTGTTGCCTGTGGCAAAATTGCTTGCTTGCTTGCTTGCTTGCTTGCTTGCTTGCTTGCTTGCTTGCTTGGTGTTTGGGGAAAACTCCCCACACATTCAGTCACAGAAATCTTCTGTGTTGATTGTGGTGGTGCCAGAGCAGAGGCAAAACTGTTTGTTTGTGTTTTTCCACTCACTGTTTGGCCTATTTTGTTGCCGTAATCAAGAAATGAATGTAGCCGGAAAAAAGAAAAATACATGTGTAATTGTCAGATTTCACTTTATAATCATAACCATAAATCTCAAGTGTGTTTTTATCCTTGCCTCAGCCATTTCTTTTTACACATTTAATTTTTTCCTCTCAGCTTATTACTTTTTTCATATTTCATTGAAAAAATAGATGCCATCAAAAAGAACTTATTGCTATCACCAATTCTACCAACTTAGCTGCAGCTGCACTCGTGTACAATGCTTTCCTTCTTCATTCAATGGAGAAACATCCTGCTTCTTTCTAAGGCCACCTCTCGTCTACTTTTTGCTCTGGATTTCATTCCATCTCACCTTCTCAGGAATTTGTTTCCTGCAGCTATGCTCTGCTTACTGGTTTATATCCATCTGCTCATATGTATTGAATTCTGGTAGCTCACATCTTTTACAACAATAAAATAAAAAAAACACATTCTTTTGTGTCAATTCTTACACCACTCTTTAGTCACTTGTTTTTCTGCTTCCCTTTAGAGTATACGGAACTGCCCATGGTTGCTCACTACTTTCTTACTTTTTAGTCTGAACTAAACTCACCTGGTACTGTTTTCATCCCTAACGACTGTACTAAAATGCCTTTTTGCTATTGTTATTGTTTGTTTTTTTCTCCCTGAGTTTTTTAAAAAACTCTGTCTTGCATATCCGTTGGCCACTTTCTCGTGGAGCCTCTCAGCAGCATTCAACAAAATTTATTACAACTTCCTTTTTTAAATGGTCTTCTAATGACTTGCAAGGTACAAATTCCTCCTGCTTTTTTTTTTCTCTCATTTCATCGATAGATCTTTCTCATGATGATTCTTTCTCTTCTGCTCCACATCCAGCTATGAGAAAGGCCCAGGTTAAGTCCTAGGATTTTTACTCCTCCCCATCTAACTTTGGGGTGATTTCATCGAGTCCATTTTAAATGGCATCTATGTGCTAAAGACCCCTCTCGTTCAGACCTCCTACCTTCCAGTTTATAGCTCTAGTGTTGCTCTGCCCTCTTCAGAGGTACATATCCTACTACCTACTTGACATTTCCAAATGAGTTGTCTGGATGTCTCAACCTTAACATGGCCAACACAGAATTCTTTATCTCCCTATCCAACCCTATTGCCATGCCCACCAAACTTGAACCCCATTCTTTCCCTCTCGGGAAATATTACCACAAGCTACCCGGTTGCTCCAGCCAAAAACCTACAAGTCGGACTTTATTCTTCTCTTGTTGTCTTACCTTGTGTTCAGTTCATCATCCAGTTTTGTTGGTTTTACCTCCAAAATCTATTCCAAATCCATTTTTCTTAGTTGTTGTAACTGCCAGCAAACATTCTGATTTATACTAGGTCTCACCAACGTGTAGTCTGTAGGCTGGTTTCAATGACCTGTTTGTTTCTGGCCTGCAATGAGGTAAGGGGCTGGCACTAGAATATAAATCAATGGTATCACTAAGCACACCTTTAGTTTACTTGACTTCTTTTTCTAATAGCAAGACTTCCTTGTTGAAAAAGCAGTACATTCTGATGCAGACTCCTAATCTTGCCGAGGAGTGACATTGCAGCCCAGCTGTAGACTAATAGCTGATAGCCCTCTGACTGCTGTACGTCAGGCTTCCTTAAGTCTGTTCTCTACATAGCAGACAGAAACTTTTTAAAAATGTTAACTAGTTTATTTCATTCACCCCCTTAAAAATCTTTTCACTTGGAAAAACATTCAGACTTTTAATCTGGCCCCTATCTACCTGTCTGACTGCAATGGTTAGTGCTTTTCCTGTTGCTCCTGTATTCCAGCCATAGTTGCCTCCTTGCTGTTACTCAAGTTGGTTTCTCTCTTGGGTTCTTTTTCTACCTTTCTTCTCTTCCCAGTTTGCTGGTTGCTTTGTTTGAAATGTTCTTTTCCTCAAATTTTTGCTTAACTACTTTCTCTTTTTGGTTTTGTTTGTTTGCTTGTTTGTTTTTTGAGACGAAGTCTCGCTCTGTCGCCCAGGCTGGAGTGCAGTGGTGTCATCTCGGCTCACTGCAACCTCCGCCTCCCCGGTTCATGCCATTCTCCTGCCTCAGCCTCCTGAGTAGCTGGGACTACAGGCACCCACCACCATGCCTGGCTAATTTTTTGTATTTTTAGTAGAGACGGGGTTTCACCGTGTTAGCCAGGATGGTCTCGATCTCCTGACCTTGTGATCCGCCCGCCTCGGCCTCCCAAAGTGCTGGGATTACAGACATGAGCCACCGTGTCCGGCCAACTACTTTCTCTTAATATTTAGGTCTCAGCCTAAAAATCACCACTGCTAATAAGCTCTTCCTGACCTCTCATATGGGCTAGTATCTAGTCCAGCCACCAGTCACCCTGTATATCCCGTGTCTCCCACTGTCTGCAGTGATTTCATTTACTTACTGTTTTGTTTATTCATGACCTGATTCCCACCCCTGACTTTCAGTACTGGCTTCATAACAAGTCGATTTTTTTCTCCTTTGTTCATTGTTATGGTTCCCGCACTCAATAAATATTTGTTAAATGAATGATCATTCCGCCAGTGGGTGCTTCATAGACTAGCACTGTTACATTATAGCAGCACAACATGGTAAAATCAAAACAGCATACCAGCAGTATAAAATGTACAAGAAATATTAGGGAGGCAAGCTGGAATTGACAATGAGAAGATTTGAAAAGGGACCTTTGATAAGTTGTCTTGTCTGGTGGTTGGTTTGTTTGTTAAATCTGTGTTGGTCTGTGGGTCTCAGAATCTGCAAGTTCTACTTTCAGCTGCTCTTAAATAAACTAACAGACTTACTCTTCAAATAATTAGATAGTTACAAAAAACCCCAGCAAATCCCCATCACATTAATGGGGGGAAAACACTTCTTATTTATAAATTCATGCTATATAAAATTTCCTATAATAGAGTATGCAATGTCTGGCCCATACTAGTACTCCAATAATAGCCTTTGTTATTGAAGAAAAATTACAGAGAATCACTTGTTTGCAGACTGCATTCAGAATTGTCATTAGGTTTCTGTAGTCTAGGCAGAATCATCGTAAATGAATGAAATAACATATCAAGAAAGAGATTCTAAAACTTTTCTATTCAATTGACATTTATTGATTGCCTTATGCTCTAGAAACATTCTCAGATCTTTAAAAAAATTAAATAATTTTATCCAGAAATTCTTTACTATATCTAATGTAAAGCCTCCTTTTTACTGTATTTTCTCCTTGACGAAGCAGTACATACATTTTCATGACCTTTTCTAAAATCTTCATTCATTTATAGAATACCTTTATTAATTTGCTTAGTTTTAAACAAAACAAGTCTCAATTCTCTCACAAGGCTGCTTTTTTAAACTAGATATTCTTGGCTAAGTATTAGAAGCCTCATATCTACAA
Organism: Homo sapiens; assembly: GCF_000001405.40. Lineage (NCBI taxonomy): Eukaryota > Metazoa > Chordata > Mammalia > Primates > Hominidae > Homo > Homo sapiens. The sequence continues at coordinate 3,720,368 of NW_018654717.1, read as the reverse complement.
ATGTACTGATTTCAAATATCTCATCTAACCGTTAACTAGTTCATAAAGTAGTTTTTATAACATTATGATTATAATACCCCAAATCTTTACATAGCTAGAATCCTCCTGTGCTTCTGAAGGACATCAAAAGGGATGTGATCTTCTCACGTACCCAGCCATGTCAATCATGAGCCATTTTAGGGTGTGTAGGCTGGACAACAGATTAAGAACTATCTAAGTCTTAGAATAATCCTGCTCCATTGAGTTATGATTTTTGTGAGTATACTTTCACATCATGCTTATAAGTCATAAAATGTACTGATGAAAAAGAAGCCATTGGTAATTATTCTATAAAATAAGTTATCTAGTGTAGTAGAAGAAAATTTACTAAAAACTAAACTAATTTGGCATTCTATCATTTTGATAAACACTCTTGTCTCTATTTGGTAGACTTAGTTATCACAATCAAATTTGTCTTCTGCTTTAGAATATAGGGAGATCATCTCATTCATTCTAGTCTACACAATTTTAAGTTTTATATTTGTGAGCCTATTTGTGTTTAATTTTTCCAACTCTTTTTTTGACTTTCCATCTTATTTCTTCAGTCGTAAGTCTTTTCCAAAATAACGCTGCAACAAAATCTGACATGGTTGGTTGATTTTTTTTTTTTTTCAAGAAAAAGTGTCAAGTTTTTAAGAATTTCAACATGAATCCAGCAACAGAATGCAGATATAGCTAAGAAATGGCAGCTGAGATGGCAGTGATACATGCTTTAATGGTTTACTCATTTACAAACCGTATGGGGAAAGAGGAGATTAACATTGGCTGGTATCTTCAAAAGTAATCAGATTCTTCATTAAAATCAAATTCTTCATTAAAACCTTTGACAAAGCTTTCAGCAGAGTATTAATGGCAGTTTTATTTGTTATTGTTGTTTGTATTCCCTGAAAGCTTAATGATATTAAAAGCTGAAACTTATAATTAGACCTTTGATAAGTAGAAAGATGCCAGACTTCATGTATTAAAATACAAAGAAGTTTTTACTTCTGTTTAATTCAAATTCAACTGCAGTTTTTGCCTCAAAGTTGTACTTTAAACCACTAAGTCAGTTGAGCTATTTGAATTTTATGAGTCATATGTCATTGCTAATGTCAAGCTTCCCTACGACTGTTTCTCCAAATTTTTATTATTTGTATTTTGAAAAATTTCCAACTTACAGGAAAGTTTTAAAAAATACTAAGATGAATACCTGTATACTCTCGCATAGATTCACCAATTATTAACGTATTTCAGGGTGTATTTCTTATTCTTTTCCCTCTATATATTTTTTCTTCTCAGCAATTAAGCATTAATACAATACTACTATTTATTGGACAATTCATCTTCTTACCGTTTCATGAAAAATTTCTTCGCTTTTGACCTTTCCCATCAATACTAGGTAACTCTTTCTTTCAGCTGCTTTTGAGCTGCTTGAACCCTATCAGAGACACTTAGAAATTGGTATAGCATTTCACCTCTACTTAGCTGTCACCTCTTTTCTACAGGTGCATTTCAATATCTACTGAAACATTTGCTTGTTTTCTTTTACTTCTTTTACTTTTGGTTTAATGATGTTACTACTCTATATTGTTCTTTCCTTTTTTGAGATGGAGTCTCACTCTGTCGCCCAGGCTGGAGTGCAGTGGCGTGATCTCAGCTCGCTGCAAGCTCCGCCTCCCGGGTTCATACCATTCTCCTGCCTCAGCCTCCCGAGTAGCTGGGACTACAGGCGCCTGCCACCACGCCCGGCTAATTTTTTGTATTTTTAGTAGAGATGGGGTTTCACCATGTTAGCCAGGATGGTCTCAATCTCCTGACCTCGTGATCTGCCCGCCTCGGCCACCCAAAGTGCTGGAATTACAGGCATGAGCCACCGCACCCGGCCCTCTATGTTGTTCTTTGCAGAGATAGTTGAATACAAGTTTTGGCATTATGGAAAATGGTACATTACTGCTTACATTAGGCACTGAAGAAATGCATGGTGAAAGTGTTTTAAAAGTTAAATTAAGATTTTTTACTCTTCCTTCCAAAAATGTACTACTAACCTTCTCAGAGGAGTTTAATTCATAGGTGATCCGGAACTGGATTTTCTAAGTTTACGATTTTCAACAATAAAAATATATAAGTAATAGGTTATTCATTGTTTGTAATTGCAAAATATTGGAGCCTGCCTAAGTGCCCAAATATAGGAGACTGGTTGAATAATCTGTACAAATACACAATAGAGTATTTTACATCTGTACAATAGTGAAGTTCTCTAGAACTACTGATGGATTACTTTCTAAGATACATTGTTTAGTGAAACAAAGTACAAAAGATTGTTTACAATATGCCATCCTTTTTGTCAGAAACAATAAGTGATAACCAGCCTCCAAGAAGGTGCCCAATCAACCTGTCTCCTAGTATTCACGTTTGTATAGTCCCCTCCCACATTGTAGAAGAGTTTTTCTGTGTGACCACTAGCATATGGCAGAGCTGATGATAAGCCATTTTCAAGATGGTCATAAAAACTATGGCTTTTATGTTGGGCTGTTTTTCTCATTCACTTGGATCACTTGCTCCGGAAGCAGCAAACTGCCATATTGTAAACTGCCTTATAGACAAGCCCATTTGGGGAGGTACTGAAGTCTCTGGCCAGTAGCCAGTGAGAAACTGAGGCTTGTCAATAACCACATGAAGATTCTTGGAAGCAGATTTTCCAGCCGCATTTAAGCCTTGAGATGAGATATGATAGTCCCCATGTATAGCTTGGCAGCAACCTTGTTGGAAATGCTGAGTCAGAATCATCCAGCTAACCATTCCCAGATTCCTGACCCTCAGAAACTATGTGAAATAACATTCATTCTTTTAAGTTGTCATTTCCAGATGTAATTTGCTAGGCAGAAATAGATTACTAATACACTATAGGAATTAAGGAAAAAAAACTCATTTAACTGCATATATATATATATATATATGTATATATATTTTTTTTCCAAAAATAAGCACAAGAAGGATAAACCAGAAAACATTGAAATTGATTACCTATAAGAACGTGAGAACAGAGGGTAGATAAGACATTAAGTAGACCATGCCATTTTGGTATAATTTTAATTTCTGGAGGCATGTTAATGTGCTACATATTAAAAAATAAAATTAAATTGAAGATGGGGGAAAAACACCTAAAATTTGAATGTAAGCAGAAATAAATGAGCCACCTATATTTCAAACAACCACACTGAAGAAAGTAAAGAACTAATCTAAGTAACTTTTGAACGTAATTCTTTGACTTCATATTCTTGGTGTAGGAGGAAAGAAAAGGGAATTTCAAACCAACTTTGACTTCTTATTAAGTTTGTTGTTCTTTGTTTTTTGCAGTGTGTGGTGTAGTAATTCTGCAACTATTTTATGTATGTTGTAGGATTAAGCAAATAAGTAAATGTGTTGGGAGCAAGGGCTCTTACTGTAGAAGAAGAAGATACAAATGTGGAAGGGGGAAGACAGAGGAGAAACTTGTGGATTTGGATTGAAGTTGTAGGCATCAGAATCACTGCGGGAAACAAACCTCTATTTCTGCTACAGAAAAGACCTAGAAGCAGTGAGACCCCAATAGCAGTGGAGCACACCTGCTTCCAAGAGCTTGGTTTCTACATGCCGTTTATTAAAAGACACCAAAACTTTGAAAAAAAAATGACTGATTTCAAAGCTAGGTCGGGGAAGGTGTAAAAGGAGCCTGGAACATCTTCTGTGCTAGAAAGTAATGAACTGCTCGGCCGGGCGCGGTGGCTCACTCCTGTAATCCCGGCACTTTGGGAGGCTGAGGCTGGTGGATCACGAGGTCAGGAGATCGAGACCACGGTGAAACCCCGTCTCTACTAAAAATACAAAAAAAAATATTAGCCGGGCGCGGTGGCAGGCGCCTGTAGGCGCGGCCACTCGGGAGGCTGAGGCCGGAGACTGGCGTAAACCCGGGAGGCGGAGCTTGCAGTGAGCCGAGACCGCGCCACTGCACTCCAGCCTGGACGACAGAGCGAGACTCCGTCTCGGGGAAAAAAAAAAAAAAAAAGTAATGAACTGCTCAAAGAAATAATGGAGACACATGAAAAGAACATAGGAACCATCCTGAAGGGGCTCCCAATGAACATATCCGGGATAGTTTGACTATCAAAGTGTATCATAATAGTGATGGATTGTATAGCCCATTGTATGAAATAGGAATTCTTCAGTGGTAATACATGAACGAATGGGGAGGGACACTTTCTTACTGTAGAATGCCTACTAATCAATGTGGAGGGACTGTTGGAATTGGAAAATCACCATTTGCAACCATGATAGTAAAGACTGGTTAGGACAACAATCGTTAGTGGATGCCAAATCTCAGGGGCAAAGTTTGATGAGCAGCTGTATAATTATATGATTCTCAGCATGATTGCTCATAGATTGATAATTACTTGGGAGAAACTATACATTGACAAAATCTGACAATACTTTTTTCGGATATCAAAATTAACATCACTAATGAGAATGAATTAAGCCTGTGTGCTGGCAGATGTAATACCTGAGAAGGTCACAACATTTCTTATGTTGTATTCTGGCTAGGGAGGCATGACTAAATCTCATGAGAAAACATTAAACAAATTCCAATTTAGGTTCATTCTACGAAATAGCCTGTATTTTTAAAAAATGTCAGTGTCTTGAAAGACAAAGGCTGAGGAATTACTCCAAATCAAAGGAAACTAAAGAGACATGACAACTAAATGCAAAATATATGATCCTGGACTAGAGGAGAAAAATGCTATAAAGGCTATAATAGGAATGACTGACAAAATTGGAGCACATACTGTATATTAGATGAAAAGTATTGTACCAGTGTTACTTGAATTTAATTACTGTACTGTGGTTACATGAAAAAAGTATTGTTTTTAAAAAATAGGCACTGAAGTACTAAACGCAAGGAGAAATAATGTATCGATGTATTGCAGCCTTCTCAAATGGATAAAAAATTGGTTGTTACATATACCTATGTGCATAAACATAAGCGAGAGGATATAAAGCACATGGGCAGATGATTATAAGTAGGTGAGATGGAGGATATGGAGGAGCCCCTTGTACTAATTTTGCAAATTTTCTGTTTGAAGTTATTTCAAGTAAAATGTTATTCAAAGTGATCATGCTGGGCATAAGAAAGAAAAAGGAAAACTGATTGATGTTAATAAGTTATGCGGTCATGCCATCTATACTAGCTTTTCTGGTTTTCTGACCTTAGCCTCTTTTTTGAATTATTAGTGCTTATAAAGAGCTCAAGACTTTTTTTTTCTTTTTCTTTACATTTTACTTCTAACTGCATTGATGGTCTTTTCTATTGATTATTGTTTCAAAATTAAATGTCTTTTTTTCTATGAATAAAGTTAAAAGTTCCCAGGCCTCATTTCAGATCAGAGCATTTTATGGGCATTGTTATAATTGTTAACTCTCCTTGCTTTCTATCTTGTTCTGAAGAAAACTCTTGGGCATTACATCCAGTGAGGTTGTTTTGAAGCAAATGATATCTGTGTCATTTTGTCTTGCCTTTTCCATAAGATGACAATAGATTCAGTGTTCCTAATTGGTCAAGAGTGCTTTCACTTCACTCTTTGAGAATACGTTACGTTAGATGGACACCAGATGAGTACTAACTAGTTCCCAGAAAGCTTATTAGCCAAATTAGCCTTCTTAGCTTTGTATATATGACTGCAATATGTAAGTAATCACTACTTTCTCTTCTTTGGGAAAACATCAGGCCTACTTAGAATGTCAGTAATTTAGAGTACCTTAATATTGTATGTTTGATCATTAGCCTCTTGACAGTTTTAAAATTGCTAGACCTTTATTGATGTGGATGTTGGAAATCATCTGAATTGACAGCTTGAGTGGACATGCAGAAGAATACAGTGAAGAATATGCTCAAATTTTTTTGAATGAAAGTGGAAACTGCATAATTATCTCAAATGACTATGAGTTATCGTTCTAGATATGGGAATTTCTCTTAAAAGAAGTAATATTTGGGAAATTAATTAGACAGGAAATCAGTCCTAGATAAGGAATGCTTTTCAATTGTAGACTGTCCATTGATTTGTGGATTATCAGAACTTTGTTATTGCCTGTGAGTATCATGTTGTTTTTCTTTCTGACGATACAGACTGGTTCTGTGTACCAGTTTTGGTTTCCGTTCCTTCCTTCAGGTTCTTTCTTTGTGGGGAAACATTGCTCTTTATAATTCTAGTTATATATATTTGGCTCCAGTATTTGAAAATGGGCCCCAGGTGAATAAAAAATACTCTTTTTTCTCTATTGGTGTTATAATCTTTCCATATGTTGTTGTTTTTTATTATTCTATTACCCTTTTAATGCACTGAGAGTGAATGATAAATTGCTTATGATGGGACATAAAAATGACTCTTGTTTTGAAGAAGTTATTAGAATGCCAGTGGCAATGACAGACAGCAATGGGACAGTATCCTTTTCTCCAGGAGAGCAACAAATTTTGTGAATTTGTTTACAAAATAAGTCTTCTTATTTTAAAAACCTAATAAGGGAAAGTAAAATGCTCATTTGCTTATACTCTTTGTAAAAGAAAAACAAAAACACATGAAGTAGAAATATTAATGATGCTTTATAGGAGAGAAATCTAGCCAGGAATAAAGAAGGGAAAGAAACTCAATTAAGAATGCAAGCAATGTTTAAACCACTTTATATGTACTACTATCACCAAAAGTTTGTGATTTTATTTACTCCTTTTTCTTAAGGTTATACTTTAATGTGTGCCCTTCTGAATATTTGAACTCTTTTTATTATTATTATTTACTTATACATTTTCTAGAGATGGGATCTCGCTTTGTTGCCCAGGCTGGAGTGTACCGGCATGATCATAGCTCACTGCAGCCTCAAACTTCTGGGCCCAAGGTATCCTCCCACCTCAGCCTCCCAAACCCAAGTAGCTAAGACTATGGGCGTACGCCACTATAACTAGCTAACTTTTTTATTCTTTGTAGAGCTAGGGTCTTGCTATGTTGCTTAAGCTAGTCTCAAACTCCTGGCTTTAAGAGATCCTATCACCGCAGCCTCCTAAAGCGTTGGGATTACAGATATAAGGTGCTGCCTCCAGCCTGAATTCTTATATTTCCCTGTGTTTGCCTTAATCATGGCTTCCATGTCAATGTTACTTACTTTCTCATTAGTTAAAGTATACCTTGGGCCAAATGTTATGGTGAAATGTTGTGAATGCTACTTTGAATTATGGCTGGTTTTGGAACTAAAAATCTTCTGTTTTCTGGAGAAGAAAACAGCTATGCCCATGCAGCTGCATCCATATATACCTACATGTGTATACATACATTTTACCTACTTTTTTTCTAGATCCAAGGAGATAATTTTGAATGACAGTTTATATACTTTGTTTCTGAAAGAAAAGAGAATAGGAGAAATTATTCTAAGTTTATTATGCTTTAAATATTTATGTCATTCTTTTCAGACAAAAATGATTAGGAAAAAGTTGAAATGATATTTTAAAACATAATTTAACCAAAGAGTGGAAGTAAAGATAGTTTCCCTTAAGAAATTTTTGAAAAATGTGAGGTAGAAAATTATTTTAAATGTGTGAAAAGCCATAAGATCCAAAAGGAGACTGGTATCTTATTTATAATGGAAAAAAAATAGGATGAGGATGAATACAAAGCTCTACAGGAGAACTGAGTGTATATCTATTTTTCAAATTGGTGCCCAAATGACAGGGCAAAAGAACCTAAAAGAGTGAATGATTCCAAGAACTTTCTATACCTTAATTAAAAAGAGATGGAAGTGAGGATGGGGGTGTCTTGAAAATTGTATTAACAGAGTTTTCCCTCAAAACAAATTATTGTCTAACCTACTTCTGTTATTAAATTAACTTTCTTCCTGTGAACCTTGACTTGAAAAGTATTTAGACTTTTATCATCATACTCTGCCAATAGGTTTGCTATTGTCCAGTAGTGTGATATAATTGAATCTGAATATTTTCTATGTTATTCAGAGCAAATAACAGTACTACCTTGTAAATTCTTGAAGCTTAAGAATTCAGGAAAACTCGTTTATTTTTTAAAGTAGACCTATCTTTAATTGGAATGAAAACCAATTAAGCTTTGAAGGAATGCACATTTACAAACTGTCAGTTGTTTAAACATAAGGAGAGTAGCTTATGAACAGTTTATTGCCAGGATGTAAGAGTGGCTTTCTTTTGATTTTGACCACTCATTTCTCTGTGGGCTAAAAAATGAAACATTTATTTTTTATTGAAATGAAAAAATAAATATGGTCACTTTAAAATGTATACATAGATAATTTTGTTTTCACTATATAATCTTGTTTATCTAAGCCTTTTTTTTTTTTGGCTTTCTGGTTTTTCCTGAGTAGCTTTCAATCTTGTATCTTTTCATTATGTAAGAGACTGTAAAATATATTTACTATGTTTTAGATATTTATTGTAGTTCAGTAACTTTTGTATTTATCCCTGACTTAATTAAATAAACTTAATTTTAACTACTGAGGCTATTCCTCAGCAACTGTGATGAGTTCTTGTTATCTTAGGGGATTCTGGTTTGTGCTATAAGTGTATTAGGGTGAAAGGGTTAGTTGAAAAGTGTGGGGAAGCAAAAGGGCTTCTTTGAGTATTTGCAGCTCTATTAGACTCTTTCATTCACTTTCCTTTAAAACACATATATTTCTACATATATCTTCCAGTAAATTGTGTGAAGCTTATGTTCCAAAAGACTAATCGGGACGGTTCAAGAACAGTGGGAATTGTGCTTTTACTTACTCAACGAAGGATAATTGTAGAAAAGCATCGTGGGCTGCTATAAATCTTTTCCACTATGTGTGAACTCTTTAGCTAAAAAGTGCCTATACAGGGAATATATCAAGGGGTCTTTCTGGCAATTTTGATAGTCTCATATCTTGATTATACCAAAGTTAGGGTTTCCTTAAATAAGGAAATCCATTTTGTGTTGCTGTAACAGTATACCATAGACTGGGTGATTTATAAAGAAAAGAATTTTTATTTCTCACAATTTCTCACAAATTTGGAGGCTGGGAAGTCCAATATCAAGGAGCCAGCATCTGGCCAGGGCCTTCTTGCTGTGTTATTCCACGGCAGAGGGCAAGACAGAAAAATGGCATTAATCCATTCATGAGAGCGGAGCCCTCATGACCTAATCACCTCTTAAAGTTCCTCCCTCTCAATACTGTTGCACTGGGGATTTTTAACATATGAACTTTGGGGGATACATTCAAACCATATCATAAAGCTATACTATTTGAGTTACTTAATGGGTAATTGTTTACCCAGAGCATTTTTAGTCAGACTATAATGTGTCTACTGAATAGGGAAGTAAATAACTATCTGACTGGATCCATTATATTCAAGAACCTGCCTTAAGTTATATGCACGGTAATGATTAAGAATTAAATTTGACATAGCAAGAGTACTCTGAAGACAGGTTCATCATTTTTATCAATTAAATTCCTTTTGAGAAAGAAAATAGCACCTAATGTAGGAGCTGGCCTGACATAGCTAGGTCATGTTGTTCTCTGGTTGGATCTGAACAATTTCATGGAATATAAATAATCAGATCAGGTCACCTGAGACCATGATTAAGTGATATGAAACAAGATCACTTCACAATTTTATCTAAGCACAGACCTAAACAAGGTCACTGTGTAACTCACAACATACCCAACATCCTTCTCACCTGGCTAATGTGAATGACAGCTACTTTTTTGCCCAGTCATACATTGCCCCTCATTTTCTAATAGCATCCAATCCAGAACAAACATCTACCTCCTTAGCCCGTCTCCCTAAATCTCCCAACCAAAGCCCAAACGCTTTAATAGATTATTTCTAACACCCATTTAATAAGATGCCCCACTGTTCTCCATGGTGTGTGTTCTCCCTCACTGCATTAAGTAATGCACCCAATTTATTCAGTTACAGGTGTGTTCCTGTTCAGTTACAAGTATGGCCTTTGGCTGGAGAACATTAACAGTTTCCTTAAAGATATTTCTTAAGGTGCAAATTTCATCCCCAGCATTTAGGAGTTGAATGTGTTGTTAACTTTTTATATATGCATATGTTCAATTCAGAATTTTTTTTTTTTTTTTACCACTTGACTATCAGGCACTTTGATAGTTGTTCAGTATATAAGGATAAAAAAGGCCTGCTAGGAAATTTCAAACTGGGTAATTGAGATATTTCCAAGTGATAATAAAAATGAGTCTGATTTATTTATAAATATCTCTGCTTCATACACTGGACTCATTTTAGTATATTTTAATAAGAGTCAATAAAAATACTTGAGAATTTCTTAATTTTGTATAGGATATGGAATTCTACTTACCATTGCCTAATACATTGACAGAACTTGTGTTTTTGGAATTTATTCACAAAAACTCTAGTGCCATTGAGTATTTCTAACATTATTTTTCAGAAAAACATTTTTCTGAGAATGTATTTTTTTTTTATGTGTGTGTGTTAGAGGAATAGAGACACACAGAGACATTTACTTTGCAACTCAATAATAATGATTTACATAGAACCACCTGATAGCCAGTTATGATGATATATTATGTGCGTTTTGTAAAAGAATTTCTGGAATTACTGTTAGTTTCATCATCTGCCCTACAATATATCTATCTGCACAAGTCGTTTTCTGTAAGATATGAAACTGTAGATCTCACACAAAGCAAAGAATGAATTACTTCTGAGAGAATGAAGTGTTTCTTAGTTTTGCTTTTTAGAAAGTAACCTCACAAAGCCTTGTCTTCCAAGGCAAATCATTGGACACCTCGAATTTCAATTTTTTGCACTTCTGAACTACAACAGTTGCTTCTTTACAAGCTTGATGTAGAAGTGTTTGGCTTAAATCTTTTAAGTTTATCAAGATGAGAAAACTTTAGCCTCTAAAGAATCTGAAAATAGCCTGGTGAAATTTTGTACCAACTGCAAACTGCTTAGGTAGTCTTTGCTACCATTCCTAGGTAATTATTTGCAGACGCCATTATACAAATGGCTGATTCTATCAATTAAACCACATTTACTCAAAATGAATGTGTCGTTTCTTTTGCTAGCACAGAATGAGAAATTATGTAAAGAGAGAATAGTTTTTAGTATTTGAACGGTGCTAGTTTTCCTTAATTATTGTATTCTCTTAAATATATGACTGTTTTTACATAGTCACAAATTAGAAATGTCAATTTATTTGAAACAGTTTTCTACTTTTGTCACACTAGGATTTCCACATATTTAAATTTTATTTCTGTCTAAATACTATGTGGGCTGAGGACAAATAATTTGAAATGGTACAAGATAAAGCAGAATGATGTCATCCTTCATAAACGTGATCAGTCATGAACCATTTAGTTACATAATTTGTTAGACTTTTTCATAATGTTTTAAAGTAAATCTTTCAGTGTTCTTGAAATAAGATTTTAGTTTAATATACTGCAGTTTAGAATATTGAACATCATTTTTCTTTTTTTAGCCCTAAATTCTCATCAGATCTTTGCTGTAGATACTTTAATTCTCTTAAAGTGAGTATTTGGACGTTTAGTAAAAACATGACACCTCTTTTAATAAATGTACATACTTCAGAATCTCATAAAAGTTCATGTAAACTCAAAATGTAGAAAATTATTTTACCTCTGTTGGAGAACTAATATCATAATAACAGCTTGACTAAAAGTATGTAAGTACTGTATTTCTTTATGTACTATTGTTATAAAGTAACTGATTATACTCTACCCCCATAATAGTAAGGAGAGATTAATATTTTACCTAATTTTTATATACTTTTTTAAGTCAGTGGAAGGAAAACCCTAATCTACTTTATTGAATATAATTGAATATGAGAAATTACTGAGATGGGGTTGCCCGTGTTTTTCACTCATTTATAAAAGCTTGAGAAGTCCATTTTTATTAAAAATTTACTCATTAGACATAATCTTGGAAAGAAATACATAAGAACTTCGGCAGTGCCACCTTGCACCCATTAGGATGGCTATTGCCTTAGTCCATTTTGTGCTGCTATTAATAGTATAACACAGACTGGGTGATTTATAAAGAAAAGAAGTTTATTTTTTTCAGTTCTAGAAGCTGAGAAGTCCAAGGTTGAGGGACCCGTGTCTGGTTAGGGCCTGTTTGCTGTGTCATCCCATGGTGGAAGGCAGAAGAGCAGGAGAGCAAGAAGGGACTGAATTTGCTTTTTATAAGAAGCTCACTATCGTGATAACTAAATGGCTTCTTCGATAATAGCATTAATCCATTCATGAGGGTGGAGCCCTCAGGACCTAATCACCTCTTAAAGGTCCCGCCTCTCAAAACTATTGCATTGGGGATTAAGTTTCCAACATACAAACTTGGAGGGACACATTCAATCCATAGCAGCTACTATTAAAAACAACAACCACCACCACCACCATAGAAAATAAGTATTGGCAAGGATGAGGTGAAATTGGGCCCCTTGAGCACTGTTGGTGGGATTGTAAAATGGTGTAAGCACTATGGAAAACAGTATGGAGACTCCTCAAAAAATTAAAAATAGAATTCCCATATGACCCGGCAATTCTGCTTCTGGGTATATGCTCAAAAGAACTGGAAGCAGGGGCTTGAAGTGATATTTGTACACTCATGTTGATAGCAGCAGCATTTGCAGTAACCAGTAGGTAAAAGCAACCCAGGTGTCCATCAAGAGATAAACCGATAAATAAAATGTGGTATGGAATACAATGGAGTATTAATCAGACTTAAACAGAGGAAGGGAATCTGACACATGCATAGCATGGATGAACCTTGAACACATTTTGCTAAATGGAATAAGACAGTCACAAAAGGACAGATAATGTGGATTCCACTTATGGAGTTACTTAGAATAGCCAAACTCAGAGACAGAAAGTAAACTAGTGGTTGCCAGGGCCTGAAGAGAGGGGGGAATGGGGAATTAGTGTTTAATAGGTACATTTTCAGCCTTGTCAGTTGAAGAGTGCTGTGAATGGATCTTGGTGATGGTAGCACAACAGTGTGAGTATGCTTAATGCCACTGTGTACTTAAAAGTGGTTAAGGTGATAAATTTGGGTGAGGCTCTGGTAGTGGCTGAGGTGATGCCATAAATAAATAAAATGAACATTTTTTCATCCTTCTGGTTAGATTTTTTATTCTATTGGGTAAAGTGGCAATTGGCTCTTTCCAATTTGAGAAGACTCTGTTATCATTATAGTTTAGTTATATTCATTTGATATTTGCATGCTGCTACTTGCTTGAACCTATATTTTCACTACTTCATTGGTCAAATATCTGAAAGAGAAATTTTAACGTTTCCCACTAGAACTTTTTCTTATCAAGTGCTTCCATTTCTTGGACTTTTTACTGAAGGCTTGTCTCCCATGTTGTTTGGAACCTGTTTTAGTTTCTAGTGGCTGGCATAATTTAAACAAATTGGGTGGCATTTCTTTTGGCGTACCACCATTCAACCCACAACAGCACCTTCAGGAGCTAATTTGCTTTGTGCGTTGTTCCTTTAGCAATTAAATATGAAATTATATACAGACAGTCCTCGACTTATGTTAGTTTGACCTTGGTTTTTTTTACTATATGATGGTGCAAAAGTGATACACATTCAGTGGAGACCATTCTTCAGATGCCCATACAACCATTCTGTTTTTCATTTTTAGTACAGTATTCAATAAATTACAGAAGATCTTCAGCAGTTTATTATAAAATAGGCTTTGTGTGAGATGATTTTGCCCCACTATAGGCCAATGTAAGTCTTCTGAGCATGTAAAGGTAGACTAGGCTAAGCTATGATGTATCATGGGTTTGGTGTATTAAATATATGTTTTTTCTTCACCATTTTATTACACAAAGTTAAACCAGATGGGACTGGTTCTGTGGTTGCAGAAAGTTGGATGTCACAAGACAGGCGTAAGTCACCTACCCCATCTTAAGATCAGGAGAAGTGGTGAATGCAAAGGGGAGGACGGGTAAGCAGAAGGATCTGGTCTAAGGAGGACAAGGGTGGGGGATGGGTTGGGAGCAGGGTGGGGTTTGTAGAATCCCAAGATCAGGGAGAAGACATGGTCTCTCCAGGATTGTGGCTACCTATGAAGAGAAGCCCATTCATACTGGAATGGTGTGAATTCACCACAGTGGTCAGAGTTTTCAAAGACCATGCTGCACAGAGATGTTAGTAAACAGTTTTATGCAAGGAAAAGGCAGGAAAGGAGTTGTCTGCATAGTCTGAAGGGATAAAGACACACAAACAGGACGAACCTCAGAACAATTTTAACAGAAAGAGACACGAGCCCCATACTCTCACTCTGACGTCTAAATTTACCTGGGTGGAGAGAGTGAGGCGAGGATTTTAAAAGATTTGCAGGGACCTCAGATTCCAGGTATATTAGTGCTGGGGGACTATGAAGCACATACTTAATCTAGGTAGAGGGGAAACAGGCATCATGGTCTAAATGTATTTTCAACTTAAAATATTTCCAGTTTACAATGAGATTATTAGGACATAGCCCCATCATAAGTTGAGGATCCTCTGTGTTTGATCTTATTCCTGTCATTTTAACTTTTTCTTTAGTATTTTTTGAAACTTACTTTGATGATTTAAACAAGTTTCTTTCTTGTGTTTTCCCTTCCTGAAAGTTCTGTTTTTGAAAATACAGTTTTGACTCATAGTTATCTTTTCTTTAACAGCCATATTTAAATTCACATTGTTTCTCTGATTTGGCAAAATAAAATAACTGTGTTCCCAAGACGTTTACTTACTATTTCTCCATTGCCCTACCCTCAACCCTTCTCAGTTCTTCAATTTCTCATAGTTGAGGATTTTAGTTCTAGACTAGTAGTATATTATATCTCTTCATTTTAGAAATTCCTGCTTAACACATAATTTCCTTCTGCATTATCATTATCCATTTGGGCTTACTTGTATATTGCAAACATTTATTGCTTGCTTGCTTACTTACATTGCTTGCATTCTTGGTCTTCTCTTGCTCTTGAGATTTCTTTTTTTATAGTATTTTAAAAAGATTTCCTTGTTTTTTTCAGATAGAATATATGAATGTTATTTTTTTCGCTTAGTTCTTGCATGTCTTTCTTTGGCCTCCAAACGAATAATGCCTTACCTGCAATATATTAAATATAACTTTTTTATTCACCTTTTTAAATTCGACCTTCAGTGATCTGTAGTTATTATTCTTCATTTTCTAGCTTGTATTATTGCAAATAGAAATCTGTTTCACATCTGATTTCATTCTCATTTTTTTGGTTTCTAAACATTTGAGATTTTCTCATTTTTATACAGAGAAGTTTCTAATTTTTTTGAAGTCACATTGTGTGATTGGTGACTTCCCTAATCTCATAACATGTTCCCTTTTAAGTGGAATCAATATTAAATGACATGTATTAAGGTTTATTATCAGAAACTCATGGAATCTCAAGGTTAAATGGGACCTTGAAGGCCATTTAGTCCAAATAATCATACAGTGCATGGATATTTCAGTACCATTATCAAGTAATTCTCTCATTCATGCTTACATAGGTTTTTTCTTTTCCAAGTCAGTTTAGTCCAGCTTCTAGGTTTTGGTGCTTTGTTAGGTCTCTTTCCCCGTTAGTCCTAATTTTATCCTTTGGGGTCCTATGAGTAAACCTAATCCTTTTGTACTCTGGCAGTTCATCAAGTATTTGAAGAGCACTATTATGCGACTTTAAAACTCTTTTATAACTGTCTTTAAAAAAAGAAAAATTTGGGAAATTTTATATCCCTTAGTAGATGATGGCAGAGAGGTAGCAGAGCAAAGATGGCTAAACTAAAACGTGGATCAGATTTGCAAAACTCCATTTTCTAGCCAATATCATAGGAAAATTAAAGAAAAGAGCACTTGCTATCTATTACTGTCTCCAGAAAAAACCTCCAGCTTTGTTAAAGGTATAACTTTAAAAAGCAACAACCCGCAAACACGCATAGAAACAGACACACACATGCAAGCACACTTCTACCCTCAGTCTAGACAATACTTACCTTTGTTCACTTTTTGCGTAATGATTCTGATCATTCAGTGCCTCTATTTGGTATCTGTTTGGTCAAATGATACTATTGTTGCTGAGTACAAGGGATAGAACAGTTGGATTTTGCCCCTTTTTGTTTAGTTTGTTCATTGCATTTATTTTGCACCAAGCTCTTACATGACCCAGCAGTAACTAGAGAGTGAAATTGAATAAGATCATTTGGTTTTAGTCTAGGCCATATGCTTTTGCCACTGTTGAGCAAAAATACGGAAAAGTAAAATACTCTAAATGGAAAAATACACAAATGTTAGAAAATACCAAGCCTTTTAAGAGGCTAGAGAACAACCCAGAGGCAGTAACTGCTGAGTTCATAGCTTTAGTAATTTCTGCAGAGAACTAATTGCTTCTTCCTGTGTGCTCCATAACACTTCAGACATTATATTAAGAAAATCATTTGTGGGTCTGTCTTCTTGTGTGACTTGTGCCCCTTGAAGTCAGGGGCCATATCTTATATTCATTATATTTCTGGGAATGCTCTGCGTTTTATTGAATACAGCAGAATATAGTCATGCATCACTTAATGAACGACATAAGTTCTATGAAATGCGTCATTAGGTAGTTGTCATTGTGTGAACATCATAGAATATACTTACACAAACCTACATGGTATAGCGTACTACACACATAAGCTATATGGTATAGCCTGTTGCTCCTAGAGTACAAACCTGTACAGCATGTTACTCCACTGAATACTGTAGGCAGTTATAACACAGTGGTAAGCATTTGTTTATCTAAACATAGAAAAGGTACAGTAAAAATATGGTATAAAATATGAGAGACAGTATGTCTTCTGTAGGGCACTTACCATAAATGGAGCTTGCGGGACTGGAAGTTGACTCACTGGGTGAGTCCGTGAGTGAGTGGTGAGAGAATGCGAAGGCCTAGAGCATTATTGTACACTACTATAGACTTCATAAACACTGTATGCTTAGGCTACATTAGATTTATTTAAAAAAATTTTTTTTCTTCAACGATGAATTAACCTTAGCTTCCTGTAACTTTTTTCACTTTGTAAAAGTTTCATTTTTTTTAACTTTTTGACTGTTATGATAACACTTAGCATAAAACACATTGTACAGCTGTACAAAAATATTCTTTACATATGCTTATTCTATAAACTTTTTCTGATTTTAAAACTTTTTAAACTTTTTTTGTTAAACATTAAGACACAAAAACACATGTTAGTCTAGGCCTGTGGAGGGTTAGGATCGTCATTATCACTGGCTTTCCCCTCCCCATGCCGTCCCACTGAAAGGTCTTCGTGGACAATAAACCACTAACATATTCATTTGTTATCATTTTCAAGTATTATGTATTTCATGTATTGTATGTGCAATACTTTTATACAACTGGCTGTGCAGGTTTGTTTACACCAGCATCACTACAAACGTGAGTAATGCTTCCACTGTGACATTACTAGGTGATAGAAATTTTTCAGCTTTGTGTTATTAATGTTATGGGACTACTGTTGTATATGTGGTCTCTTATTGACCAAAACGTCATTATGTGGCACATGACTGTACCTGTTCCCCTCACTTTCCCATTCTTAGAGTCACATACCTTAAAAAGAATGTCTCATCTTGGGGAAAACACCATTGCGATGACAGAGGGGTCTGTTATATCTAGGCTTAGAACTAAGAATGAAAGTTATTACAGGATTGTATAGGAAATTCCTGGGAGAAAAAAAAAAAAACAGTGGGATAGGTTTAGGGTATAGACTTAGAAAGTAGTGTCATACATAAACAGGATTAGTAAACACAGTTTTGGTGTGGCTATTTGAAATTGCTGAATGAAATTGTTATGCTACTAATTCAGTGAAGAAATTATTATAATCATATACATATAAACATACTTTTCATTACAAAGTTTGGTGTGCTATACTTGTTAGATTTTAAAAACATGTTTCTTATCCCTGAAAGCAAGGCAGATAGTTTTGAGCACAGAGCTACTTGAACTACCATAGGAAGAAGAAAAAGTTTTGACAGCAATCAGTCAACCAATCAAATATGTAGCCGTTTGTGCTAAGCAAATAACTCATTTTCTTGTTTCTCCAGAGAATACTGGACAAATTATACATGGCGAATAAGATGAGGCAAGGAGTTTTCACGTTTTTAAAGATCATATCCAGGCTATTTAATACACTTCACTAGTAGAATATAAAGTAAGTTACACTGAAGAAGAAATGAATAATAACTAATGGTCTTTAATTTTTTAATTTTTATTTCAATTGTTTTTGGGGGACAGGTGGTGGTTGGTTACACGGAAAAGTTCTTTAGTGGTAATTTCTGAGATTTTCGTGCACCTGTTACCCGAGCAGTGTACAGTGTACCCAGTGTGTAGTCTTTTATCCCTCATCCCCCTCTCACCCTTCCCCCCAAGTCCCCAAAGTCCATTATGTCATTCTTATGCCTTTGCATCCATATAGCTTAGCTACTACTTATTAGTGAGAATACACGATATTTGGTTTTCCATTCCTGAGTTACTTCACTTAGAATAATGGTCTCCAGTTCCATCCAAGTTGCTACAAATGCCATTATTTCATTCCTTTTTATGGCTGAGTACTAGTATTCCATGGTGTATATATATACCACAGTTCTTTCTTTCTTTTCTTTTCTTTTTTTTTTTTTTTTTTTTTTGAGATGGAGCCTCACTCTGTTGTCCAGGCTGGAGTGCAGTGGCATGATCTTGGCTCACCGCTGCAGCCTCCACCTCCTGGGTTCAAGCAGTTCTCCTTCCTCAGCCTCCCAAGTAGCTGGGATTACAGGCATGTGCCACCATGCCTGGCTAATTTTGTATTTTTGGTAGAGACAGGGTTTCACCATGTTGCCCAGGCTGGTTTCAAATTCCTGACCTCAGGTGATCCACCCACCTCATCCTCCCAAAGTGCTGGGATTACAGGGGTGAGCTACTGTGCCCAGCCTATACCACAGTTTCTTTATCTGCTTGTCGATTGATGGGCATTTGGGCTGGTTCCATATTTTTTGCAGTTGCAAATTGTGCTGCTGTAAACATGGGTGCAAGTATCTTTTTCGTATAATGACTTACTTTCCTCTGGGTAGATACCCAGTAATGGGATTGCTGGATCAAATGGTAGTTGTGTTTTTACTTCTTTTAGTCTCCACACTTTCTTCCGTAGTGGTTTTACTAGTTTGCATTCCCACCAGCAGTGTAAAATTGTTCCCTTTTCACCATATCCACACCAACATCTGTTATTTTTTTATTTCTTAATTATGGCCATACTTGCAGAAGTAAGATGGTATCTCATTGTGGTTTTAATTTGCATTTCCCTGATAGTAATGTTGAGCATTTTTTCATATGTTTGTTGGCCACTTGTGTACCTTCTTTTGAGAATTATCTATTCATGTCCTTTGCCCACTTTTTGATGGGGTTGGTTTTTTTTCTTGCTTTGTTTGAGTTCCTTGTAGATTCTAGATGTTAGTTAGTCATCTTTGTCAGATGCATAGTTTGCAAAGATCTTCTCCTGCTCTGTGGTTTGTCTGTTTACTCTGCTGATGATTTCTTTTGCTGTGCAGAAGATTTTTAGTTTAATTAGGTCTCATTTATTTATTTTTGTTTTAGTTGCATTTGCTTTTGTGTTGTTGGTTGTGAATTCTTTGCCTAAGCTAATGTCTAGAAGAGTTTTTCTGATGTTATTTTCTAGAATTTCTGTTGTTTCAGGTCTTCGATTTAAGTCTTTGATCCATCTGGAATTGAATTTTATATAAAGTGAGAGATGAGGATCCAGTTTCATTCTTTACATGTGCCTTGCCAATTATACCACACCATTTGTTAACTACGGTGTCCTTTCTTCACCGTATGTTTTTGTTTGCTTTGTTGAAGATCAGTTGGCTGTGAGTACTTGGGTTTCTTTCTGGGTCCTCTCTTCTGTTCCAACTAATTGTCTTTTATTTGGAGTAGTACAAAATTTTAAATAAAAATAAATGAAGTGGGGCTCACTTCTGTTGGTTTTTTTAATCTTTAATTGTGTAATATATATAAAAATAGCAGCTAAAGTTTATGTTTATGTATTCAACCAGCATAATAACTTTTACTTTAATATAAGGATAGAAAATATAGGAAAGTGATTGACATATGCATATGTCTTTTGTTGAATGCCATCGGTCAAAGACCACCAGAAACATATCTGTGATTAACAAAGTTAAATTTATTTCGCTTGTTGCCTCAAGGGAGGACACACCCAGAAGAGCTTTGAGAGAATTTAGAGGAGGACTTAGAAGGGGCTTCTTGTAGGGTCTAGACTTGTACTAAATATTTCTAAAAGGGATTTGGGAAGCTGGGATCAGTTCCAGATTGGATACTCTCAAGAAATAGTGCAATTCAGTAGTTCAGAAATATCTGTTCGGGAGGCAGGAGGAATGAAGCCAGGCTGGTGATGTCATTAGTCAGAAAGCAAGTCACTAGGAGGAAAAGATTGTTGGCCACTTTTCTAGCTGTGGTATGGGCTTGCATAAGAACATTCTTTTATGTGGGCTTGTTCCATATCCTGTTGGAAATAGTCATTATCAGCCAGGCAAATTGGTAGTTCCTCAATATTTAACATACTGCTGATCCTAGGTTAATTTTTTAATTTATCCCAAACTTCATACTTCAAAATACTAATGTACATATTATCCTTCACTCGAGTTTCATAAGGATTATTACACTGCAGGGTTGGTACATTTCTATGGCATAAAAATATGCCACAATCAATATGCGTTTCATGCAGTCATTGTATGCATAATTTAAAGTAAATATGAAGTTTAAAATTAATGAAAAATGACATGTATTAAATATAGAAACAAATCTTTACTTTCATCATAGCTTTTTATAATTACTGACATATGGATATACTTGAAGCTGTTAGAAGTCAATAGGTCACCAGCTAGAATATTAAGAACTATCAGATAGATATTTGTATGACAGGAACTTATTACCAATATTCTTTCTTTTGGAGTGAGGTTCTTCTCTGTAATGAGGAAGTGGATATTTACTCCTGGTAAGGTTTTATCGATCTCAATAAGGTTCTATCTTTTTTGGTATAGAGGAGAAAGGAAAGTTGATCTGCATGATTTTTCTAATTATCTTCGTTTGAATACATTTCACTTTTTCTTGGAAATTATTTAAGGCCCTGTCTTTTTTTAGCCACTGTTTTATTAATGTGGTAAATCAATTTCTGTAGCTTCTCACATTGGGATTATAACTTTCTAGGGATGCAGGAAAATATTTAGGATAGTAAGATAAAAAATACCTCTCCTTTTTGTTTAAATAAAATATGTTTTCTTATGAAGTTAGTGGAGTGTGGAGAAATCTGTTTTCTCAGCTTATTTAAATATTAATTCTTTTCATCAAAATTTTTTTCACTGACATTAATGAAAAGGAGGTCCTGTCTTCCTGGTGATTCACAGAGAGAAATAAGAAACAATTGTTAGTAAATCAAATACTTTAAGATTTGAATCACATTATTATCATCATCATCACTATCATCTTGTGTTAGAGTTTTTCTGTGAGTCAAACATTGAGTGTTTTATTTCCATTATCCCTGACCCTCAGAGCGACCACAGAAGATAAATATTATCTTCTCTTTTTAAAAATGAGAAACATGAAACTCAGAGGAAGGTTACATGATTTGGTCAAACTTACATGGTTAGATAATGGCAGAGCCAGGATTCATTTAAAATGTCTAGCCCTAGAGGTTATCCTCCTTGTTAGAACTCACCAGTGATTCCCTAGCCAGGCACAGGCCACACCTCCAAAGACGTTGCTAGAGGGTTTCATGCAGTTTCCATGGACATGTTCACCTGCCCATGTTTAGGATGAAAGTCATAAAGTTAGGGGAAGGGAAGAAAGATTAAAGACTGCTATAGTGAAGTAATGAGGGAGAAAGAAATTAAAAGGAAGGACACAAAGCACATTTTAAACATGCATGAATCAAATTACTGTTGTTTATGCTGACAGTGTTTGTTGCTTAATGAACTAACCACATCAAGCAAAGATAGGTTTGACTTCAGGGTCTGCTGGATCTGGGGACTCAAACTGTATCATGCATCCGACTGTCTCTGTTTCTGTAAAACATTGTCTTATTCTGCCTTCTATTGCTATAAGTGAATAATCAAGACTGGGTAATTTATAAGGGAGAGAGGTTTATTTAGCCCACAGTTCTGGAGACCAGGAGGTCCAAGATTGGGCAGCTGCATTTGATCAGCTTCTGGTGAGGGCCTCGTACTGGGTCTTAACCCAGCAGAGAAGAAGAAGGGGAAGTGGGCACAAGCAAAGACGCCAAGCATGAGAGGCAACCACACTTTATAACAACTCACTCTCGTGGTAGCAAATTCAGTCCCATGAGGGAGAACTCACTTCTACTCCAATGAGAAAGGCACTAATCACTCTCACAACATCATCACCTCTTAAAGGCCCCACTTCTCAGCATCATTATATTGCCAACTAAATTTCAGCATAAATTTTGGTGGAGACAAACCACATCCAGCCCATAACAACTACCCACCTTCTTTCTGCTTCATTCTCTGCCCTTTCTTTCTGCTGGCTCCCCTCACTCTTGTTCCTTTCCCTTTCTGATCTTTCTCTCCTATTCTTTCTCCTTCCCTTCTGTGCTCCCTCTAGTCCTTTCCCTGCTACCAGATGACTTCAGCCTCTGTGTCTCCATTTCCTGTCTGCATCTGCATGGTTTTTGTTTCCTTAGGCTCTTCATGGTTTGAGGAATATGGCCATTAGCAGCTCTGGGACCACAGCCCTTTAGCTGCAGAGGTCTTTCCCAGTTGTGCAGTAAAAAATTTCAAGGAACAATTCTGAGCTGTTTCAGCCAAATATCTATACCTGCATTAGTCACTGTTCTGCAGATAGAGTGTGATGATTAACCAGAAGTGGAGCAAGGTGCTGTGATTGGGAACTGCACCAGAATCACAAGATCTCAATAGAGGAGAGCAATTCCCCAAATCATACTTGAGAGATCACTGGAAGATTCTAACAGGCATTTGGCAGATAAAAATAACATGCCTACTGTGCTTTTCTATTTAGATTTATATTTTCTATAGTTTATTCTTAACCTACTAGTACTGCTAACTAAAAATCGAGTGTTTCTTGTGTTAAAAAAACATGCTTTTACAAAAAAAAATTAAATTTTAATACCTTTGCAACTGAAAGGAGATATAAATGAGGATATTCAGAATTTCAGCATTAATGTTTAAGTTTCAGAATACACAAACATGTTTTTATTGGTTAAAGAATGTTTTTCACTTCATTGCAAACTTAACCAAAAAGAAGAGTAGTTGTTTTACTTTAGATGTTCATCATATATTGTTCAAACAGCTTCTTTTTCAAAAGAAAGTCTATGTCAGGTAAAATTCTATTTGTTGCTTTGCAAGCTGTACCTCTAGATGATAGATTTCATGTATCTTAGAATTAGATTTCTGTGTTCTTAGATTCCTGTGTTCCTAGCAACTTGTAGGGAATACCTTAAAAAGTATCTACTTGGGGGTGGAGCCAAGATGGCCGAATAGGAACATCTCCAGTCTACAGCTCCCAGCGTGAGCGACACAGAAGACGGGCGATTTCTGCATTTCCAACTGAGGTACCGGATTCATCTCACTGGGGAGTGCCGGACAGTGGGTGCAGGACAGTGGGTGCAACGCACCATGCGTGAGCCGAAGCAGGGTGAGGCATCGCCTCACCTGGGAAGCGCAAGGGGTCAGGGAATTCCCTTTCCTAGTCAAAGAAAGGGGTGACAGACGGCACCTGGAAAATCGGGTCACTCCCACCCTAAAACTGCACTTTTCCAACGGGCTTAATGGCACACCAGGAGATTATATCCTGCACCTGGCTTGGAGGATCCTACGCCCATGGAGCCTCACTCATTGCTAGCCCAGCAGTCTGAGATCAAACTGCAAGGCAGCAGCGAGGCTGGGGGAGGGGCGCCCACCATTGCCCAGGCTTGAGTAGGTAAACAAAGCAGCCCGGAAACTCGAACTGGGTGGAGCCCACCGCAGCTCAAGGAGGCCTGCCTGCCTCTGTAGGCTCCACCTCTGGGGGCAGGGCACAGACAAACAAAAGGCAGCAGAAACCCCTGCAGACTTAAATGTCCCTGTCTGACAGCTTTGAAGAGAGTAGTGGTTCTCCCAGCACGCAGCTTGAGATCCGAGAACGGGCAGACTGCCTCCTCAAGTGGGTCCCTGACCCCCGAGTAGCCTAACTGGGAGGCACCCCCCAGTAGGGGCGCACTGACACTTCACACGGCTGGGTACTCCTCTGAGACAAAACCTCCAGAAGAACGATTAGACAGCAGCATTTGCGGTTCACCAATATCCGCTGTTCTGCAGCCACTGCTGCCTGATACCCAGACAAACAGGGTCTGGAGTGGACCTCCAGCAAACTCCAACAGGCCTGCAGCTGAGGGTCCTGACTGTTAGAAGGAAAACTAACAAACAGAAAGGACATCCACACCAAAAACCCATCTGTACGTCACCATCATCAAAGACCAAAGGTAGATAAAACCACCAAGATGGGGAAAAACCAAAGCAGAAAAACCAGAAACTCTAAAAATCAAAGCGCCTCTCCTCCTCCAAAGGAACGCAGCTCCTCACCAGCAACAGAACAAAGCTGGACGGAGAATGGCCTTGATGAGTTGAGAGAAGAAGGCTTCAGAAGATCAAACTATTCCGAGCTAAAGGAGGAGGTTTGAACCGATGGCAAAGAAGTTAAAAACCTTGAAAAAAAATTAGACAAATGGCTAACTAGAATAACCAATGCAGAGAAGTCCTTAAAAGAGCTGATGGAGCTGAAAACCACGGCACGAGAACTATGTGACGAATGCACAAGCCTCAGTAGCCAATGCGATCAACTGGAAGAAAGAGTATCAGCGATGGAAGCCAAAGTGAATGAAATGAAGCGAGAAGAGAAGTTTAGAGAAAAAAGAAAAGAAACGAACAAAGCCTCCAAGAAATATGGAACTATGTGAAAAGACCAAATCTACGTCCTGATTGGTGTACCTGAAAGTGACAGGGAGAATGGAACCAAGTGGGAGAACACTCTGCAGGATATTATCCAGGAGAACTTCCCAAACCTAGCAAGGCAGGCCAACATTCAAATTCAGGAAATACAGAGAACTCCACAAAGATACTCCTCGAGAAGAGCAACTCCAAGACACCTAATTGTCAAATTCACCGAAGTTGAAATGAGGGAAAAAATGTTAAGGGCAGCCAGAGAGAAAGGTCGGGTTACCCACAAAGGGAAGCCCATCAGACTAACAGCTGATCTCTCGGCAGAAACTCTGCAAGCCAGAAGAGAGTGGGGGCCAATATTCAACATTCTTAAAGAAAAGAATTTTCTTTTTTTTTTTTTTTTAATTTATTTTTTTATTGATAATTCTTGGGTGTTTCTCACAGAGGGGGATTTGGCAGGGTCATGGGACAATAGTGGAGGGAAGGTCAGCAGATAAACAAGTGAACAAAGGTCTCTGGTTTTCCTAGGCAGAGGACCCCACGGCCTTCCGCAGTGTTTGTGTCCCTGGGTACTTGAGATTAGGGAGTGGTGATGACTCTTAACGAGCATGCTGCCTTCAAGCATCTGTTTAACAAAGCACATCTTGCACCGCCCTTAATCCATTTAACCCTGAGTGGACACAGCACATGTTTCAGAGAGCACAGGGTTGGGGGTAAGGTCACAGATCAACAGGATCCCAAGGCAGAGGAATTTTTCTTAGTGCAGAACAAAATGAAAAGTCTCCCATGTCTACTTCTTTCTACACAGACACGGCAACCATCCGATTTCTCAATCTTTTCCCCACCTTTCCCGCCTTTCTATTCCACAAAGCCGCCATTGTCATCCTGGCCCGTTCTCAATGAGCTGTTGGGCACACCTCCCAGACGGGGTGGTGGCCGGGCAGAGGGGCTCCTCACTTCCCAGTAGGGGCGGCCGGGCAGAGGTGCCCCTCACCTCCCGGACGGGGCGGCTGGCCGGGCGGGGGGCCGACCCCCCCACCTCCCTCCCAGACGGGGCGGCTGGCCGGGCAGAGGGGCTCCTCACTTCCCAGTAGGGGCGGCCGGGCAGAGGCGCCCCTCACCTCCCAGACGGGGCGGCTGGCCGGGCGGAGGGCTGACCCCCCCACCTCCCTCCCGGACAGGGCGGCTGGCCAGGCGGGGGGCTGACCCCCCCACCTCCCTCCCGGACGGGGCGGCTGGCCGGGCAGAGGGGCTCCTCACTTCCCAGTAGGGGCGGCTGGGCAGAGGCGCCCCTCACCTCCCAGACGGGGCGGCTGGCCGGGCGGAGGGCTGACCCCCCTACCTCCCTCCCGGACGGGGCGGCTGGCCGGGTGGGGGGGCTGACCCCCCCATCTCCCTCCCGGACGGGGTGGCTGGCCGGGCTGAGGGGCTCCTCACTTCCCAGTAGGGGCGGCCGGGCAGAGGCGCCCCTCACCTCCCGGACGGGGCGGCTGGCCGGGCAGGGGGCTGACCCCCCCACCTCCCTCCCGGATGGGGCGGCTGCCGGGCGGAGAGGCTCCTCACTTCTCAGACGGGGCAGCTGCCGGGCGGAGGGGCTCCTCACTTCTCAGACGGGGTGGTTGCCAGGCAGAGGGTCTCCTCACTTCTCAGACGGGGCGGCCGGGCAGAGACGCTCCTCACCTCCCAGACGGGGTCTCGGCCGGGCAGAGGCGCTCCTCACATCCCAGATGGGGCGGCGGGGCAGAGGCGCTCCCCACATCTCAGACGATGGGCGGCCGGGCAGAGACGCTCCTCACTTCCTAGATGTGATGGCGGCTGGGAAGAGGCGCTCCTCACTTCCTAGATGGGATGGCGGCCGGGCGGAGACGCTCCTCACTTTCCAGACTGGGCAGCCAGGCAGAGGGGCTCCTCACATCCCAGACGATGGGCGGCCAGGCAGAGACGCTCCTCACTTCCCAGACGGGGTGGCAGCCGGGCAGAGGCTGCAATCTCGGCACTTTGGGAGGCCAAGGCAGGCGGCTGCTCCTTGCCCTTGGGCCCCGCGGGGCCCGTCCGCTCCTCCAGCCGCTGCCTCCCAGGCGGCGCTCGCCGGCGCGGCGGCAAAGACTGAGACAGCTCCGCTGCCCGCTGAACTCCATCCTCCCGGCGGTCGGGCGGCGGCGGCTGCCAAGAAAAGAATTTTCAACCCAGAATTTCATATCCAGCCAAACTAAGCTTCATAAGTGAAGGAGAAATAAAATCCTTTACAGACAAGCAAATGCTGAGAGATTTTGTCACCACCAGGCCTGCCCTAAAAGAGCTCCTGAAGGAAGCACTAAACATGGAAAGGAACAACCGGTAACAGCCACTGCAAAAACATGCCAAATTGTAAAGACCTTCAAGACTAGGAAGAAACTGCATCAACTAATGAGCAAAATAACTAGCTAACATCATAATGACAGGATCAAATTCACACATAACAGTATTAACCTTAAATATAAATGGGCTAAATGCTCCAATTAAAAGACACAGACTGGCAAATTGGATAAAGAGTCAAGACCCATCAGTGTGCTGTATTCAGGAAACCCATCTCATGTGCAGAGGCACACATAGGCTCAAAATAAAGGGATGGAGGAAGATCTACCAAGCAAATGGAAAATAAAAAAAGGCAGGGGTTGCAATCGTAGTCTTGGATAAAACAGACTTTAAACCAACCAAGATCAAAAGAGACAAAGAAGGCCATTACATAATGGTAAAGGGATCAATTCCACAAGAAGAACTAACTATCATAAATATATATGCACTCAATACAGGAGCACCCAGATTCATAAAGCAAGTCCTTAGTGAAGTACAAAGAGACATAGACTCCCACACAATAATAATGGGAGACTTTAACACCCCACTGTCAACATTAGACAGATCAAGAAGACAGAAAGTTAACAAAGATATCCAGGAGTTGAACTCCGCTCTGCACCAAGTGGACCTAATAGACATCTACAGAACTCTCCACCCCAAATCAACAGAATATACGTTCTTTTCAGCACCACACCACACCTATTCCAAAATTGACCACATAGTTGGAAGTAAAACACTCCTCAGCAAATGTAAAAGAACAGAAATTATAACAAACTGTCTCTCAGACCACAGTGCAATCAAACTAGATCTCAGGATTAAGAAAGTCACTCAAAACTACTCAACTACATGGAAACTGAACAACCTGCTCCCTAATGACTACTGGGTACCTAACAAAATGAAGGCAGAAATAAAGATGTTCTTTGAAACCAACGAGAACAAAGACACAACATACCAGAATCTCTGGGACACACTCAAAGCAGTGTGTAGAGGGAAATTTATAGCACTAAATGCCCACAAGAGAAAGCAGGAAAGATCTAAAATTGACACCCTAACATCACAATTAAAAGAACTAGAGAAGCAACAGCAAACACATTCAAAAGCTAGCAGAAGGCAAGAAATAAGTAAGATCAGAGCAGAACTGAAGGAGATAGAGACACAAAAAACCGTTCAAAAAAATCAATGAATCCAGGAGCTGGTTTTTTGGAAAGATCAACAAAATTGATAAACCGCTAGCGAGACTAATAAAGAAGAAAAGAGAGACGAATCAAATAGACGCAATAAAAAATGATAAAGGGGATACCACCACTGATCCCACAGAAATACAAATTACTATCAGAGAATACTATAAACACCTCTATGCAAATAAACTAGAAAATCTAGAAGAAATGGATAAATTCCTCGACACATACACCCTCCCAAGACTGAACCAGGAAGAAGTTGAATCTCTGAATAGACCAACAACAGGCTCTGAAATTGAGGCAATAATTAATAGCTTACCAACCAAAAAAAGTCCAGGACCAGATGGATTCACAGCCGAATTCTACCAGAGGTACAAGGAGGAGCTGGTACCATTCCTTCTGAAACTATTCCAATCAATAGAAAAAGACGGAATCCTCCCTAACTCATTTTATGAGGCCAGCATCATCCTGATACCAAAGCCTGGCAGAGACACAGCAGAAAAAGAGAATTTTAGACCAATATCCTTGATGAACATCGATGCAAAAATCCTCAATAAAATACTGGCAAACCGAATCCAGCAACACATCAAAAAGCTTATCCACCATGATCAAGTGGGCTTCATCCCTGGGATCCAAGGCTCGTTCAACATACGAAAATCAATAAACGTAATCCAGCATGTAAAGAGAACCAAAGACAAAAACCACATGATTATCTCAATAGATGCAGAAAAGGCCTTTGACAAAATTCAACAACCTTCATGCTAAAAACTCTCATTAAATTAGGTATTGATGGGACGTATCTCAAAATAATAAGAGCTATCTATGACAAACCCACAGCCAATATCATACTGAATGGACAAAAACTGGAAGCATTCCCTTTAAACACTGGCACAAGACAGGGTTGCCCTCTCTCACCACTCCTATTCAACATAGTGTTGGAAGTCCTGGCCAGGGCAATCAGGCAGGAGAAGGAAATAAAGGGCATTCAGTTAGGAAAAGAGGAAGTCAGATTGTCCCTGTTTGCAGATGACATGATTGTATATCTAGAAAACCCCATCGTTTCAGCCCAAAATCTCCTTAAGCTGATAAGCAACTTCAGCAAAGTCTCAGGATACAAAATCAATGTGCAGAAATCACAGGCATTCTTATACACCAATAGCAGACAGAGAGCCAAATCATGAGTGAACTCCCATTCACAATTGCTTCAAAAAGAATAAAATACCTAGGAATCCAACTTACAAGGGACGTGAAGGACCTCTTCAAGGAGAACTACAAACCTCTGCTCAATGAAATAAAAGAGGATACAAACAAATGGAAGAACATTCCATGCTCATGGGTAGGAAGAATCAATATCGTGAAAATGGCCATACTGCCCAAGGTAATTTCTAGATTCAATGCCATCC
Organism: Homo sapiens; assembly: GCF_000001405.40. Taxonomy (NCBI): domain Eukaryota; kingdom Metazoa; phylum Chordata; class Mammalia; order Primates; family Hominidae; genus Homo; species Homo sapiens. The sequence continues at coordinate 3,690,369 of NW_018654717.1, read as the reverse complement.
CCATCAAGCTACCAATGACTTTCTTCACAGAATTGGAAACAACTACTTTAAAGTTCATATGGAATCAAAAAAGAGCCTGCATTGCCAAGTCAATCCTAAGCTGAAAGAACAAAGCTGGAGGCATCATGTTACCTGACTTCAAACTATACTACAAGGCTACAGTAACCAAAACAGCATGGTACTGGTACCAAAACAGAGATAGAGACCAATGGAACAGAACAGAGCCCTCAGAAATAATGCCGCATATCTACAACTATCTGATTTTTGACAAACCTGACAAAAACAAGCAATGGGGAAAGGATTCCCTATTTAATAAATGGTGCTGGGAAAACTGGCTAGCCGTATGGAGAAAGCTGAAACTGGATCCCTTCCTTACACCTTAGACAAAAATTAATTCAAGATGGATTAAAGACTTAAATGTTAGACCTAAAACCATAAAAACCCTAGAAGAAAACCTAGGCAATACCATTCGGGACATAGGCATGGGCAAGGACTTCATGTCTAAAACACCAAAAGCAATGGCAACAAAAGTCAAAATTGACAAATGGGATCTAATTAAACTCAAGAGCTTCTGCACAGCAAAAGAAACTACCATCAGAGTGAACGGGCTACCTACAGAATGGGAGAAAATTTTTTGCAACCTACTCATCTGACAAAGGGCTAATATCCAGAATTTACAAAGAACTCAAACAAATGTACAAGAAAAAAACAAACAACCCCATCACAAAGTGGGCAAAGGATATGAACAGACACTTCTCAAAAGAAGACATTTATGCAGCCAAAAAACACATGAAAAAATGCTGCTCATCATCACTGGCCATCAGAGAAATGCAAATCAAAACCACAATGAGATACCATCTCACACACCTGTTAGAATGGCGATCATTAAGAAGTCAGGAAACAACAGGTGCTGGAGAGGATGTGGAGAAATAGGAAGGAACACTTTTACACTGTTGGTGGGACTGTAAACTAGTTCAACCATTGTGGAAGTCAGTGTGGCGATTCCTCAGGGATCTAGAACTAGAAATACCATTTGACGCAGCCATCCCATTACTGGGTATATACCCAAAGGATTATAAATCATGCTGCTATAAAGACACATGCACATGTATGTTTATTGCGGCACTATTCACAATAGCAAAGACTTGGAACCAACCCAAATGTCCATCAACGATAGACTGGATTAAGAAAATGTGGCACATATACACCATGGAATACTATGCAGCCATAAAAAAGGATGAGTTCATGTCCTTTGTAGGGACATGGATGAAGCTGGAAACCATCATTCTCAGCAAACTATCGCAAGGACAAAAAACCAAACACCGTATGTTCTGACTCATAGGTGGGTATTGAACAATGAGAACACATGGACACAGGAAGGGGAACATCACACACCGGGGACAGTTGTGTGGTGGGGATAGGGGGAAGGGATAGCATTAGGAGATACACCTAATGCTAAATGATGAGTTAATGGGTGCAGCATGCCAACATGGCATATGTATACATATGTAACAAACCTGCACGTTGTGCACATGTACCCTAAAACCTAAAGTATAATAATAATAAAATTTTTAAAAAAAGTATGTACTTTTCATTCAATGAAAGAGCAGTATTTGAGAGGCATCATTCACTGTTGTTAAAAATCCTCAATCTGCCATTTACTAGTTGTGGTAGGCAGAATACTAGCCCCCATAGATGTCAACATACTAATCCCCAGAACCTGTAACTATGTTACCTTATGGGATAAAAAGACTGCGGATGTGATTAAGTTAATCTTGAGATGGAGAGATTATCTTGGGTTATCTGGATAGGCCCAGTATAATCACAAGGATTCTTTAAAGGAGGCTCAGAATCAGAGACGATCTGATGACAGAATTAGAGGTCATAGTGATGCATGGCCACAAGCCAAGGAATGTGAGCAGGCTTTGGAAGCTGAAAAAGACAAGGAAATGTGTTTTCCCCTAGAGGCTCCGAAGGAACACATCCCTGCTCATCCATTTTAGACTTATGACCTCCAGAACTGTGTGGGAATAAATGTGTGTTTTAATTCACTTAGTTTCTGGTATTGTGTTACAATAACAATAGGAAACTAATATCTGAAGTGTTTGACCTTTTGTTGCCCAGTTACCTCAGAGCATTATTTGAGGATTAAGTGAGTTTATTCAAGGAAAGTGCTTGTCAAATACAAACACGTGTGTGTATATGTATGTGTAAAGGAAAAGAAACCTCTTTTTTGTTTTACTGCTTATTTCACTTCTGGTCACCAAAATTTGCAAGTTTTTCCTACCATGAGCACTCTTCCAACAGCAGTTAGGTGTCCTATAATTTGATTCTGTTCTAACACTGTCTGCTTGGAATTAACGTCAGATCCAGTGAGTTAAAGGCTCAGTCCCAGAAGACTACACCCCACTTTAGAGGCTACTCGCTAGTAGTAGGTTGTCATCTATACTTCTTATCTGCTGGCTGTCAATTGGGGGTTCCCATGACCTCTTCATCAAGTTTAATTATTTGCTAGTGGTGCCCACAGAACTCAGGAAGATATGTTTACCAGTTTATTATAAAGGAATTACAAAGGCTGCAGATGAATGGCCAGATGAGGAGGTACATAGGGCAAGGTCAGTGGGCAGGGGCAAGGAGCTTCCATACTCCCTCCCAGTGCTCCACCTTCCTAGCACCTCCACACGTTCAGTAACCCAGAAACACTTTCAACCCTGTCCCTTGGGGTTTCTCTGGAGGCTTCACTGTGGCCAATTGATTATATCATTCCCTCCCTGGAGATCAGGCATGGGGCTGAAAGTTCCACCCATCCAGTCACATGATTGTTTCCTCTGGTACCAGCCCCTATCTGGAGACTATCCAGGAGCCCCCAGCCATCAGTCGTCTCATTATATCTTAGTCCATTTAATGTGTTGCTGTAAGGAATACCTCGAGGCTGGGTAATTTATAAAGAAAAGAGGTTTATTTGGCTCACAGTTTTGCAGGCTGTACAAGAAGCATGGTGCCAGCATCTATGTCTGGTGAGGGCTTCAGATTGCTTCCACTCCTGGCAGAAGGTGAGGGGGAGTCAGCATGTGCAAAGACGACATGGCAAGGGAGGAAGCAAAGTGATGGAGAGGGAGGTGCCAGGCTGTTTTTCACAACCAACTATTGAAGGAACTAATAGAGTGAGAACTCACTCACACTTCCTCCCCGTGCACCTTCCAACGCAAATTAAATTATTCATGAGGGATCCACCTCCATGACTCAGACACCTCTTACTAGGTCCCACCTCCAACATTGGGCATCCAATTTCAACATACATTTGGAAGGCACAGACATTCAAACTGTAGCACGTTAACATATAAAAATGTACTTATCACTTATCTGAGACACTCATCTGAAATTCCAAGAGATTTAGGGGCTATGTGCCAGGAAAGGAAGACCAAATACATATTTCTTATTATAAATCACTCACAGTACATATACAGGTAATGTACATAAAATTATGAACTGCATTTAGAGAACTGAAGATGGTTCTAATGAAGATCAGAAAATAAAAAACGCATGCATGTGTAATTTAAGTTCAATTTTATATAATTAACAAGTATACAACTGTTAATAAAAGTCACACGTTCATGACTCTAGAAGAGACCTTAAATTTAGAGGTTAGCTAATCTAACCTTTTACCCCATAAGGATTCCGTACTATATTACTACACGGCATTTCTATACCATATCCCTATGTGCTGTCTGCCATTAGTCCATTGTTGGGTAACTTAAATGGTTAGAAATACTTCTATGCATTAAGCCAAATATAGTAACTTCTTTTTGGAACTACATCGTATAAGGATGTTTTTCCTTTTGAGAGCCCTCTCTGAAATACTGACAATGCTAATCAAGACCTTTCCTATACTCACCACCTACTATCACTTCAAGCTTTTGTACTCTAGACTAAGTTTTCCTCCCCTCCTTTTTAAAATTCTGTTGACGTAAGTTTCCATTTGCTGTTTTGAAATTTGTTACATTGGTTTCCTTGAGCTTCCTGTCAAACTAGCTTCAAAATATTTTTACTGGGGCTAGTCTGGAGTCAGTTTTTAGTCTTTCTTCACTTACATATTTGAACAGTTGACTGTTTTTGAGGGGAGAAGGGCTCTAATAGCAGGACATTGCCTTTATCCTGATTAAATGTTCTTGTCAATCATGTGATGCTCTTCAGCAGTTGCCAGGGAGTCATCATTCTGCAAACCAGATTTACTTTTTCTGTTTTTTATTCGTATTTCCACTTCTTTTAAGTTAGCAGGAAGAAATGCTGAATTCACCAATGCCTTTGGTCCCTTGTCCAGGACTTCAGAGTCACTAGAAATGGTCTGTATTTCTTATGGTAAAGTTGTGCATCTCTACAAGATTCCATAAAAGGGATTAGTAGTGTGTTTGACCTGTTGTCTTAAGCATACTCTCAGTCATCTCTTGGCATATACATGTGAATGAGGTAGCCTCATAATAACCTTGTGCTGCCTTTTCAGGAGTCACTGTTAACCTCTACTGGTCTCTTTCTCTGGATACTGGAGCATGGTGCAAGGATTCTTCAACTCTCATGAATTCACTCTCGTGAATTCCCATTATTATTGCATGCACCTTTACAAGCCCTAGAGTAACTACTAAGAAAGGCCTCATGTTGCCTTATGAGTCTCTAAGCCTCCTCAGAGTCTACGCACCTCAAGAATATTTTTATTGGATCCTTTTCCCCTCCCTAACCTCATTCCTACCTCTCTTTTTACTACTCTTCTCTCTTCTTCCTCCCCTCCTCTTTTTTTCTCTCTGTCCTCCAAATAAATGTGCAAAGTCATGCTCTGAAACTGAAGTTCCTTGTACCTAGGAGAATCCTCATCTTACTCAGCGCAAATTTGCTCCTACTGTAGTAACAGCTTTTGCTGCTGACTGATTACAACCGTTTTACTGTTGTAAGCTTCCAGCTCATGATGGTTTTAGATGTGCACTGTCCAGCACAAAGCCACTCGTCACAGCTGGCTGCTGAACACGCTGCCACACGTTGAAATGGTAATATTGTGGATATAGTAGGGTAAATAAAACGTGCTATTAAAACTCATGTCTTTTTTAAACATTGCTACTGGAAGTTTACAATTACATAGGAAGCTTATATTTCTACTGGACAGCACTTTTCAAACATTCTAAACTAAAAGGAAATATATAAAGAGATTAATTTATGCAAAGGAAAAGAGAGAAATAAATTACGTATTAAAAAGTAAAATATGGCTGGGTGTGGTAGCTCACGCCTGTAATCCCCGCACTTTGGGAGGCCAAGGCTGGCAGATCACTTGAGGCCAGGAGTTCGAGACCAGCCTGGCCAACATGGTGAAACCCCGTCTCTACTAAAAATACAAAAATTAGCTGGCTGTGGTGGCTCACGCCTGTAGTCCCAGCTACTCGAGAGGATGAGGCACAAGAATTGCTTGAAACCCAGGAGGCAGAGTTTGCAGTGAGCCAAGATGGTTGCATTGCGCTCCAGCCTGGGCGACAGAGTGAGACTCTATCTAAAAAAAAAAAAAAAAGTAAAATACATAGCAATCTTGAACCGTTTTGAGTAAGTACAAATGTCCCTGCACATCTCAGTAGTCCAGAGAGCATTGCTATATTATTCCAAAGGCTGGTGGAGGTTCATAATAATTGGCCCTGAATTGTCAAGAAGAGTAAAATTATGTTTGGAGTGATCTGTTTTTCAGTGTATAGAGGTATGTAATATATTTCATAAAGAAATTCTATCAAGAAAAGAGAAATTAAAATGCTAAATTAGCAGTTATGTTAAAAACTTGGCTATCTGGAATGATTTAGTTCTTGAGTGTTCCGATTTTTATGGTAGCAGTATTCTAATAAGACAAAGTGATAATTTTTATATGAGGGTAGTTGATAAATTTATGGGAGGAACATAAGTCATTCAACAAATAGAAACGACAGAATACTCAAAAACACTTTCTTCAGAGATTCTTCTTAATATTTGTATTATTTTTATGTGAAGTATTTATATTGAAATAATTATTTCAGAAAGAACTCATTTTTGTTTAAACCAGTATGCCAATATGATCTCTTCATTTAAGAAACTGCTGTATATGTAGTAGCTGCAATCTCAGAACTCTCAGGATATATGAACAAAGCGTATTGTGATTTATAGGAACCAGGCCATTGTCTGTGAAAAGAAAATTACTTTCCTACAGCCCTTGCTCTTATCGGGATGCTTGGCCCCTGGATGCGTAAGCCTACTGAGGGCTGAAGTTTTGGGAGTCGCCTATTCAGGGATTGCCTGACCTCTGCATCTTATAACCATATCATCCTGAGGAATTGCAGACTGATGTGGAGGCATGTGACTGCTTTTTGAATGATGTCAGAACTGTCTTGTCTTTGTTGTGATTATTGTGTATGATTGCATTTTATCCTTCATAGTCTGTCATTGATTTACAAAACGTCTCAGAAAGATGTAGTGAGTGCAATTATGGTTTCCTCAAGAAGCACCAATTGTGATTTACTTCTTCAGCTGCACACACTTCAGTTATTTTTTTCTTATATTTTCCCAAAAGTATCACTAAATCTCTTACTGTGTTAGATTTCATTGACTTTAGTGAAGTCTGATTAATATCCTTTCTCATTTAAGCCCTTCTGGGTTTTTTTTTTTTTTTTGAGTCTCATTCATTTACTAGTTCTCTTTGAATCACGTCATTTATTTTTTCATTTAACAAATATACAGGCACTGTTTACAATATGCCAAGCACAATACAGCACTGATACAGATAACAGAAATCTTGAATTGTTGGAGAAAGTGATGGAGTTTAGAGCTAGCATGCTAGCAGTGGCACCAAACCCGCAGCAACTTGTTCATTTAGTAGACTGCAGGGCCCAGCTGTTGCTGATGAAAGTAATCACCCGTGTGAACATTATCTGTCAGGTGTGTTGAGGAAAAATCATTCGGAATCATTTCTAAGAAATAACAGCGCCAAGCACTATATTCTTAAAGCTTTCGGAGATTTACCATTGGTATGTAAGGGCTGTTTGTATCAGTTTATGTCTGTGTAAATAAAAGATTTAGATCAGAGAAATGATGGTTCCTAACCTTTTTTGGGTCATGGACCACTTTAAGGAGCTAATAAAAGCACCTTTAGATCCACTCCTTAGGGAGAAAATACATTGCACATTTGAACATACACTCAAATTTTGCCTCTAGTTGTCAAGTATTTACAGAATTTTTGAATTCCATGAAATTACCAGAGGTTAAGAACTTCTGATGTACACATAATGGTTAGAAATATAATCTTAGAACAGGCTTGACAAGATAAACTAGTTTGATATCCTTATGATTAAGACTCAGAATAAGCAAATAACTTGCCTAAAATTTTAAAACTGTAGTGTCAAAGCTAGGACTGGAATCTGTGCCCTTTGACAGTGTTTTTAACTGAAATGGTGTGGAGTGATTTCATGAAGGAAGTTATGTGTAAGTTTGGCCATATGTTTGTGGCAAGATTTTAACAAGTGCAAATGATTGGAGCTTAGATCATTGTCAACATGAGCAAAGACATTCAGGAAAATGCAAGGTGTATTTGGGTAAAAGTGAGTGATGTAGAGTTGATAGTGTGTGTTGAGAAGGTAAGGTGGAATAGGGAACAGTGAATAATAAATTGAATAAATTTAGTCTATATTTTTAAAGGATTTTGACTATTCAGCTGTAGGGTTGAACACCATTTTGTAAGACAGGTATGGGGACTCATACATTTATACTATTTTGATTATTATTATTATTATTGAATAGGAGAATAAACTAATTAAAGCAGGAATTAATGTAACTGAATTAAGGGCTAGAGACAAGGGATTAAGGAGTAATTTAGGGATTAGCTACAGGACTGTTATAGGAGGTGGGTGAAAGAAAAAGTACATAAATAAATTGTAGCAATAAGAATGGAAAAAAGGGCCGGGCGCGGTGGCTCACGCCTGTAATCCCAGCACTTTGGGAGGCCGAGGCGGGTGGATCATGAGGTCAGGAGATCGAGACCATCCTGGCTAACAAGGTGAAACCCCGTCTCTACTAAAAATACAAAAAATTAGCCGGGCGCGGTGGCGGGCGCCTGTAGTCCCAGCTACTCGGGAGGCTGAGGCAGGAGAATGGCGTGAACCCGGGAAGCGGAGCTTGCAGTGAGCCGAGATTGCGCCACTGCAGTCCGCAGTCCGGCCTGCGCGACAGAGCGAGACTCCGCCTCAAAAAAAAAAAAAAAAAAAGAATGGAAAAAAGAAAGTAGGGACAAGGCATTGTATGGATTATAATGTAGCAGAATCTGTATTTTAATGTGTTAGGTTAATGTGTAACTAGGGATATCATGTTACATATCTGTAAATGAGTGGTAAAAGTAAAAATATTTACATTTATATTTAGATTAATACTTTGTCCAATAATCTTTCTGAACATAGTTATAGCAGAAGTCACAATTGATTCAGCTTGGACTTAATGGATATATTACCACGGATTCAGACTTCACATATAGAGAAATGCTCATTAATTTGGAATAACCTAATTAAATAATGTAGTTCATTTAGTAATCTAGTGGCTAAAATTTAACAGTCTTTACTTCTTATATAGCCAGTTTCAAGAGGGTTCGCAATTTGGTCAGGAAGAGTTTCAGACGTTTTAAAGAAAATATTATCCAAGGAAAGCAATTTTGCTAAATATTATATCTAAAAGGCTATAAAAAGGGCTATTGAGATATAATGTCTAGAAAACCAGTTTGCTTTTTCTCCTAAGCGTAATATTAGCTTCAAAAAAAGTGACTCAGTGCAGTTGAACATTCACTTACTAAACATAATTAACCGTCTCTTATTATAAAGTTAATACTATGGGCTATTGTGATGTCATGATTGCTTTTGGTTTTAACTTGCTTCATTTTACCTTGATCTCCTTTCCACATTTCGTTCAGTTGAAAAGGAGATGTATGAAAATGTTTATTATGATTTCAGAAAAATATGGAGGACACTTTGTAAGTTGAGGAAATGAAGAAGGCATGTTAGTGGTTTTTTCAAAAGTTAGTTTGTGGTATTTTGCATTAGAAAGTTGTTTCAAGTCTGTCTAAATATAAGTCAGGAGAACATTTTTATTCGAAGTAGCAGGAGAAATGGAAGGTGGAGATGTTCAAATTTAGGTCATCTTAAAATTATCTTATTGGGAAACCATTCGCCTGTATGTAGAGGGCATGAAGCCACATATCAGCTGTTTATATTAATTTTCTTATCTGAATATATTTAATCCCATCCCTAATGTCAGCTTTATTGTGTAGTTTCTTCTTATTTTAAATACCTAGTAAAATAGAGTATCAACATTTCTACCTAAAACAATGTTATATTAATGAAATTGGAGTCATTCCTCCTCTTTTGGGTGTGCTGGTATAAACTTGTCTGCCTAGTTACCACTTCTTAGAGGGTAGATTTTAGATATATATAATTTTCAGTTGGTGGTGTTAGCTTTTGTTAGGTGAGAACTCAGAACTAACTTGTTCCTCTTGCTTTTTAGAAAGCTGCTTGGATTAACTTGTGATAAACATCAGACTTCATGCATACAAAGCCTTGCTATGATGTAAGACACTGATGGTAATAGTTTTTCCAGGGTTAGTTTTTAGTTTATGTGTTATCCAGAACTTTATTGTAGAATTTGTCCATAATAAATGTTTACCATCATTTCTAAATATATATGGAATGCCTATTACCCTGAACCTAAGATAGAAAATGCTGGTTTTTTGTTTTGTTTTGTTTTGTTTTTAATGCAGATAACAAGTGAGAAGGAAAGAGTTAAAAGATGTGCAAATTAGTTCAGGCCAGATGAATTGCCCCTATATGAGGCAAGGTTGGTATCTGCAGTGGTGAAATTGTGGCAGTGCCATCATAGTTCTCAGTAGTTAACTTTTTCTCTTTTTTTTCTTTTCTTTTCTATAGGTGACATGAGAATTTTTCAGATTTCAAAAAAGACATGGTTTGGCTATTTCTTAACAAGGTTAAACAGATACTTATGATATAACCCAGCAACCCCACTGCTAGATATTTACCCAAGAAAAATGAAGTTATTTGTCCATACAAAAATACTCTCTGTAAATGTTGCCAGTAGCTTTCTTCATAATCACCCAAAGACATTTGGTAACAACCCAAATGTCTGGCAGCTGGTGATTGGATAAACAAATTGAGATACATCCATATAATGGAATATAACTTAACAATAAGAAGGATCAAAGTACCGATATGTCCAACAACATGGACGAAACTTAAAAGCATTTATACTAAGTAAAAGATACTAGAATCAGAAGTTTATATATTCTGTGATTCCATTTACATGGCATTCCGTAAAATAAAACTGGGGACAGAAATCATATCCATGGTTACCATGGAGGGAGGGGGATTGGAGTAGGCGATTGATTTCAGAGGGGCCTGACTTTTTGGTGTGATAGAAATGTTTCCTGTCTTGAAGTGTAGTGTTCACACAGCTGTATAAGTTTTTCAAAACCCACAGAACCATCTGAAAAGGTGAATTTAACTATATGTAAATTATACTTCGAAAAATGAATAAGAAAAGACACAGTTTAATAGTAGTCACCCCTTATCCACAGTTTCACTTTTCAAGGTTTCAGTGACCTGTGGTCAACTGCCTCTCAAAATATTAAGTGGAAAATTCCTGAAATAAACAATTTATAAGTTTTATATGGCATGATGCTCTGAGTATGGTGATGAAATCTCACACAGACCTGCTGTATTCTGCCCAGGGCGTGAACCTTCCCTTTGTCCATAGATCCATGCTGTCTACACTCTCTGCCCGTTAGGCACTTCGTAGCCATCTCAGTGATCAGATCAGCGTCCTGCTATTGCAGCACTTGTGTGCAAGTAATCCTTACTTTACCTCATAGTGACCCAGAAGCACAAGAGTAGTGATATTGGCATATTGTTCCAATTGTTCTGTTTTATTAGAGATTATTCTTAATCTCTTACTATGCCTAGTTTATAAATTAAAATTTATAAGGGGTATGTATTATTGGAAAAAACATATATAGGGTAGGTACCGTCCGCAGTTTTAGGCATCCACTTACATAATGGGGGACCTTGGAATGTATCCCCTGTGAATAATGGGGGCTACTGTACATCTACCATATATTACAAAACACCCCCCGTGGAGACTGGGGCTGTACTATGTAACAGTGATATTTTTGTAGTGAAATATATGACAGCTGTGCTGTGTAGCTGTGTACACTAAATGGGTCAAGTTTTGCTGCCATCTGAGTTTTTAGAGCTTTTTGGGTTTCAGATTTGCAAACAAGGGAGTGTGAATTGATGGCTGTAGAAAAAGGACCTGTGATATAGAACAAAATGTAAAAACTATTGCCAAGTTGTTTTGGATCAAATAGGGAATTTACTTTTCCTGATTTAAATCACTTTTTATGCAGCAGACACTGTGATGGTAAAAAAAAAAAAAAAAAAAAAACACATACACACACACACACACACACACACACACACACAAAAAAAAAAAAAAACAAACTAATATCCCACTTCCCCCAGCCCCTAGCTGCCATTAACACAGATAGTTGATGGCTTAAATAATAGTGGTTGTCCTGAGCTCCCAGACTGAACACATAGCATCATAACCTGCCATGCTTAGAGAGTTCCCTCCCTCCTTCCGTCTTCCTTTCCTCCTTTTTTGTTTTCTTTTTAATATATCAAAAAGTTCTTTCATGTGTACTGTGGTCACAAAGGCTGTTTTCTTTTAAAGTACCGGCACACTTTGCAGAAAGTCCCACTGGTTAACAGCTTCTAGAGGAACACCTCTTTTACCTTTTAATATCCAATTTAAAGAATGTATGTATTTGATAATACCCTCTTTTTTTGGCCGATGTGTATTTATTGAGACACCTATTGATGGCTACAATTGACACCACATCAGAAACAAGTACAAATGATTGGAAACCCTGCTAAGTGTCAGGAAATGGGATGTGTATCTTAGATGTTACTCGTACTAAGAGAGGTCATATTACTGCCTCCTGCATAAAGCTTTTACAAAGCTTTTATTATATGAGTGTTATATTGTGTTTTTGAAATGTTTTAGGACATTGATTGAGGTTTTTGTGTTGACATTTAATATATTACAATTTTTAAGACATGAAAATAATATATAAATTTTATGACATAAAATTATGACATAAAAATTTTAATATAGGATAATAGAGTTGTATTTGGGGCCTTTTACCTTTTGGATTTTTTTTTTTTTTTTTTTTGAGCAGGAGTCTTGCTCTGTTGCCCAGGCTGGAGTGCAGTGGTGCGATCTCAGCTCACTGCAACCTCTGCCTCCCAGGTTTAAGAAATTCTCTGTCTCAGCCTCCCGAATAGATGGGATTACAGGCACGTGCCACCACGCCCAGCTAATTTTTTTGTGTTTTTAGTAGAGAGGAGGTTTCACCATCTTGACCAGGCTGGTATTGAACTCCTGACCTCGTGATCCACCCTTCTGGGCCTCCAAGGCGCTGGGATTACAGGTGTGAGCCACCGCACCCGGCCTGGAATTTTTTTTCACAGCTGCTATGCAGGGGTCGGGGGGTTCATTTCCGTTTTCCTAAAGAATTGGAAAGCTTCTCAAATAATAACTTCGTAGTTTGTCTCTAGTTCCATACTTTGGTGAGCTTTTTTTCTTTTAAAAAAATGTTGTAACAAGTCTATAAAGATTAGAATTATTGAAAAAGTAACTTTCTTTTGAAAGAGCTGGTTTTTATTTACCTTCTAGTTAAAACATTACCAAAAGTTTAGAATTGTTAACCAAGTAGATAGTACAGGTTGGGTAAAATTGTTTAACTGCTTACTCTACAATTTTCAGGTACTACTTTTTATAACAATTTAGTAGAGTGTTTTTTCTCAAATAACTTTGTTTTGTTTTAAGTCTGTTTAAAGCAACATTAAAACCATCTTAGAAAAACTGCTTACCAATACTAAGAATCAAATACAGGATGGAAGTTTAAGAGTTGAAACTTTAGAAATCGTTTAACCTGTTCATTTTCCAGATGACAGTAAAATGAAGGTTCTGTGAAGCATGAAGTGGTTTACCCAAGGTCACACAAGTAAACTAGTGGCAGAGCTAGAACTCATTCTAGATCTGTTATTCAGTCCAGCATTTTTTATTTCACATGTTTCATGGTAATGAAGTAGTTGTTTGGTGTTCAGTAAGGAAAAAAAAAGCTTATGTTTTGGTAGTGATAATTTTAAGAGTAAAGAATATGGAAAATGGTTATTAGGGTAAAAGGTAACTTCTTATATGCTCATTAAAAACACTGCAAAGTTTCGTGGTCCAATAGAAGTTTCAGCTCTTCTGGTGAATGGTCTCTCTGCAATGTTCAGTATAGAGGTACTAGCTAGTTACCTGTGCCTACTGAATACCTGAAATATGGCTGGTGTGACTGATGAACAGAATTTTTATTTTTATATAATTTAATTGTAAGTGTTGAGGGGAGTGGCTAAAATATTGGACAATGTAGAGATTATGTTGGTACTAAGCAGAGTGATGTTAGCTAGTTTAAAAGGTCAAGGTTCCAGGAGACAAGGAAAGGGTCTCTACCAGGAAAATACTCTGTTCAAACTTAGAATTTAAGGACAACAAACAACTGTGTTTAGAATGGATGTTCAGTGTTTAGATTGGCCATGATTCTAGACTTAATTGGTGGTATGGACTTTGAAGCCAGTATCATAATGAGTAGAAATATCTGATGGGATTAAAAAGTACAAAGAAGGCATTGAGAGCTGTGATAACTTTGTAATTTACCCCAGTTGTTCTGAATATATTTTTGAAAGATCCTGGAGCAAAATAATACAGGTGTGTCTGGAGCCCATGTTTAAGTATAGCAGAGTATCAGTCTGTCTGAATATTGCTTTGAGAGGAAGACCTAACTCTAATTCTTGAGATTAGATTACTTCCTGGTGCTTTAGCTGAATTCCTTCCACAGCCACATAGCTGGTTTTTAATTTTCAAATCTACTAGTGAAAACATGATGGAATATATAACCTAAATTAATATTTTATTCTTCATATAGGTTGTCAGTTTAGCTACAAGAATCAATTCATCTCTTAATTTGCTGGTACCTTGATGAGAAAACATCTATATCAGTGTTATCAATTCATGGTACTACTTAGCACTCTGGAATATAAGAGTCCCCACATTAACCTGAGAATTGAGATTCTAGACTGAAGTCTTTACATACTTCTTCCCTTGAGATGCTTGATAAGTTCAGAAATTAAGGTATGCTATGGAAAATGCAAAATGGATTCATCATTGGAATAGACCTCAGTGAATTTTCTTTATTCCTGAAATTCCCTTGGCCCAATAGCCTTTGCTTGCAAGCTCATCTGTAAATTTAAATGCTTTAAAGTAGTTTTGATGAACATTTTTTGCTTGTTATATTGATGTGATTAACCTAGTTAAAGCTAATAATTGTCATTATTTTTTAAGTTGTTTGATTGTTATTACTATTTGTTACTCTCTCCTTTTGCTTACATGTCTTTTTCCAGAACTCAGATTTGTTAGTTTGTGCTCACATTTTAGCCTAGTGCAGGGCCTGACAGATAATGGATAATACTTAGTGAAACCTAAGACAATCTGTTTAACTGCCTTGACACCAATTTCAGATGATCCCTTAGGAGAGTGGTTCTGAAATTGGGGGTGAGGTGACACGGAGAAAGGGTGACTTTCAAATGACATTCCTCTACTTTTATATAATGCAAAGTGTTACTGATAGGTTTGGATACCATGCATAATGGTTGAAAGAGAAAAGTCAGAATTTTTTTTTTTTTTTTTTTTTTTGAGATAGAGTTTCTCTCTTGTTGCCCAGGCTGGAGTGCAATGGCACAATCTCAGCTCACTGCAACCTCTGCCTCCCGGATTCAAGAGATTCTCCTGCCTCAGCCTCCTGAGTAGCTGGAATTACAGCATCCACCACCATGCCTGGCTAATTTTTTGTGTTTTTAGTAGAGATGGGGTTTCACCATGTTGGCCAGGCTAGTCTCGAACTCCTGACCTCAGGTGATCCACCTGCTTTGGCCTCCCAGTGTGTTGGGATTACAGGTGTGAGCCACCATGCCTGGCCCAGAATTCTTTTTTAGCCTCTCATTGCTTTAAGAATTTGTGGTTCTATGTTCATAGTCTTTCCATGCTATTCCATCTCAACAAAACCAAATGACTTATTTTTACAAAACTAAGTCTACCTTCATCCTGTCAGTTTCTGAAGGGGCAAAAGCACTTACAATGTTAAAATTGAGATAAGTCAGTAATCATGACTTCTCCTTAGTGATTTAAGTTTTCTTCATTTTTACTCAAAAAGTAATTTTGCCTTTACACTAAGTGAAAGAGAAGCTGTTTCTGACTACTCCAGAAAAATAAAAAGAGCTTTATTTTTCAGCTTTGTTTTAATAACATAGCTCTTTAACACATAAGCCTCGTATTTCTCCCTCTCTCTCTCTCTGTGTGTGTGTGTGTGTGTGTGTGTGTGTGTGTTTGTGTGTGTGTATGTATCTTTGCTTCTTTCATATCATTACTATTTTACCAGTAAAAACAATTTAGATTTTGGAAAGTAAACTTTTTGGCTTACTTTCAAAAATTCCATTTACTTTTATTTTAATAGAAAATGTTTTAAGCCATCTATTTTCTTCATTCCTGGTTGCTATTATCTTGACTATAATTGCCTAGTTTCCTTTCTGGCTGATCTATTACTAGTCTTTATCTGGATGTTATTAAAGAATATAAATGCTCCATAGAGCACCATAGTCTCAGCCAGAATATTTTCAGATTCTCAGCTAAGATGAAAGAGAACTGGTGCTTTGGCTGTTAAGTAAGTAGCTCAGATTTGTTATCAGAGTGTGAGGGGCTCTAAATTCATTATGTTAGCTGTTCCTGGGAGCTAGCGTTTGAAAAATCGCTTCAGCTGTTTATGGATTGTGGTCCTTGGGCACCAGATAGTGGATGCTAGAATGTATTGCAGAAAAGCTGATTAAAGTACTAGGATCTCTAGCAGGAAGAGTAGAAAGTCATTTGTAATACCTGTGTCTGACTCTGTTGGATGCACTTAATATATTTCCTTTTGAAAGCTTTGGTTTATTATCAGCTTATCCGGGAAGGAATAGCATTTTTGCAAAAATGTGCCTTTTGGTGAAAACATCAATAAACTATGCTTGATGAGAAGTTCAGGTAGGGAGAGACTGATTTGAACTTTGAGGTTCCTAAATACTTTGCGGTTTTATTACCACTCTTATTGGAGTCATGTTTCACTATGACTTAAATTTCAATAGTAGCTACTTTTAAGTTCACAGTTTTAATGTGTTTTTACTGTCTGTCAGGGAATTTATACTTTAAAATGTAGACTGTCAGAATTTACTTTTTTTTTTGCCCACCTTCCTCTCCAACAAAAGTTTGCTGAAGTACAGTATGGAAGTATTTTATGTAATCACAAAACTTGCAGCTTTTTAAGTATACTTTGCACTACCCTTGTTAAAATATTGCAGTATTTTCTCATTACTTTCAAAGTAAAGTTCAAACTTCTTAGCTTAGAGAGACATTCATGATGTTTCCATTTCTTCTCTGTCTCGTCCATACCCATTCCCCTGTGAGTGTCCTTTGCTTCAGATACACAGAGCTACTTACAACCATTCCCCTTCTCCTTTCTTTCACTGTGGTAGCTTCCTTCTCCCTGACCCTGCTTCACCTGAGGATTACTTGTCCTTCCTTCAAAACTGCTCAAGTTTCCCCTCTTCCAGGAAGGCTTCCTTGACCCCCAACTACCCTTCCAATCATTAATCCCATTTACACTGGCTGGTAAGCTCTCTAACATTTCATACAATTTCTTTACTGTAATCATTTATTTATTTGTCTGTCTCCTTTAATAGAATAATATTCCTTGAGGTCAGAGATGATAGTGTCTTTCGCGTTAAAATCTGGCATACAGGCCTATTGAAGAAATGTGACTCTACGAAATTAATACATTTTATAGATACATTGCGTAATTTGATTTACTTTGATCCTGGTTCTGTAGACATTTGGGGGCATGGGTTATGCCATTTTCCTCACAAGGAGCTTTTAAAGTTGACTCTCTAACTTCCATATTGCTACCTAAAATGTTTAACAAAGGTAGGTCTTGGGCTTTGGGAAGGCAGGAACTTAAATAGATGGAGGATATAATGAAATGACCTTTACTCTGTCAGTTGGCTAAAAAATCTGAAATACAATTTATGGGAAATTAGAAAGACCAACTCTATGACCATGAAATCATATATTCTAGCTTATATTCTTAAACTTATAACTTTATTGGTATACAAAGTTCTTTTAAGAGAAAATAGGTATTTAACAACTTTTTACTTTGAAAATACCTGGTTATAGTTTTCAGATTTTAACCTAATCTTAATCCAGGAGGCAAGACAAAATTAAAGCTAAAGAATATTTGCTAATAATGGGTTATAGCATTTAAGTATGTATTTGGTAGCCTTGAGATGTCTTTGTAATATTTGCATCAATATTCTGCATTCTTTAGCAAAACAACATGCGAAGTCCATATTTACACATAAGATTTTTTAAAAGTTACTTAATATTATTTCATAATAGAATAACATTTTCATTTAGTCTAATGTTTTATTATATGAGCACTTAGTATTTGCTTTCATGTAATTATTTGTTGAGATACTTTGTATAATTATTTCTTTAGTGATGTAGCAAACTAAGTCAGTGTATTACAGCTGAATCATAGTCCTGGCTGTTCTTTTTATTTACTGAAGGAACAAACACTGTATTATTAACATTCCTTGTCCTTCAATTGAGCTTGCAAAAGAAATTTGTTTGTTAGATCTTGAATACCCTAAGAAATGTATTATGGATGGTTTTTAATTATATTTCTATTTTCATCATTTGATATATTTTTAAAATCTTGTGATAAAATAGAATGGGGGAAAATTACCCATGTCGCAGTAGTTAGATATCTGCTCATTCTCAAAGACCCCAAGCTCCTTTTAAAAAATATTTTAAGATTTATTATATGTTAAAATTGGTATTGAATTTATATGAAGTATTAAGATTACAGCATGTCAGAATATTATTGCCATTTAAGAATGTATTCACTGTTTTGGTTTTTGGAGCACCGCCTCCAAGAGGTTCATGGCATTTGGTACGTAGTTCACGTATTTCTAGTCTACAGACCTTGCCTATCGAGTCAAAGCCTTCGTGGTTCTGATATTTGCATTTTCTACTGCTATAAAGCTCAACAATAGTAATTAATGTTTTTTTTTTAACTTTCCATGTCATTACCAATAAAACTTCAGTTTTTAGAAGACTAGTAATTTGTACCTTTAAAGAGCCACATTATTTTGCTTTTGTCTCAGAATGTATTATGCTTCCCAAGTATACTGTGACAGCCTGAATAGAGAAAAGGGGGGAGGGGACATTGTCTTCAGCTGGCATGCTGTTATCAGAGGGAATGTGTTTCTGGACACGAGATTTAGCATTCATTGGTTGTCTGAAGAAAGCTATTTCATCTGAGGATTGGACAAGAAGCTGCGTCAATTTGCTGCCCGTCTCCAAGGCACTGGTGATGCTGCCTTCACAAGCTGGCTAACGTCACGGCTCCATCACCCAGCGGGGTGTGGACTCTCTTTTTCTGTTCTTCTCTATTTAATTCTCTATTTGCTGCCTACTGCATTTCTTAATCTGTCTTCTGCCAAATGCTAACAGCATGATATTTTGCAATCATCTAGGTGAATACAAGAAAGACGAACTCCTAGAAGCTGCTAGGTAAGTGATTCCATTCATTTTAAGTGTATATAATGCATTAAGGAAGAGAAGGAGGAGGGCAGGTGGAGGACTATAAAAAATATAACGTTATTGTCTTGCTTGGATTTTATGCAATTATGCAGATACTAAATCTTTATATACTTTATATCATTATTGTATATAATAAAATCTTTTCATGTGGTGATGATTATAAGGTTAATTTTATTTGGAACATTTCCTAAGGTACCTGTAAACCCTAGTTGCCCAGCTTTTCCAGCGATATTCTTGGAGTATTTAAATACCTATATCTTCATTTTCATCTGAAGATTTTTCTAGCAAAGCTTGAATGAAGAGCAAAAAGTAAATGTTAAAATCCTCATCTATTTTTTTTGTGTTCTTGGTCGTTTATAATTTAATTGATTAGCTCTTTACAGCATTTTGTATGTATTTTTAACTCCAACGTTTTAGTCTATTTATCAGAATAAAGTTTGTTTGTAATTAAGAAGATGACTTTATGTAGATAAATAAAACAAAAATGTAGAAAGCTATGTTATTTAAGATATACCACTATAGGGTAATTAACAGGAATTAATTAGAAATATATTAATTGAATTGAATATTGCAAAAGAGATTTATTGTGATCCATGTAAAAGAAATCAAAGCAAACCCATATTTTACTCTCGTGTGAAAAAATTATGCATAAATATTCATAAGAAGCTTTGTAATTTTAGAGGAATTGACTTACTACCTTTTTATAGGAGTGGTAATGAAGAAAAACTAATGGCTTTACTGACTCCTCTAAATGTGAATTGCCATGCAAGTGATGGGCGAAAGGTAAGTTATTTTAAATACAATCCTCTTTAATTGCAATGCTTCAAAATTTTGTGAATGTGGCATATATATATATAAGCACGTATACCTACATGGCTTTATTTTAACTGGCATCTTTTCACTGTAAATGAAATGCTACTATATCTGTTATTGGCAGTTGTGACACATTCATAGAACTGGTGAAGCATGGATCTTAAGTAAGCCTTTTCTCTTAAATGTCAGACACAGCAAGTTATTTGTTACATGAAACTGCAGTTTTGTCGGTGATTAAAATTACAGCATATGCTCTTTTCTGGGTATGATAATGGAAACTGGAAATATGAGTGTCCTATTTACCCATCTTTGTTAAGACATTTGTGTTTTTGATTTCTTATTTGGCAGAAGAAGATTTGTTTGCTAGATACCAACACTTTTTCCATTAAAGCTGAGAAATTGCTGTTAATGATTTTTTTACATCTATGTAACAGCTCTGCTCTTTTATTATTATTTGTACTGGCTAAGTTTTAGTTGTGGAATATTGAAAGAAAATAGATTAAAACAGAGAGGAATATTCTATATTAATATGCAGTTGCCATAAATGTAAGGTAATATATAAAATATACAGCTGGCAGCTTCATTATCTACTTTGTATTCTTGCTGAAGATAGACTGAAATGTAATCCTTTATGGCTTTGGTAATTGCAGAGTTTTGTAATGATTTACGTAATAGACATTGAAAACCAATGCACTCTGTACCATAAAGTTGGTTTTTTTTTAAATGAGAGTTAATTTTTTAATGTTAACTAAAAACCTGAAACATTTTTAAAGACACATTACAAAAATTGAGGAAAATTGTATGTCTGATATTTAGAAATGAATTCTTTTGAAATTATTTACAGTGAAAATGTTACGGCAAATATCAGGATGGATGGTACCCCTTAGAAATAATAAATTATTTTGCTTTTAAAAAATTACTTTTCTGTGAGTGATAATTTTGCAGATCAGATTTTTGCAAGCTTCCCCACTTTTTCTCTATTTTAATGAAATCCAAAAATAGTGGCAAGGAATTGAGTCCCTCGGAATATAATTTACGTTCATTTGTTTTTGTAGATAGCTTATATATCGTTACATGGCCCAGTGAGTATTTTGTTTCTCTGGGTAATTTGGGGAGAGACTTCTACTTTCATAGAAGGTTAAATTACACATATCAAGCCATAAACTAGCAAAGATTTACTCAGCACTATTAGTTACTCTTGGGAAGTGTTTTTAAATGGTAACTGTTCATTTTTCCTTCAGTTTTGAAGTTGCTTTAGGGAATTTCACACTCTTGTGTGCACTTGAAACTCCAGATTTTATTTGGATTCTCCAAGTAGATAAAGTGATTTCTATCACTGTGTAGAAAAGGGCCTTCTTATCTGTGGTTAAATGCAGCTGTTTTTTAGACAGAGCTTGTTTCGCCCGGCCTACGTCACTTTTCTATAACTGTTTTAATACTACAGAACTTATGTGAGATTTCTACAGCCGGAGTCGATTTCTGTCACAGCCTCGTTTTCCCTTCCTTACCCTTCTACTTTGACAGCCACATTCCTAGTGCAATAAATCATAATAATTAAGGAACATGATCCCTGATATTTAACAAATTCTCTCTTCTCCCTGCTTCATCTCCTACACAAATGTATAGAACTCATTTATTTTTCCTTTTCCTTAAAGGAGAATATACTTCCTTTAACTAGAACCAATGTATTCCTCATCCAAATTCTTGTGGCTCCTTTTCTATATTACTCTGTGGCACTTAGAGTTCCTTAAAGTTCATAAATATCTTTTTCTTTTACTCCTCTACTAGCTCTTCTTGTATTTTGCACCAGGACCAAGGCTGGCACTTTGCATATAGCAGAAGCTTAGAATAGAACTTTGTTGTTCCTTGATAAACATAATTTTATCCTCTGAGTGAGAAAAACATCTACCCTTTGCCATTTAGAAAATTAAATCAGAAGTATGTGAATGCGATATTTTATGTTTTTTGTTATTATTACTAATATTATT
Organism: Homo sapiens; assembly: GCF_000001405.40. Classification (NCBI taxonomy): domain Eukaryota; kingdom Metazoa; phylum Chordata; class Mammalia; order Primates; family Hominidae; genus Homo; species Homo sapiens. The sequence continues at coordinate 3,668,728 of NW_018654717.1, read as the reverse complement.
ATATTTATTTTGGGGTACTGTTAACATGAGGGAGAACCGTATAATTTATAATGTATAGAACATTTTTAAGAACGTACCTCAAGCATTATTATTGTACCAAAAGATTCCTAAAATATAAATAATGCAATAATGTTCCAAAATGTACTCATACTTTTTTAGATTATCAGGGTTTTTTTCAAATTAAATTAGATAGAAAAAATTAAACTTAAGCATTTATTAGGTTTTAGTGCTATGCATATAAGAAATAATTAACAATTGCTCATCTGTGTGGTTTGAATTGAATAATTCCTATTTAGATATTATTCTCATTTACGGCACAGAGTAATTCTTATTAAATGTACCAGTTGCAGTAAAGCCACAAGGTGTTAAATGTTCTGGGTGCTAATGGAGATTGGGACAAGATCCCTTGGTTATGTCAGTTTGTTTTTATTTTCTTCCTGTTGTTATCAAGAAAACAAATCTAGCTGCTAAAATTACAAGTATCTGTCCTAGTAGATATGTAGTCCTTTTTTAGAACATTTGTATGTGTTTATTTAGAATTAGAAAGTCAGATTGTGTATTAATGAGATGATAAAGGTACTTTTTCATATGTAGTAAATCAGGCATATAAAGTTTATTTCCTGAATTTCATTTTAGAACACAGCGTAGAAGCGAATCCTTTTTTGGAAGTTTCCTAAATTACTGTATTATTGCTTAACTGAGCCCTTTTCTTAGTTTTTACTACAGTTCCTGGTTTGTAAATTTAAAAAGCCCATGAAAATGTTAATTTTGAAATGTTTTTGGAAAAGAAATGTCTCTTATACAGTGGTTAGTAGGTGGGGAATTTGCCTAGAGATATGTGGGGGTTTGAGACTTTAGGTTTTTTTTTAATGTAATATGTGGGATTATACAATGAGAGTGTAAATTTTAAGTACTCTTAATTCTATACTGTGACTTGATGATTATCTAATTAGGTAATATGTGAGAAGTTAATATTTTGTTTCCCAAAGACAATTGTTTTCCTAACCTTTAGAATTCTGAAAATTATAAAACATCAATAAGGTTTTATACAGTTTATATTGTTACTATGCTTTTATTTTACACATAAATCAAAATTGGCTCCTGGCTACACTAGAAATTTTACTGGCTTTTTTTTTCCCTAAAAGCAGAATTTTTTTTTGTTCTAAAATGCTACCTTTTGTTGTTGCTCTAAAATGATACTTTTATGCAATTATATACGTGTTATAATGATGACCACTTTTAGAAACATAGGGACATAGATGTTATTTAGTCATCTTCTACCTTCTGCCCAGTATGATTAGTCATAACAGTCCACAATTCATTATTGCCATTAGGTGAACCAGAACCTGAAAATAGGTTGTTGCCTTTCTAGAATTCTTTATTCCTTTATTTTCAAACTTGGATTTTTTGATCTTTAATCTCCCTTTACAGTGTTTTATATCAGTATCAGATGTTTTATTAGCTATTATCCACATGTTCTGGCCTTGTTTGATATCTAAATTTAAGGTGGTAATATTCTCTTGTTTTCCAGTGTTAATTTTCGTAAGGATACCTTTTATAATAAATGAAAATAAATATTTGAATAAAATTAGTCCAACAGTCAACTCTTTTGAGAGTTCTTTGTGGTTCCTCTCTGTGTTATTCTCCTTTTCTAGGTGTCTTTATCCCCTTCCAAAATAAATGTCCAAAATTATCCATTCCTCATCTTAATAGGCAATAGGTAGGGGTTAGGGACTATGGCACATATTTCCAAATAGAAATAATATGTATCTTTGAATATATCTACTCTGCCTACTGTTGCTACTAGTATATGTCACCAATTAAAAGTAACTAATATTTGATAGGTGCTTTTAAAATAACATCTCCAATGTAATTTTGAGTATTTCAGGTTTCCCTCTGCTCCTTTCATTCATTCATTCCACCAACACTTAATACCTACCATGTGTGGGTCACTGTGCTTAGTGTCATGGGAGATAACTATATGGTTGATGGTACTGGTTAACGGGGAGCTCAAACATTGGTAGAATGATTAAGACATTATGGAAGACATTGAAGCTAATGCATTAAAATGATACAGTATTCCTTTTGCGGTGATACAGTTATAAAGTGCTGATTTAAGGTGACAGTGTTTTTTCCTGGCCCTTTTAGTTTTAACGCTTTAGTATTTAGTATACCCTTCTGTAAGAAACCACAAATTTAGATGAGCAGGTAATTGGAGGAACATGATTTTAATTCAGAAAACTTAAGGATTTCTTTAAGTGTCAACTTCCTGTAAATATTTGCTTCCAAATAGTTAATAATGAAGATGACTGGAAACAGAGAAAAGTAAAGTGTTTGAAAACTACTTTCAAAAGGAAATCAATCAGAAATAAAGTAGAATTTAGTGAATTTAGTGCTGTACCTTGAAGACACCATAGAAAAACTGTGATAGGGCAAATAGACTGTAAGGTCAGAGGGATTGGGTTCTATTCTGCTTTCCAAGTGTGTGTCTATGGCTCTAGAGTTTTTAATTTACTCACTCTCAAATGGAAATAACCATACCCTTTCCACAAGGCATTTGAGAGGATTAAGTGAAATAATGTGGTCAGTATACCTAGTACAGTTTGTAGCACACAGTAACCTTTAGAAAATTAGATTCCTACTCCTTTGATAATTTTTTCTGAAACTTTCAAATGTATCTAGAATGGACACTTACATACTTTTAAGTACTCCAGTGTTCCCCTTCTCTCCACTTAAATGTCCTTATTATCCAAGCTCTGTCCCAGCTGCCTTTGGATAAAATAACCTGTAGATTGTCTTGTAATCTATAAAGCATATAATTTAATTAATTCAGTTGGAGCTTGGCCTTCCCCTCTCTTCACCCAGTGTCACATTTAATAAATAAATTTGTCTAAATTAGCAGCTTATAAATTCAGAAATACATTCTTGAGATATATGCCCATTTTTAAACACGTGTTGATTAAAAATTAATATCTGGCTGAAAATAATGCCATATATGGAATTCCATAAACCCCATCCAGTGAAGAACAAGAAAGATGGAGGATTAGTGTAATTCTTTGTATCTACATTTAAGTTTTAGGGTTGTAGAGTTTCTCATTATTCTTGATCAGTACCCCCGTCTCTCAGTATAACTTTTTTCCAAATACTGTGTTTGGCCAGGATTTTAACAATCTTTATGTGGTAGGTTGTTATTTGGAGATGCCTCAATAAACCGTCCCTTTTATTACTCATGCCCTTGTCTAGCCCCCTGCCACACTGACTCTGGGCTTAGCCTGGGACTGCTTTGAATAAAATAAGGCACAAGTGATACTCTGTCCTTTTCAGGACACGCCCCTGAGTTGGCCTGGCAGCTGCTAGTTTCTTTTTTTGTAATTCTTCTTGGAACCCAGCTGCCATGTCATAAGGCAGCCCAAGCAGCCATGTGACGAGGTCCACATGAAGAACTGAGGCCCCTAGCCAACAGACCCACCTGAGTTCGTATGGAAGCTTCTTAATGATTCTAACTATTCACACGTCCCAGACAATTTAACCCCATCTGAGTTCCCGATCCATCTTTAGGGTGACATCAGCCATCCTAGCACCGTAGCTCATACCACATAGAGCTGAAGACCTGCCCAGGTAATTCACTGCTGTTGGGGTGGTTTGTTATGTAGTAATAGATAACTGAAATACCTGATTAAAAGAAAATATAACTCAATGCTTATTATCTATTGGGCAAGAAAGATTCCATCTTTTTTTCAGCTTTATTACTGAAAATGATTCGTTGATAGTTACTTGGAAGAATAAGTGAGGATTTTAAAATATCTTCCCAAATGTATTTACGTCTTTAGATATGTTCAGTTCTTTTGAATTTATATCTTACAATTTAAGTATTTTCCCCCTTGAAATGCAAAAACATAATTTTATGTGCATCTTTTGGGGTCATGGTATTGTGGGAAAAAGCAGGAACTTGAAGCTAGAAGATCTGATTTTAAGTTTCAGCTGTTATTAGCCATGTGTTCATGGCAAATTTTATCATATCTCTGAGTTCTCAATTTTTTTAGCCTAAAAAAATGAAGAATTTGGGCCATGTGAGCTCTAAAGTACCTTTCGACTCTAACATTTCAAGATTATAATATATTTTGTTACTTATTTTTCAGCAGAGTTAGTAGCAATTACCCATAATGCAGAATTGAATTTCCTAAGTGACTGTATCCTCACACTGGATAGAACACTCATGGCATCTGCAGTGAAGTTTATGTAGAGCCCTTTTCCCCTTTAAGAAAGGAAGTGTTAGCATTACCTGGGGGTACATATCTGGCTCTCTATGGCCTATAGTGACCTTTATCACCCTCCATTCTTGCCAAATCTTGGTAGATAAAAGGTCATACCAGTTTTAAATTTCCAACTTTTATGGATCCTAGCTCAGATGCTACTTGGGATTACAAGAAGGTCAAAATGCAGTAAGTCTGCGTTAGGGAACTCTTCAAATACTTCAGGTTCAATTATATATCTAATCAAGTCACTTCTTCGGAGTACGTCTTGCTGAGCAATGCATATCTTACTGTAGTGCCAAAATCCCTTAGAGCAAGTTTTCTTGCCTCCTTATGTTGGGATATATTGTATAAAATCTTTATGCTTATGTATATTCATTTTGTACCAATAAGGACTTGAAAATGTCTTTTTTATTTTTCATTAGGGAATTGCTTCTACGAAAACAATCTCTATTTTGTCAAGCATGACATTTCTACTGGTAAGGGTAATTAGTACCAATGCCAAGTGCGCTGTTTTCTCTGCTGGAGAAATGAATTTTTAGTAGAAGGGGACCGACCACAGTGCTAAAAAGCAGCAAGACGATAAAACTTAGTTGTCCATTTACCTCTATTTAGCCACTCTCCTAGCTTTGAATTGTCCTGCCTTCCTATCCAGAAGCACAAGTTTCCTGCTGTTTTCCACTTTAGACTGCTCAAGGGACCGGAAGGGAGTTGGTACTAAATCCTTTGGCCGTGAGTGTGAGTCATTATTAAAAATTTAGAAGCCAAATTACAAATATGACACTTCAGCATCTGTTTTTAAAATTGTTAGAATCGAAGTTTAAAGTGTTCTTTCTGCCTTTACAAGTAAACCGAACTTTACATTAGTAGAGTGGATTACAACTACAGCAGTAGCTGGAAAAACACCCATGTCACAGAGGGGCAAAGGAAAAAGAGCAGGAAGAAACACACAAGATAGCTTCTGTGGTATTGCCGATGTCCCAGTTCTCCAACTGAATGGATGCTGGATGATGTTTTAATATATGCTTTATAACTTACATGTTTCTATGGATTAAATATTACATGATAAAGATATTTTAAAATATCTCTGTAATGATTATGATTTGAGTACCCTTTGGTTTGAACAGACTGTTCAGTTAATATCATTTGACAGTAGAGTATTCTACAAAAAGTTATTTAAGTAAAAGACTATATTGTGTAAAAAAAGGCTTGTTTAGGTGCAAACAGAAGTCTGATTTCAGGAAATTCTTCCAGCCTGATGAGAAATGGCAAAAAGAAAGTGATGAGTTAATTATGGATTTAAGAATTCTGAAATTATCTGTAACTTTGAATTGACATTATTAAAACAATTGTTTGGCCACAATATAAAACCAATGTAAACTATTTCTTAATTCATTGTATACCATTTCTAGTGTCTTAGTCAGCTAGGATTGCCATACCATTGACAGGGTAGCTTCAACAACAGAAATTTATTTCTCACAGTTCTAAAGGCTGGGAAGTCCAAGGTTTAGGTTCCAGCATGGTCAGATGGTCTGTTTCTGGTGAGCAAGTTTTTTTTCTTTTCTTTTCTTTTTTTCTTTTGAGACAGAGTCTTGCACTGTCGCCCAGGCTGGAGTGCAGTGGCACAATCTCAGCTCACTGCAAGCTCCGCCTCCTGGGTTCTAGCGATTCTCCTGCCTCAGCCTCCTGAGTAGCTGAGATTACAGGTGCCCGCCACCACACCCAGCTAATTTTTTGTATTTTTAGTAGAGATGGCGTTTCACTATGTTGGTCAAGCTGGGCTGGAAGTCCTGACCTCAGGTGATCCACCCACCTCGGCCTCCCAAAGTACTGGGATTACAGGCGTGAGCCACTGTTCCCGGCCCAGCAAGTTTTTTCATGTCTGTACTTAGAAGGGCACTAATCTTATCATGAGGTTCCCACCCTTATGACCTCATCCAAACCATATTACCTCACAAAGACCCTGTCTCCAAATGCTATCATATTGGGGGTTGGGGCTTCAACATAAATTTTAGGGGAATACTAAGCATTCAGTCAATAAACCTGGTTATTTTTTCTTTATCACTGCCTTTTTTTTCTTTTATTAAAGAGATTATCACTCAAGCTTGCTTCTCTGTCTCACACATATGCATATTAATCCATTCACTCATCTCATTCAGTTAAATTAGGATTGTGTTATGAAAACAAATTTCTAGAAGTATCAAAAATCTTCATATTATTCTGCCTTTTAAAAGAATGTTTTCAGTGACTAATTTAAAGAAATGTTTTTCTCTACTAAGAATGCCATCAAGAGTAAAGCTTCAAGAAAGCACTGTAAATACTATGCATAATCACTTGAAATGCATATTTGGATAACTAAACTGGTAAATTTGGAAATAGACCAATTCTAAATATAAAATGTTTTATATTTTGATTTTATAAAAAAAATGCTTTAATTTGTTAATAGTAACATAATACCCTACTTTTGAATATTATAAAAATGCTCCATAAAATAATCTACTTTCAGACAGTGTTCAATACCCATTAGAATTGGGAGAGAAGGCTGTGGGCAGGGAACAGAACTAGACGTCTCTGCTCCTGGCTGTTTTTGGCTGCCACATTCATTATAGAAATGCAGAAACAACAAAGACTTTATCACTTAAGGAACTTTGAGGTGACAGCATATCTGCAGAATCCTAGAGCTCTTAGCCACATTAAAATCAGCTGAAGGAATTTGTCACTTTCCCAGTTTGCAGTTAAAATGACTATCTAATGATCTAAGGTGGACCGATTCCCTCCTATGTAATTATTAAATGCCGATCAGTGCAAGTGGTTTCTTCTTTCAAGAAGACCTCTATCTGTTGTCCATTACGTAGAATCTTTGATGCTTAGATATGAAAACCTAAGATTGAAAATATTAGTTACAAAAAGGAATTTATGTGCAGTTTGGGTAGTGTGAAAATTTTTCTCCTTTCATGAAGTGTGAAACATCAAGTTACATCAGACCAAGAAACCTTTGATTTTTTTCTTTTCATAAAATCTACCAGCTATTTCTCATTCGATGATGAAAACCTAATGTTGCACCTTGAGAGTACTCAGCATTTTTGTTCACACAAATCTTGTGAGAGCATGCTAGAAACTCATTTTCACCACACGTTTTAATTCTTCTGCTGATTCTGAGGCTGGAAAAGAGAAACACAAATTGCTGGCCGCTGAAAAATCCCCTTGAAGATTCCACAATGATAATGTGACGTTAAAATTGAATTAAGTTGGCATTCAGAGCTTTATTCTCACAAAGATTACCCTATGGATTTCTTGTTCAATCTTATCTGCTCTTCTCCCTTCCCTTCTCTTTCTCTTCTTAATACATACATTTAAAATAAAGATAGTCCTTTATATTCTCACTTTAAAAATAAATTTTTGGCCAAGCATGGTGGCTCACGCCTGTAATCCCAGCACTTTGGGAGACCGAGGCGGGTGGATCATTTGAGTTCAGGAGTTTGAGACCAGCCTGGCCAACATGGTAAAACCCTGCTTCTACTAAAAATGTAAAAATTAGCTGGGTGGCAGGCACCTATAGTCCTAGCTACACGGGAGGCTGAGGCAGGAGAATCATTTGAACCTGGGAATAAATGTAAGTAAGTAAATAAATAAATAAATAAATAATGTTTACTATTTGTGGCAACTTGAATTACAGAAACCTTGTTTTATATTTCATAAATTCTTTAGCTGTTAAAATGCCTTCCTAAAGATGAGTACTTCCATTACTTTGGAAGAACATCCTTTCTGAGGCTATGAAATATCAATTGCTATTTTATCTCTGTTCATGTAATCTATCTAGGATTCATAGAATCTTACTTGGATGGGGACTTAATGGCAACTAGTTCAACCTCCCAATGCAGTGTTAGAACCTTCGCTATGACAGCTCTGACAGGTTCTGCTTAAGAGAGAGAGAGCTCGCTTGTTTAGATCAGACCATATTTGGATTTAGTGCTCAATTTAGGGTGTCACATTTTAAGAAGGGATGTTGACCAACCAGAGTGTAACCAAGAAGGTAGTCAGAAAATTCTTCTCTAATAAGCAGTTGAAGTAACTGCAGGGGAGTTTAGTTCAAGAAGAGACCAAGTGACTGTCTGTTAGAGATATCTAGAAAAATCCTGCACTGGGAAGGAGGCAGAATCAATTATTCTTTCCAATTTCAATATTGTTATTCTTTTTTGTCCTGCTATATTAAACTATTTTTAGGCAGCTTCTGTTATGAAGGAGTTCCACATTTCTGGGGCGCTTATCCAATGGAACAGTCACACTGTCATTATTGATAGAGTTTAATGTCTACTGACCTATGGATCAGAATGCTAAAGTTGTCAGAACCAAGGAGATCCCTGCCTGCCAAGAGTAATTCTTGCCCCTCAGCTATATTAGTCCATTTCTGAACATCCTATCTAGAACCTGAGCCCCCACACAAAGGAAAATTAGAAATGCAGAATGAGAGTTTCTAAGTCAGACTGCCTGGATTTGACTCCTGACTCTGCTTTTAACTTGCCGTGTTAATCACCCTGTTCCTTAGTTCCCTCATTTGTTGTGTGGAAGTAATAGTGTTTCTAGCTAAGGTAGTTGCTGTATAAACAAGTTAATACATATAATGCACTTAGAAAAGTGCTTAGTACATAGAAAATGCCCAAATTTTAGCTGTTATTTTTAATAAAATATTGGTATTTAAAATTTTTTGTATATGCTATGTCATTTTATTTTATTTAGTCATTGCTTATGTTTTCTATTTTCTACATCTTGCACTGGACACTGGCTTAGACTCAGTACAGATTGAAGATCTTTTATCAAAGTCAAAATAATTTATTTGATATATAGAGAGCCACACTCCAGCTAATGAATTATTGTTGTTCATTTTACAGCATCTCAGATATAAAAAATTTGGTTGCATCCTACATGTCTTTTTTTTCTATCTTGTTCCTCCTGTCCCTTCCTCTGATTCTTGTTGTCCCCCCTACTTTTATTTTAGGTTCAGGAGTGGGTACATTTACAGGTTTGTTGCTTGGGTAAATTGTGCGTTACTGAGGCTTGGCTTACGAATGATCCCATCACCAAGGTAGTGAGCATAATACCCAACGGGTAGCCATCCGGCCAACTCCCCTCTCAAGCAGTCCCCGGTGCCTGTTTTCCCATCGTTGTGTTCAGGTGTATTCACTGTTTAGCTCCCTCTTATAAGTGAGAACCTGTGTTTGGTTTGTTGTTCCTGCATTAGTTCACTTAGGATAATGGCTTCCAGCTGCATCCATGTCGCTGTAAAGGTTCTGTGTCATTTTAACCAGAAGACAACTTTGTGAGGAAGTCAGCACTGTTGTCACCCATCTCCCCCATTACAAAAACCGTGAATTAAAGACATTAATATGTTAAACAGCCTTAGGTTTTAGGAGTAGTATCATGCCATGATCCACTGTGATGAGACTATATCTGTCGTTAGATGCGTTTAGCTCTAAGAACAGTGCTTGAAAGAACCGCTGACCAAGAGGTCCAGGACCAGAGAGAAAGACTCGTAATGGGAGAGAAAACATACGGCTATTAGAGAATCTAGTCATGTCATCTGCAGAAGAGACAAATTGGAGGAGTCATACTTTTTGATAAAGAAGTGAATAAAACAGCTTTTTTCCTTTCATCTCACCTCGTTAATCAATATTTATTTTCCACAAGGTTTCTCTTTTAAATTATCATTCTAGTGTTCCAAAAGTTAAGTAACTTCAATGAGAGTGCCTGATCTTCATTATGGTACTACTTAAAAATCCCTTTGAAAGACAGCATTAGCAATGAAATATATTTATTTCCATGGACTCATGCCTATATCGATTCTCTAGCTGTTAATTTGTTTAGGGTTCTCATCTAAATATCACTCTCTCAAAGAGCTACTAAGCTCGTTGCTTCTTAGTTTCTTAGCAGATTAATCATGTCTCTGTGCCTGATAGAAATTTAATAAAGCTAATTATGTGTTTATTGTATTTTCCTAAGAATTCCATTTTAATGGCTAATGTAATATTTTATTTTTAGAAGGGAAACTTATTGATCTTAACCAAATGATAGATCAAATGAAATATGTTTTGATAAGACAGAGCAAAAGTAGAACATTACTAAATAATTATGGTACAGCCACACAATGGAAATACTGTACAGCTCTTACAAAGAATAAGACAGACAGATATGTACTAATATTAAGAGGAAAGAAGCTAATCATAGAAGAATATAATAACATTCCTATTTGTGTGGGAAAAAACAGCAACAAAAAGAACTCAGAGAGAAAACAAATACATGTTCATATACATGGAAAAATATCTGAAATGATCATTGTGCAACTGTAAATAGTGATTACATTTGGGAAGAGGGCTTGTTTGGCTGGAGGGAAAAAATAATAAACGTTTATATTATAGTATTTTCTCTACTGTTTGAATTTTTAGAGGGAATGTGGTAATTTTATAATTTAAAAAGGAGTTATTGGGGAGAGGATGGTGAATAAATGTAAAGTAACTGATATTGAGACTGGTTAAACTGAGAAAATACATATACAATACTTTATTTGTGAAGCCAGACCTGGACACAGAAAGATGCAGGAAGTTAAAAAAAATTACAAGGATGATATGTAGAACACATGAGTTCAGAGAGGTAGTACTTAAGAAAACTGATTACAAAACTGATGGTACATTGAACAATCTTACTACTAAAAGTAGAGTACAATATGTCACCTGATAGCATATGCACACGCACACACAATTTTCTCATTCTGGACAGATCCAGAAACAAAGAAACTGATTTACATTGCCTGGCTAAGGTAGGGTGACCAACCGTCTTAGTTTGCTGAGATCAATGGGTTTCCTAGGATCAGGAAAGTACTGGGCAAATCAGGACAAGTCAGTCATGGTAATCTAGAAAGTCCCAAAGGAGTTGGTCTAGGCCAAACTGGTTCTTCATCTTACAGAAAAACAAAATACACTGTATGTCACAGTTTAGAGGGCTCTCTGAGGACTTACAGCTTCACAGTTGTGATTTTATTCTTCCTTAGGAAATGCATCGAACATCACACATGCTTGTATTGAAGTGTCAGTGTAAATTTGTCACACAAATTTAAATTCACCATGTCGGATTATCCTTGTCCTCTCTTGACCTTTAGAAATGTAAATCAAAAGCTGACAATAACTCTCATTCATTCTTTTTTTTAAAAAATACCCTATTATATGTAAGGTGCTTTGTTAAGCCTTTAAAACATAAAATTAAGGAATGTTCTCTTTTCTCAGTGAACTCACAGTGAGTTAGGAGACAGATACACAAGTAAATAACTATTATTTTGGAACATGTGTAAGAGTAAAAGATCGTGGCAAGTGTTTTCAGGACCAGTCTTTTTTCTTTCAAAAAGTATTGTCCAGGCCCGGCATGGTGGCTCACACCTGTAATCCCAGCACTTTGGGAGGCCAAGGCAGGTGGATCACTTGAGGTCAGGAGTTCACGACCAGCCTGACCAACATGGTGAAACTCCGCCTCTACTAAAAATACAAAAATTAGCCGGGTGTGGTGGTGGGCGCCTGTAGTCCCAGCTGCTTGGGAGGCTGAGGCAGGAGAATTGCTTGAACTTAGGAGGCGGAGGCTGCAGTGAGCCGAGATCACCCCACTGCGCTCCAGCCTGGGCAACAGAGCGAGACTCCGTCTCAAAAAAAAAAAAAAAGATATTGTCCAAAGACAGAACAAGAAGAAAACAGGTAATTATATGGAACATTGGTATTTTGGAATCTCATTTAAAAATTTTGTTCAATAATAATAATAGTCCTAAGAAATTAAAAATATTTATATTTTATGCTTTTAGATGAAAGGTGAGCTAGATGCTAGGCTATTCTGTCTAGATGGTAGTTATAACTTGAAAAACTTCCCCAGCATTATCAGAGCAAGGAAACCTTTTCTTATGTACCCAGCAGTCATTTGTGAGATAACAACATATATTTTATATTAAAATGTAAATGCTAAAATTCCATTTGGATTAAGTATGTGATAATACATCTAGACATACTGATAGTTGTCATGATTTTATTGCTCAGTGGGGAAATCAAAAGATGTAGTCATTAAATTTTTGTATTCCAGGCACATAACAGTATATAGGTCTTCCAAAGCAGATAGCTACATTATGAATCCATAAGAACTTTTAATTCTAATATTAATCCTTAGGAAGATTTTACCTTCCATCATTGTTTGGATTTATTAAGAAGTTATGTATGAAATTAAATATTCATATTTTGTTACTAACTTAATTTTTTCAGAAGTTACTTTAATTCTCAGTGGTTCTAGCTAACTGATAATTGTGGCATTTGAGTTGCATGAAGTGGAGTGGAGTGAAGAAAGGGGAGAGGAAAAGGTGAAGTTGGAAAGTTGTGGGGTGGGATGTAGTCAGGGAGATTGCTTATGGCCTTCTAGAACATTTTAAACACTTCAGTTTCTTCTTAGAGTGAGATGAAGACCCACTGGAAGATTTTGAGCACAAGATTTGTATACCTAACTTAGGTTTTAACAGGATTACTCTGCTGTCATGTTGTGTTACTCTAAGGGGATTATACTGGAAGCAAGGAGACCTAGTAGAAGGCTGTTGCCACTAGCCAGCTGAGAGAGGATACTGTCTTCAAGTAGGTGACAGTAGATGTGGTGAGAAGTGATTGGATTCTGGATATATTTTGGAGGCATAGTCTCCAAGAGAAATAGTCTGATGGGTTGAGCATAGTGTGTGGGAAAAAGATGGGAATGAAGAAAGACTCCCAAAGTTTTTGGCCTGAGTAACTAAAAGGATGGCGTTGTCATTAACAAGAAATTCTGCAGCATATGTTTCAAGGGAAGCACTAGGGGGAGCTCCATTTTAGACAGGAGAAAAGCATGAGAAGTCTTACATATATCATGTAGTGATGTCACATAGGCAGTTGGATTATAGCATATGACTATATGTCATTTACTCCATATAGTAACCAGTAACCTCCACAGTATGGAAGTTAGCAAAGAGGACTAGGTTGGAGATATAACTGGGGAGTTGTCAGTTCATGGGTGCTATTTAAAGCTACAAGACTGCATGAGCTCACCAAAGGAATGAGTTAGACAATGTAGAAAAGAGGTTTAAGGACAGACTTTTGGAGTACTCCAATGTCAAGAGAATGAAAACCAACCAGCAAGGACTGAGAAGGGGTAACCAGCTAGGGAGGAGGAAAATAAGGAGTGTGGTGAACTAGATGCCAAGGAAGAAAACATTTTAAGGAGGAAGAAGTGATCATCGATACCAAATAATGCTAATAAGGTCAGATAAGATAAGGACTGATAAATGACCACTAAGAAATAACATGAGGAAGTTCTAGCTAGAGCAGTCAGGCAAGAAAAAGAAATAAAAGGCATCTGGATAGGGAAAAAAAACAAGTCAAACTACCTCTCTTCACTGACACTATGATTTTATTCTAAGTATAAAAAACCGTAAAGACACCACCAAAAGGCTGCTAGAACTGATAAACGATTTTAGCAAGGTTTCAGTATACAAAATCCATGTACAAAAATCAGTGGCATTTCTATACACCATGAGCATCCAGGCTGAGAGTCAAATCAAGATCTCAATCCCATTTACAGTAGCCACAAATAAAATGAAATAGCTGGGGATATAGCTATCCCAGAGAGATGAAAGATCTCTACAAGGAAAACTATAAAACACTGCTGAAAGAAATCAGAGATGATACAAACAAATGGAATAATATTCCATGCTCATGGATTGGAAGAATCAGTATCATTAAAGTGGCCATACTGCCCAAAGCAGTTTACAGGTTCAGTGCTATTCCTATCCAACAATCAACATCATTCTTCAAAAAATTAGAAAAAACTATTCTAAAAATCATATGGAACCAAAGAACAGCCCAAGTAGCCAAAGCAATCCTAAGCAAAAAACAAAGCCAGAGGCGTCACACTACCCAAATTCAAACTATACTGTCAGGCTACAATAAAGAAAACAGCATGGCACTGATACAAAAAACAGACACGTAGACTGATGGAATGGAATAGGAAGCTCAGAAATTAAGCCACATACCTATAATCATCTGATCTTCCACAAGTCCAACGAAAACAATTAATGGGGAAAGGATTCCCTATGCAAGAAATAGTGCTGGGATAGTTGGCTAGCCATATGCAGAAGAATGAAATGGGACCCTTACCTTTCCTCATATACAAAAGTTAACTCAATATGGATTAAGAATTTAATTATAAAACCTAAAACTATAAAAATTCTAGAGAAAAACCTAGGAAATACCATCCTCAGCATCAGCCTTAGCAGAGAATTTTTGGCTAAGTCTCCAAAAGCAGTTGTAATAAAAATAAAAACTGACAAGTGGGACCTAATTAAAGAGCTTCTGCACAGCAAAAGAAACTACCAGCAGAGTAAATAGACAATCTACAGAATGGGAGAAAATACTCATAAACTATGCATCTGACAAAGGTCTAATATCCAGGATCTATAAGGAGCTTAATTCAAAGCAAAAATCAGTCCCATCAAAAAGTAGGCAAAGGACATGAACAGACATTTTTCAAAATAAGACATACAAGCAGCCAACAAACATGAAAAAATGCTTATCATTACTAATCATCAGAGAAACGCAAATCACAACCACAATGAGATACTGTCTCACACCACTCAGAATGGCTGTTATTAAAAAGTCAAAAGACAATAGATACTGACAAATTTGCAGAGAAAAAGCAATGCTTATACACTGTGGAATGCAGTTTGGAAATTTCTCAACTTAAAACAGAGCTACCATTAGGCCCAGCAATCCCATTACTAGATCTATACACAAAGGAAAATAGATTATCATACCAAAAAGATACATGAAGTTGTATGTTCATTGCCATGCCATTCACAATAGCGAAGACATGGAATCAACCTAGGTGCCTATCAGTGGTGGATTGGATAAAGAAAATGTGGTACATATACACCATGGAATACCACACAGCCCTGAAAAAGAATGAAGTCATGCCCTTTGCAGCAATATGAATGGAGCCAGAGGCCATTAACCTAAACGAATTAATGTAGGAACAGAAAACTACATATCACATGTTCTCACTTATAAGTGGGATCTAAACATTGAGCACATGTGGACATAAACATGGGAACAGTAGACATTGCAGACTACTAGAGCGG